>NC_000008.11:143870324-144172402 GCF_000001405.40 Homo sapiens
GAGGGTCCATGATGGTTCCGGTGGCCGCCTGGGCCTCCAGCAGGGCCAGGGCCACCCTGGGCCCCAGCAGCTTCTGCCTCATGGCCTGGTAGAGGCTGAGCCGCTGGCCAGAGGGCAGCAGCCGCACACCGCCCACAGCTCCCAGGCCGCACAGGTACCTGCGGACGCCGTCCATGAGTAGGAGGGCCTCCGGGCTGATTGTCCCGGCCAGCACTTGGTCCAACAGCTGCTGGTCAATGATACCGGCCTCCAGGAGCTGGTGGACGGTGACCCGGCTCCGCAGTGCGGGCAGCATGATGTCCGCCTGTCTCTGCGTCTCCGCCTCCAGCAGCTTTGCCACCTGCCCCAGCGTGACCTCGCGCTGCCGGTAGCGACGCAGCAGCTGCCTCCTGCGGCCCTCGCTGAAGTACTCAGAGTTGATCAGCTCCCACGCGGAGACCCTCTGCCCCTGAAACCGTCCATACTTCACGGAGAGCAGCAGGTTCTGGAAGGCCTGCTGGGTGGCACTGTCCACCAGCGGGGACTGCGTGCTGCTGAGTGGCAGGAGGTACAGGCCCGTCTCGGGGTCACGCACACAGCGCTCCAGAAGCTGCAGGTACGTGAGGTTCTCGTGCGTGTTGGGGTCGAAGAAGCCCTTGGTGTCGTCAGAAGGGTCCAACAGGATCAAGTTCAGCATCTGATCGAAGTAGCCGCGCCGGTAGGCCACGTCCACGGGCACGCGGTGGCTGTGCACGGGGTCGATGACGCCGCCCGTGGCGATCTGGGCCTCCAGCAGGCGGATGCCGTGCTCCCGGACGATGAGGCCCTTCTGCATGGCCTGGAAGAGGGAGATCTGCTGCCCGGTGTAGGGGTCAGTGTAGCCAGTGACAGCGCGCTCAGCCGACAGCAGCTTCGCGAACACATCAGGCCCAATGACAGCAGCCCTCAGTGCCTCCTCAACGGAGTGCCCCTTGTTTGCTTTTGGGTCGATGATGAAGCCTGTGGCAGCTTGTGCCTCCAGAAGGATGAGGGCAGTGCCGGGCCGGAGGAGCCCCTTGCATCGGGCCTCATAGATGCTCAGGCGTTCCTGGGAGCCAGGGAGCAGCAGGCCAGCAATGCAGCCCGTACCCTGCAGGTACCTCTGCACCGAGGCCAGGCTGCCCACATCCTTGGCTGTGGCCTGTCCATGCTCCAGCCGCTCGTACAGGTCCTGGTCGATGATCTCGGCTTTCAGCAGCTCTCCTGGTGTCACGGTGTCCCTCAGCCCAGAAAAGGTGACCCTGGCAGTGGCTGCAGCCTGCTCGAGGGTGGCGCTCAGCTTAGCGGCCAGCTTCTCCACGGAGAGGGTCCCTTCCTGGTACTGCTGGGCCAGCATCGCCCTCTGCTCTGAGGAGATGGCCTCAGAGAAGAGCAGCTCCCAGAGGGACACGGGCCGGCCCCGGAACTTCCCCACAGAGACGGTGGCTGTGGCCGTGCTCAGGGCCTGCCGAGTGCTGTACTTGATGAATGGGGGTCCCTGGGGCTCCCCTCCCCGGGGTCCCCCTGAGAGTGGCAGGAAGGCAA
This sequence comes from Homo sapiens, assembly GCF_000001405.40. Taxonomy (NCBI): domain Eukaryota; kingdom Metazoa; phylum Chordata; class Mammalia; order Primates; family Hominidae; genus Homo; species Homo sapiens. The sequence goes on from NC_000008.11 coordinate 143,871,867, forward strand.
GCCCGGTCTCTGGGTCGGTGACACAGAGGGCCAGCAGCTGTTCATAGCGCAGGCCGCCGTGCGTGCCGTCTGAGAAGCTGCCAGCCTGCGAGAGCTGCCGCTGAGTGTCTTCATCCAGGCAGCCGCAGCGCAGGGCGGCCTCCAGGGGCAGCCGGAGCCTGCGTGCTGGACAGACCAGCCCGCCTGTGGCCAGCTGGGCATCCAAGAGCCGCAGTGCCAGTGGCCTGTCCACTAGCCCCTTCTTCATGGCCTGGAAAAGGGGGATTTGGGAGCCACTGAAGGGGTCGTGGTGCCCTGTCACGGCCTGCTCGGCCACCAGGAGCTGCTCATGGAGCTCTGGGCTGACCAGGCCCGCCCTGACTGCCTCGTCTACCCACAGCCGCTGGCCTGTGATGGGGTCCACCAGGGTGTGGGTGGCAGCCTGGGCCTCTAGGAGTGGCAGCGCGGTGCCCATTGGGAGCAGGTGCTCGGTGGCAGCCTGGAAAAAGCTCTTCTTGTGGCCTTCGGGCAGCAGGACAACCCCGGCCACGCTGCCGGTACCCTCCAGGTAGCGCCGCACCTCGGCACGTGCACTCACGTCCACTGCGGCCAGCCTGCCCTCCCGCAGACCCTGCACAGCCTGCTCGTCCAGGATGCCCACCTCCAGCAGCTCAGCTGCACTCACCGCCCCGCCCATGGAGCGGAAGGTGATCTTGAGGGGCAGCAAGGCTAGCCCCGAGCCGGGGGCACGCACACACCTTTCCAGCAGCTGGTGGTATGTCAGCCGCTCCAGCGTGTTGGGGTCGAGGAAGCGCAGGTCACCTGTGCCAGGCTCAAGCTCTGACAGCTTGTGCCATGTCTCCCGGTCCAGGAGGCCCTGGTGGCAGGCTGGCTCAGGGGCCACGAGCACTCCCTGGGCGGGGTCCACCAGGCCCCCAGTGGCCAGTTGGACCTCCAGCCAGCTCTGCCCCAGGGCCCTGTCCACAACCTCCTTCCCGATGGCCTGAAAGAGGGCCAGCTTCTCACCGCCGTAGGGGTCAGGATAGCCCGTAGTGGCACGCTCAGCGGCCAGCAGCTTCTCCTTCAGCTCCAGCCCCACCAGACCCTGCTGCAGGGCCTTGGACACAGGGAGCAGCTGGCCCCGGGCGAGGTCCACCAGGCCCCCAGTGGCTGCCTGGGCCTCTAGCAGAGCCTGCCCGAGCCCAGCAGGCAGGAGGCCCTGCTCCATGGCGGCGTAGACACTCTGGGCCTGGCCCGAGGCCTCCACATACACCCCAGCTATGCTCCTGGCCTGGGGCCTGGGGGGCGTGCCGGCTCCCAGCGTGGCTGCCATGGCTCTGGGTACACTGGCCTGCTCTGTGCTGTTGGTGCCTGGGACGGGAAGAGGAGGCAAGGTGTGGCCACTCATCACACACGGCTGGTTATGCAGAGCCTGCTGAGGTCCACCTCTGTCCTGCAGGGGACAGAAAGGCTCAATCAGGGACCCCGCATGGCCTGGTGGGCACGAGGGAAGATGCGGTCATGGGGCAATCCCATGCTGTCCCGGGCTGGGCTCCACCCACAGACGTGCAGCTAGAGTGTCCCCGAGGAGCTGAGTCTGCCCAGGAGCACTCTGCCGCGGGGGTGCCAAGGGAAGTGCCAGCTCAGAGGGACCATGTGGGCGCAGGCACCCAGGCGGCGCCGGGAGGCCTCTCGGGACTCCAGGGCTGTCCCTCCCGCAGGCTGTCCTTCCACCTCCACCCCAGGCCAACGCCCTCCCGCCAGCCCAGGGTCCTGTGTCCTCGAGTCCTTCCTGGGCACCCTGGTCCCATCCTTAGCCCTGCCCGAGGGGCCCAGCCCTGCTCCAAAAGGGCTGTGGCTCCACCCACAGGGCCCGCCCCTCAGCCTGGGCACCGGCATCTCCCCACCTTTTGTTCTCCAAAGGCTCTGCCCCATGCCCTGCCCCACCCCAGCTCCAGTGATCTCTTGAAACCTCCCACCCCACCTGGACCTGTCACTCCAGAGAAGCCTCTGCCACCTCCTGCTGGCTCCTGAGGTCCCGCCCTCCCTCCACAGCCATCCACCAGGCTCCAGCAAGACCCCAGCCCTCTGAAGCCCTGGTCTCCTGCCTCAGCCTGGCCCTGCATCCTCCTCTGCCTGTCCTGGATCTCACATCTGCGAGCACCACGGCCTCTGGGCTATTGCCCCTCTGAGCCCACACCCTGCCCCGGGGGCCGCAGGCTCAGCAGACGTGTGGCAGTCCTGCCAGGAGCCGGGTGCAGGCCAGGCAAGGCTGTCTCTCCCCCATGGGCCCTGGTCCTCCGGCTGCAGCCCCGGCATGCCCTGCGCCAACCCCTTCCACACACAGCTGTACGACTGGCCCTGAGCAGAGCAGCAGGTGCCTCACCTCCATCCCCACCACTCCTGCACGTCAACTGCCTCCACCCAGGCCTGTCCCCTTCTGCACCAGATTGAATTATGTCCCTAAAAACGTATGTCTAAGTCCTAATCTACAGTCCCTGTGAATGTGACCTTATTTGGAAATAGGATCTTTGCAGATATCACCCAGTTAAGGTGAGGTCATACCGGGCTAGGATTGGCTGTTATCCAACATAACTAGTGTCCTTATAAGAAGACACACAGGGAGAGGGCGGCCGTGTGACGACAGAGGCAGAGATTGGATCTATAAGCCAAGGAATTCCCAGGACGCCTGGGGCCCCAGAAGCTGGAAAAGGCAGGCAGGATCCTCCCCTCGAGCTCCGGAGGAAGTGCGGCCCTGCCCACTCCTCGCCTTCCGGCTTCTGGCCTCTAGAGCTGTGAGAGCAATTTCCTGCTCTTTAGGCCCCTGGTCAGTGTTCTGCACCCCTGTGCCCACCCACCCAGGAGCAGGGTCTGCTCCCCGTTTTCTCAGCACTACGGGCCCCAGTCCCTCTCTTGATTCTCCCCCTCATTCCAGCTGGAACCTCCCTCTGCTCAGCAGCCTGTCCATGACAACCTTTCCCTACCTCTACACAAGGTCTCAGGAGAAGGGTCGGATCCCACGTTTGACCCCCACCCCCACTCCACCGCTCTTGAGGCAGCCACCACCCCCGGCTGCCAAACTCGACAAATGCATTTTGGAGCTGGCCCCCACCCACCTCCACCACATGGGCTATGGGGGCTCCCCTCTCCAGTGACAGGGTTCCGCTCCATCTTCGTTCACCCATTAACTCTGAGACCTCCTCCCACCTACCCTCAGCTCCCCAAATCTGCAGCAGGAGCCCAGCCTGTCCTGGGTCCCAAAACCATGTGCCCAGCTGCCTCCTGGAGGTCTCACAGGCACCCCATGCTGCTCATGCTCTGGAACATGCAGAGCCTAACCCTAGAAGGCACTGGGTCCTCCCCATCCCCTCTCCCCATGTCTGGTCTCACGAAGGGCATGCTCCAGGGGCAACTCTGAGGGCTGTCGAGGCTCGTAGATGCCCCTCAGGACCACCTGTTAAGACTGCAGCCCACCTACCCACCTTGGCAAAACCCTGGCCCTCTCCCTTCCCTTCTGCAGATACTGGTCCCGGGCCTCCTCCAGGCATCCTGCTGCTGACAGGCTGCTCAGAGCCTCAGACACGGAGCTGGGACCAGGAGGGCTCACCATCACCTCACTGGCCGAGTGCAGAGAGCCAGGGCTCCAGGAAGCAGCATTGCAGCTCAGCTGTCCCGAGGGACCGTGCTCAGGACACAGTGTCAGGTGGCTGGGAAGACGTGGAGGATTCAGAGGACCATGGAGTAGGGCTGCTGGTAAACGACCAGCATTGGAGAAAGCTCACAAGAGGCTGCAGACGTCTGGCCAGCTGGCCGGTGCGCCACAGGGATGCCTGGGCGCTTGTCTTCGTGGTGCAATGGGCCACGGGCCCGCTGGCCACATCACAGTCTGCCCCAGCCAAAAGCTGCTGGCCTGACAGGATGTAGGAATCACTTCCTGAAGGCACAGCCGGGGTGCCAGCTCCCCAGTGACGCCTTGCAGGCTAGGGCACCATTCTCCAGGAAGTCGGCTATACCACTCCAGAACGTGGCTTCCCATGTGCGTGTGTCCCAGGAGGTGGGTCACAGGGGCCCAGGAACCAAGGCCTGGCACAGTGGCCCCCACCCCCCACCCCCCACTGACCTATGATGGAGCTTGGGCTCCTCGACCCCACAGCTCTGGGGCGGGTGGGCTTAGATGTCCTGGTCCCTGGAGTAGGAACACTTCTGCCAGGGGACACAGCTAGTGTCACCAAGCCAAAGGCTATGCTGCTCCCAGGCCCATCATGTCCCAGGAGCAAGCAGCCAGGAGGAGGCTCCCATCTGGCAGGGGACAGGCCTGAGCACCAGGAGGCGGCACCACAGGGGCAGACAGGGTGCAGGGACCTGGTGTGCCCTGCCTGGTTCTCATGGTAAATAGAACATCACCCCCAGCCCTAGAGGGGACCCTCAGGGAAGAGGACCTGGTCACACCTGACAAGCCCTGAGCCAGCAGGCGCGCCCGGGTTGAGGGCATCCAGTCTGGAGGACGGGGAGGCAGCCCCAGGGGCCAGGTCCACCCTGCAAAACTTGTTTCTGCACTTCCCCAGGAAGAGGCCAGGCTCAAGGGCACAGCCTGACCGGGGTGGCTACGGGGCTGTCCAGATCTGCTTCTGGGGGGTACATGAGACGGCAGGACAGGCCAGCTTCTCCTTCGTCCACCTGCTTCCTCCTCCCTTCCCTTCCTGAGGCCATCCTGAGACCACTCCCGGTTACCCCTGCCTCAGACAGACTCTGCTTCTGGGAACCCAGCCTGGGCGCTTTTGTGTCCACCTCTACTGGCACCTGCCTCCCCTAGGGCTGGGCCCTCTCCAGCACGCCTCGTTCCAGGACCCTCCAGGATCTGTGAGCCTAAGGCAGCCACTCACTATGGCATCCAGGCCAGACGAGGGGCTTCTAGGGGGTCAGGGCCCTGCCCTGTCCCCTGACATCCGGCCAGGGATGGCGGTGAGGAAATGAGAGGAGCACCTGATTTCCCAGCAAGGGGGAGGGGCAGTGCGGGCCAGGGTGGGGCAGGGCCAGCGAGGGCGGGGCAGGGCCAGTGAGGGTGGGGACAGCACCTTGGGCGGGCCCCTGACCTGCGCACAGGCCGCCAGCCCAGACAGGCCGCGTGCTAAGCGGGCCTCGTAAGCTCAGGCAAGTGGCTCAAGTTCCCCAAACAAAGAGGAGATCCAGGGAGGAAGGCTGGAGACAGGGCGCTTGGGAGCAGGGAGTCGGGGGCAGGCTTGCCCTGCGTGTGTGAGTGTGCCTGCCAGTGCATGCCCCGCACCATGCGTGAGATGCGGCCTGTGGCTGGCTGCACCACTCCCTATCTCTTCCTGACCTTGGGCCTGGTATGAACCCCTCTGGGCCCTGCCCCTTCCCTGGGCCCTGCCCCTTCCCAGGCTTGGCAGGAGGAAGGCCCGGGAGTGGGTGTCTTGACTCCATGTGGGGCCTGGGAGGGCAGCTGGACAGAGGGTCCGGAGCGAGGGGGGGCAGGGGGTGCAGCTTCGAGTGTGGGGGCATCTGGAGGAGGTGGCTGCTGCCTAGGAGAGCACGGGGTCAGGGTTAGGGTGATGGGGTGGGGAGGAGGCCGAGCAGATTTCCCCGGAGCCTGAGGCACAAAGGGCCCCTCCTGTGGATTCCCCACTTCAGGTGGCCCCCAGGCCCCAAGTGGTGGAGGGCCGTTCCTGAGGAGGGTGGGTCTGCATCTCTTGGGTGAGGTCACTGTCTGTCACCAGACTGCCCGGCAGGCCCCCACCGCAGCCTGGGACAAAGGTTGGGGAGGCTGCAGCCGCCTGCCTGAGTCAGGTCAGGACAGACCCTGGCAGCTGCCTGGGCCCACACAGGAGGCAGCAGCCTTAGCTTCTGCCCGGCTGTGTGCCCTTGTGGGAAGACCCCACCCACCTGCAACCTGCACCATGATCAGAGATCAGTGGCCCCAATAACAAGCTTGGCACAGTGCAGCGGGGGCCCAGGGCAGGGAAGCAGAGCCCTGGGCCCAAGTGATGAACAGGGCCCTTCCTGCCTCTGCCTCCCACGGGTCTCCAGGCGACCGTGTGACCGCTTACCTGACCCGGAGTGGCCACCCCTGGGACCGCTCACCCAACAGCAGGCAGCTTCCCCGGATCCGTGACGCCTCCCTCCCGGCAATGTTGCCAGGAGTCACCCCTCTCAATTTGTCGGCCTAGCTGCCTCCTGGCCTGGGCGTTCCCCACCCTGCAGAGCGTGCCCCGGGCGGTCCTCGCTGCAGGGAAAACCGCTGGGCCTGCGAGACCCCCGCCCCTGGCCGCCTCTCCCGTGAGGGCTCGGGGCCGGCGCCTCCTCTTCACCGGCGCCCGGGACTCAGGGGCGCCACTTCGGACTCGGAGCTCAAATTGCCCAGGGCGGGAAACCTGCCCGGCCAGAGCCCAAGACCCCGCTGGCCGCCGCGCCCCTACCCTGGCCTCGGCGTGCGGCTCCAGCGGGGATCCGGTTTCCTTCGGCGGCCGCCGCCCCGCCCGGCCCCGAGCCCGCACCCGCACCCGCCGCACCTGCCCGCACCCGCCGCACCTGCCCGCACCCGCCGCACCCGCCGCACCCGCCGCACCCGCCGCACCTGCCCGCTCGCCGCTCGGTCCGCAGTGTCTCCGCGCGCCCGCTCCGCCCGCATTTCAAGCCCCACAGGCCCCGCCCCCGTCTAGGGCGGCGCCCAGGTCGGGGCCCCGACGCGGGGCGGGGCGGGGCGGGCAGGTGCCGGAAACCCCGCGCGGCCCGGGCCTGGCGCTTGCACCCCGGGCAAGGGGCGGCGGCTGGGCAGCCGGGACCCTCCCCTCGTCCCCAGCAGGGAGTCACCGCGAAGGAACGCAGGGCGGGCGCGGAGGCGTCCTGTGCCCTTCAGAACAGCTTTTTTTTTTTGGGAAAGGAGTTTGGAGTGAAACGCGGACCGGCCAGAGCGGCGGTTTCTATCCCCACAAGCCACTAATGCGGTGCGGGCTGGTGTCCCTGCCTCCAGCCCCGACCCCACCTTGTCTGCTCAGCTTCCTGGGGACGCTGCTTCACGTCGTGTGTCTGCTGGGTCCAGGGGTCTTCAAGGCTCTCCTTGGCAGGCCCCCCTGCCCCCATGACGTTGTAAGAGCTGGGATGTCCTGCCTGGAGCAGTGCCAGGCCTCACCCCCCGGTCTGGCTCCTCCACCTGGGCACAGAGAATGTTCCCTGTCACCCTGGGAGTACCTGGTCCCCTCTCTGAAGCCCATCCTGGCACCCACCTTCCAAGGCTGGGGCATGCCAGAGACACTGGGCATGGAGGCTCACAGCCTCGGGGGCTGGCCTGGGGGCAGCCTCAGCCTGGCACGGGAACCTTCCATGGATCTTCTGGAGGGCCCTCCCCTTGGCTGCCCCGATATCCCAGGTGGGCAGGGCCACGGAAGTACAGGGCCCAAAGCCCCTCCTCCTCTGTCCCCAAGGCCCCTCCTCCTCTGTCCCGTAGTCCTGGAGGTCCTGAGGGCTCAGGTGCTCCCCACCCCCACAAGTGCCCCCTTCTCCCAAGCTCCAGCCCCCACCTCTGCCTGAGTCATTCTTGACCAGAAAATCATCCAGAGCCAGCCAGCCACCTCCAATGCACACCATGAGGGTAATTGCAGGCGCCCACGCAGGTGCAGGAGGGACAGGTTAGGCCTTCAGGGGTTAGGGTGCTTGGGACCACTGCCCTGGCTCTGCTCTCACCCACCCACCAGGTCCACACTCACACCTGCTCACCCAGGCTGCCTGGACCCTGTCCACACCTGCCACACTGGCCGCACAGCATGGCTGCTGCCGACTGCGGGGCCCTGACCCCAGAGGAGCTCTGGTGGAACCCGCATTTCCCCAAGGCACTGCCAGGCCAACCGCATCCATCCCCAGCCCTGCTCACCGGATGCCTGGACACTGTCTGTGTGGTCTTGCTGGGAGGCATGGTGGTGCTGGCTATGGCCTGTGGCCTGGAGCACACCCCAGAGCCACTTCTTCCTGCGGTGAGCCATTGCAGGCAGCGCCCCTGCCAGGCCACAAAACCTGGGTGTATGCCAGCCCCTCGCTGCAAGAAGGGGGTGTTAGGCTGGCCAGACCAAGCCTTCTTGTGTGCCCAGGGACGGGCCACATGCCTGTCTGCTCCTCACCCCTCCGGTATAGGCAGGTGGCACAGAGCTGGCCCTGCTCCGCTGCACCCATTTCTGCCCGTCACCCCTCCAGTATAGGCAGGTGGCACGGAGCTGGCCCTGCTCCGCTGCACCCATTTCTGCCCGTCACCCCCCTGGTATAGGCAGGTGGCATGGAGCTGGCCCTGCTCTGCTGCACCCACTGGCATCTGTCCCCTGGCTCCTCTCCCTCGGCTTTGTCTTCCTGTGACTCCAGATCCCCTGCCCTGTGGTGGCCCCCAGCCCAGTGACCTCTGGGGACACCTCTGGGGGCAGACTTGGGTGCCTGCCCTACTCCCCAGGTCCCTGGGCCACTCCCAGTCAGGGCTTCTGGGAGCCACCACCTCCCCAGGGGCTCCAGTCCAGTGCTTCAGCCCAGCAGTCCCCGGAGCCACAGGCCACTCCTCCAGCCCCCAGGCCTGGGCCTATACCACCTACACAGCAAGGAAGGGCATCAGGGAGGGTGTCAGGAGGTGAGCGAGAGGGCTCCCATGCCCAGTACTGCCCACGGCTCTACCCACCTCCTCCTGGCACTGGCACCTAGCTTCCCCCTGCAGGTCAGGGAGGCTCTCAGAAGACCTGGTCCAAGGAGGGAGGTCCCAGAGCCCCAAGACCAGTGCCCACGCTGCCCCTGGGCTGCTCCATGGAGTCACCGTGCTGGTTGGAGCCTTTGGCCAGGATCCCCATTGGTCCCTTGGAGCCTGGCATGGCCCAGCTCGAAGGGGAGTGCCCGCCATTGCTCCATAAAGCATCTGGGAGCAGGGTGTCCCCTCCACGGCACATGGCCCAGAGAGGAGACAGGGCAGATGCAGGCAGGATGGAGGGCCCGGCGGGAGCGGGTGGGACAGAGCTGAGCAGCAGGCTGACCTCTCCACCAAGGGCCTGGACATAGCAGCCGGCAGCTCCAACCGCAGGCCCAGGTACAGGGGGCGGGCAGCCTTGGGGGTGAGCCTTCCTCTCAGGCTGGGTGCCCTCACAGCAAAGACATGGGCTGCTCTCCCAGTGGCTCTCAGGGGACACCTGCCATCAGGGGAGCCCAGTGATGCAGCTGCCTCCGGGGGCAGGGAAGGGCTGAGGTGGGGGTTGGAGCCCTGCTGCCTCTGTCCCCCACGGAACCACCCCCCACATCCCAAATTCTCTTTCTCCACACCCTCCTCGCTGTGCGTCTCACTGATCCCCCATCCCCAGTCAGCCAGGGTGATGACACGGGCTGGCCCAGCTTCTCCTGCCCAGGCCTCGGAAGCCGGCCGGCACGAGGAGCACAGCCTCTGCCTGCCAAAGGCCCCCATGCTGCTCGGTCAGGGCCAGGAGAGGAAGGGCCAGAGGATTCCTCCCAACTGTGGCTTGAACTCCATCCCCCAAATTCCTACGTCGAAGTCCAGACTCCAAATCCTCTGGGAATGTGACCTTCTTTGGAAGCAGGGTCGTTGCAGATGCGGTTAGTTGGGATGAGGTCATGCTGGAGTAGGCGGGCCTCATCCCATGTGCCTGGTGTGCTTTCAAAAAGGGGCATCGGACACAGACGAAGACCCACAGAAAGGGAAGATGATGTGAAGATAACAGGAAGAAGATGCCGAGGAGAAGCCTGGAGCTGGGTCTCACCTCATAGCCGCTGAGGGAAATAGCCCTGCCCACATTTCCATTTTAGACTCTGGCTTGGAGAGCTTAGGGTCGATAGTTTCTGTTGTTTGAGTCACCCCATTGGTGGTGGTTGGTTAGGGCAGCTCCGGGAAACTCAAACAGTCCCCAAGCCAGGGAAATAAGCCAGGGAGAGCAAGGGCAGAGGGGGCCGCAGGGTCCAGGTGTGAGGCAAACCCAGCTTCTCCCATTTTATAGAAGACAGAGGAGGAGGAGGGGGAGGAGGAAGGGGAGAAGGAGGGGAGGAGAAGGGGGAGGAGGAGGGGAGGAAGGCTCAGCCAGGACGGAACCCACTCTGGGCCTCGAGGTTGCATTAAACACAGGAAAGGAGGCCCCAACCTGTATCTCAGAGTGAAATTTTTTCCTATCTTGCTCCAAATGTATATTCTTTCCAGTTGCCACATAAATGGAAGTCATACGTAGCAATACCATGCTCTTAACTGGGAATTCTACTTGATTGAAAAGGTAGAAGGCACACCCAGGTACCCAGGCCCTCTCTGCCCCACCCCAACACAGTTTAGAGGCTGGGTAGTGCTGTTCTGAGAGGTGCTGTCCTTGGGCTGGCTAGACCCACCTGTGGGGGCAGCCAGGACCACCTGTACCTCCAGCTCTGACCCCATGGGAGAGCAGCACAGCCATGCATGGGGGATTGCAGTTGTTAGAAGGATGGGAGCTGAGCCATGAAATCGGCACCAGAAATCGCTGCTCAACCCCGCCTGTCCCTGCCTTCCTTCTCCCCTGCCATACCCTCTTCTCCCTAAAGGGTGGGTGTCCTCTGGCTAGGCCCCTCCCAGCAGCTCCAGCCCAGAGCGTCCAAGTTGTCCAGCCTGCCCGTGGTCATCTCTCCTCCCGAGGGACTCTGGGGTGACTTCCTCCCTCCCTCAATCCTCCAAGGCACCTGCAAGGCTGGGGCCCAGCGGCCCTCTGGCCAAAGCCTCTCCCGCAGCCCCACCAGGCTTGCTGGCCTGGCCCCCAGGTGGCCTTCAGCCCCGTGTCCTGCTGCTGAGGCCCTGACCAGGGTTCCCCCAGGGATTCCTCCTCTGCCTAAAACACAGCTGGGGAGAGACAGTGCCACCTGAGTGCCAGTCTTGGGCCTGGCACCCTCCCCACCTGGCCCCAGTCCCCTCCAGAGCCTGACACGGGCAATCTCTAGGTGCCTGGTAGGAAGTGCTGTCTCGGGGCCACCACTGGGTGTGCCGCTGCCTGGCCGGGGGCTTATGCCTCCCATGCCATACTGGCCACCCGGGCCCTCAGCTGGGGGGGAGCCAGCATCGTCCTGGGCGGCCTGGCCTGGGGACTGAAAGCCCTCGGCACTCCCAGCCACCCTTGCTGCTCAGGGCTGTGAGCTGCAGCCGCCCCAAAGGGTACAGGCAGGTGGAAACCCTTCCTCTGGGGTGGGCCAGGTGGGCGCAAACACCTGCTCCTGGTTCTTGAGTCCTTGACGTTCAGAGGCTGCTCCTGCCAGTGTGATCTGGGCCTCCAGGCCTGCTGGGGATGAGGGCTCAGCAGACCCCATCCTTGGGGCACAAAGCAGCTCCCGCTGGGCACAGGCAGCACCATCCTTGGTCAGCCTCATGCAGTCCCGGAGCCGCTGCAGCGGCTGCTCCACCAGCTGAGCTTCATCCCCTGCCACGCCACAGGGAAGGGGCCAGGGGCCAGGGGCCAGGGGCCAGGGGCGGGGACACGGGCATTGGGAGGGGGCCTTGGACTGGGGGCCTGGGACGTGTCCCCCTGGGGCAACATCACAGACATCAGCACCAGGATGGCGCCCCAAGGCATGGCGGATGAGGGGCTGGGGAGGGGCTTTTCTGGAAGCACTCGGGACTCCTTGGGGGTCCAGCCAGCCGGGCTGAGGGACAAGGCTGAGGGCCCCTTACCCATGAGCAGCTCCACCAGCCTCCGGCCTGTCTACAAGACCTTCACGTCCTGGATCCGCGCGGCAGCCTCGTCACACACATGCTGCAGACACAGGCTGGGGGCACATGTGTGCTGGGGACATGGAGCCCTGCGCAGCCTGCCGCCTCTCCCTGGGCCCAGTTCCTACCTGCAGGCACTGTACGGCCCCTCCTGGCCCTCGGGCTCCAGCCGCCCTGCCACAGCGCAGCCAGGAGAGTGTCCTGGCCACTTCGAAGCTGTGGGCTGCCAGGAAAAGTTGCTCCAGGACCCCCGAACTCCGGACCAAGACCGGGCAGCCGGCATTGCCCTCCCCACATGGTGCCCTCCCCACATGGTGCCCTCCCCGCACAGGTGCCCTCCCCACACGGTGCCCTCCCCACTCACGCCCCCCACAGCCTCACCTGGGGACCAAGACCGGGCACCGCAGGGCCCTCCCCGCACGGGTGCCCTCCCTGCTCATGCCGCCCACAGCCTCACCTGGGGACCAAGACCGGGCAGCCGGCAGTGCCCTCCCCACTCACGCCCCCCACAGCCTCACCTGGGGACCAAGACCGGGCAGCCGCAGGGCCCTCCCCACTCACGCCCCCCACAGCCTCACCTGGGGACCAAGACCGGGCAGCCGCAGGGCCCTCCCCACACGGTGCCCTCCCCGCTCATGCCCCCCACAGCCTCACCTGGGGACCAAGACCGGGCAGCCGCAGGGCCCTCCCCACTCACGCCCCCCACAGCCTCACCTGGGGACCAAGACTGGGCAGCCGCAGGGCCCTCCCCGCACGGGTGCCCTCCCCGCTCATGCCCCCACAGCCTCACCTGGCCTCTGCCTGCTGCACCAGGCAACCCCGCTGTGCACACGGCTCCGAGGGGCTCCCGGCTTCCTGCAGCCTCTGCTCCACCAGAGGCACCCTTGCCCCCAGCAGGTACAGGAGCAGCTGCTGGGACATGGGGGCGGGCTGAGCGCAGGGGGCTGGTGGCCTCTGTCCTGCCCTCCCACCAGTGCCCTTCACAGGGGTCAGCAGCCACGGGGACAAGAGCCACATCTTCCACCAGAGTCTGCCATCTGTCTGCCCCCCAGGGAGGGTCGGCTGTGACCTGACACCCAGCGGCATCATTGGGAATCAGTGGCTTGAGCTGAGATTCAGAGGCGATTCAGAGGTGTCCCAAAGGTGTCACTACTCAGCCCTGCCCCCCGCTCCCTGCACCTCCTGTTCCTGCAGCTGCCACAGCATGAGGGACCAGAGGCCATGAAAGGCCTGAGCTCCTCCATACCATCCAGCCAGCTGCGAAGGGCATCCAGGGACCCTGGGGATGCCTGCAGGAGGAATGACAGCTCCAGGGGCTGCCCTCCCCCCTACCCTGGCTGCTCCTGCCTCACCAGAGCCATCTGCCCCCCTCACTCACCAGGCTTCAGTTCCACAGCCTGTCACCGCCATCTCCATCACCAGTGTCTGTCACCTCAATGGCACGGGGGCTCCACCAGGCCCAGGAGCTCCCAGAACACCGCTGGCGGCAGGGACCCCCCAGACTTGGGGCCTAGCCCCCGTGTGGCTCCTCCTCAGCCCCCCGCAGCCCGACCATGAGGCCGGGTTTCCCCGTGGTGAGCACTGTGGGGCGAGGAGACCTGAAACAGATCTGGAAGAGGCCACCCAGCCCGCCCAGCCCCCTCGGCCCTGTGCTCAAGGCTGGGGCTAAGGCCACATCCTCAGACTTACTGTCTGTGGCCACTGCTGCAGCAGGCCTGGGGGACGGAGGGAGCCCAGAGCCCAGGGGTCAGCTCCACCTTTACTGACGTCCCTGCCCCCAGCCTTCCCTCCCAGCCACAGCTTGGCCCGTCCCATCCAGCTGTCAGTGTGGCCAGTGCAGCCAGTCGAGCCACAGCCTCAGTGTTTTCCTCTTGACCCTGCCTCCTGCCGCCACTTGTTTCCAGGGAAACCAGGACCCGGCCCCAGCCATGTAAGTAGGAGAGACTGGGAAGGGGCTTCTCACCCTCCCCCTAGTTTCTTGCACCTCGGGGGAGGTGAATAGGCCAGGGTTGGAGGAACTCACTGCTCCCAAGGCCCGTCTGGCCCACTGGACTGAGCCCCCACGCTGGGCAGGCAGCCAGAGGGAGGGATTGCTGGCGGTGGATGCCAGGCCTGCCCTGGGAGGATCTGGGGGCGGGCAACATGGGGGTGCTGATCACACTCCTGTGGGCCAGGGACTGAGGAGCTACAGGTGGGCTCTCCCGCCTCCTCCTCTGCAGCCATGCAGACCTCAAGGATCCCTGTCTCCTCACCTACACCCTCGATAGCCTCTCCATTCCCCAGCTGCCCCACCCCTGGGGACCCGACAGCCCCCACCCAAGACTTCCCACCACCCCAGACTGGCCGGTCTCGCTGCCAGGAACCTCCACCCTGTGGCCACGCCTTTCCCACCCAGGCCTGGAATGAACCTGCCCCTCCCCAGCCTGGAGCCCCCCTCTCCCAGGCCTGACAATGGGGAGAGGTGACTCCCCAGCGCAGGAGTGGGCGCCCCTGGTCCCTGCAGGTGCAGGGTGGTCAGCTGTGTCCGCAGGTGCCAGTGCAGACCCTCCCCCCACCCGCTGAGTCCTTCATCCAACACTGGCCTCTACCGAGGAGTGGATGCTGTGTTGGGCACACAGGCCAAAGCCCACCTGTGCCCACCACTGTGCTGGGCCCCAGGCCCAGCAGGAGCCACCGCTGCTTGGGTAAGAGAGGGGACAGAGAGCAGGGGCCCAGCCTCCGGGCAGTCTGGACAGACACTGGGAGTCCCTGTGGGGCCCAGGCCCACCCCTGCCCGGGCATGTCTTTCTCACAGAGTTTGTGCTGCTGTTGCCTGGGGAACTTTCCATCAGAAGATGCTGGGTGGGGTGGGTAGGCAGGCCGGGCGGGCCCGCAGACGCGCTGTGGGTGGATGGGTGGTGGACGCCTCTCCCGGGAGGGGCTGCTCTGGCCCACACCCTCGGACGGCCCACCCTGCCCACTCGTACCCCCACCTCCAGGCCCAGAGGTGCCAAGCATGTGAGCCCCACAGGATCCACGGTGGGCATCCCAGCACAGCCGCCAGGGAGGCCGGCACGTCTGCACCAGGGCCTGTACCAGGCAGGCCTCATGACCCCTCCTCTTCTCTCCTGGGGAGGAGGGGCAGGCGCCCTGGCTCCTGACGCCCTGGGTCGCCTCCCCGCCCAGGCAGGGCATGTGGGGTCTCTGTCAGAGCCTCCACAGGGCCGGCCACAGGGCTGAGGCCCAGGGTAGCCTCCAGCCACTCCTGCGCGGCACCTGGGGCAGGGTCTGGGCTGCACCTGGCTCCTCCTGGAAAGGAACAGCAATGCTCGCCAGGCAGGACCCCAAAGCACAGCGGCCACCCCGCCTCCCCCAGGGGCTCTGACGGCCACTTTTCGAGTTGCGGGCACACCCAGCTCCTGGCAGCTCAGCTGACCACAGGGTCCCTTTCCACAGCGAGGCTTCGCCATCATAGCAGGGGCCCCGCCCTCCACGCCTGCGCCTGCACACAGAAGTAGGTGCCTTGCTGGGGCCCGAGGCCCCGTAGCTTGGGGCTCGTCCTGGGTGCTGCCACGGGACCTTCACACAAGCCTGGACGCTGCCATGGGTGGTCACGCAGGCCGCCTCTCTGCCATGACCTCCCTTCTCCCTGTCCTCTCCTTGCCCATTCAAGCTGACATCCTCTCCCAAGACCTCCCCTGGCTTCGTGCCCCTGACCCAGGCTGGGGACAGAGGTCTGGCCCCACCTGCACCCGAGGCTTTCTGCCTTCAGGGTATCACAGCCCCAGCACCGGGGCAGGGAAGCAGGCCCAGGAGGACCCTGTGTGCATGGCCTGAGGGCAGGCACAGATGAACCCGAGCAGGGAGGGGGAACACAGGCAGGGCCAGCACTGAAGACGCAGCCCAGCCCAGTCCTAGCCCCGGCCGGCGCCCGAGGGACCTCCCAGTGGACACGCTGTGCGTGTCTGACAGCAGCCGTGGACCGCAGGCACACGGGTGTGCTCATGGGGCCTGGAGCAGTGCCAGGGTCTGGGGGGCCTGCGGAGGCAGGAGGCTTAGGGGCCGGAGTGTGCCAGGGCACAGGGCCTGGGGCTGGGACTCCTGCTTCCCCTCTGGCCCAGGACAAGGAGCCGATGGGCACAGCAGGCACTCACTGAGGCACTTCTCCTCTCGGGGGGCTCCAAGCCCCTGGGAGGAAGGGGCTGGCAAGGGGAGGAGGGGTCCCAGGGAGAGCCAACTCCAGCAGAGACCTCGGCTGGCAGGAGTGGGGGTATAGGTTAAGATAAGAAGTGGCTTTTCTTTGCAAGATCTAAAGATTCACTAGGAAAAAAATATGGCAAGAATAATCGTTTCCACACTGACCACCAGCTCAGGTGTCTCTGTGATAGAAAAGCCCAGAGAGTTGGGGTCTTGGGCCCGAGGGGCCTGCACCCCATCCCAGTCGGGCAGAGCTCCTGGGCCCCTCGCAGGGCTGGAGAAGTGGTCACACGGCCGGTCCAAGGCCCTGCGGCCCCTTGGAGCAAGGGGTGGAGCCCAGACTCCAGCCGGTCCCCAGAAACCCAACTCAAACTGTCTTTAAAAACAGAAAATAAAAAAGGCAGCTCAGCTGGTAGCACTGACAGGGTGGGGGCGGGGTGCTGGAGCAGGGGGTTGCGTAGCGTCAGGCTGCGGCCTCCAGCCCGGGGAGCCCTGAGGGCCAGGACATCCAGGGCCAGGCCAGCACGAAGCCGACAGGACAGAGGAAGCCCATGAGCCTCTCTCCCGAAATTCTAGAAAAAGCACGTTAGTTCTCATCGGATGGCCTGTTGTTCTGAGCTGAACTGTGTCCCCCAAAAAGACATGCCGAAGTCCTAATCCTAGTACCTGTGGACGCAACATTACTTGGAAATAGAGCACTTGCCAACGTCATCAAGTGAAGATGAGGTCACTAGGGTGGGTCCCAATCCTAATGGACTGGTGTCCTTACAAGAAAGCGCTGCCCTGTGAGGACGCGCCAGGGCACGCGCGGTGACGGAGGCAGAGGCTAAAGAGCTGTCGCCGCAGGCCCAGGACGGCCACAGGTTGGTAGCAAACAGCCAGAAGCTGAAGGAGCAGGGAGAGGTCGGCTCAGAGTTTCAGAGGAGCAGGCCCTGCCGACACCCTCTTCACAGGCTCTGGCCTCCAGAATTTCCAGATAACACGTCTCTGTTGTTTGAGCCCCCACTTTGTGGTGCTTGCTTGCGGCAGCCCCGGGAGACCGGTCCACCTGAGCCATCTTGGGGGCCTGGAACGGGGGGCAGGGTCAGCCCGGCTGAGCTGTGGCCTGAGGGTGGGGAGGGAGTGGTTCCCCAGAAATGTCACTGCCAGGATCTGGGGCAGCGTGTGCTGAAAGATGTATCGGGGCAGGGCCTGGGAGGGGGTGAGCGCATCTCAGCAGACGCCGGGGAGGGAGAGGCGGAGGGCAGGGACTGGATTCATTCCAGCCCTCTGCATGCCGCAGCAGCCACCGCCTGAGACAAACCCCCGAGGAGAGGGAACCCGCTGGCTGAGCCCAAGAGTCTGAGGCATGGTTGCTCAAATAAAAATGGACCTCAGCTGTGAAAACAGCACAGTTCACTTTTCGCCCACCTGTGTTTGTGGTCCGAGGTGGTGCCAGTTGTGTGACTATGGTTATGGACTCTAGGAGGCCTCGTGTGGCTTCAGAGGGCTGAGGGCGACGCTGGAGGACACGCTGAGTTCCTGATGGTTCCGTCGGGCTGAGCTGCGTCCGGATAAATGTGACAGGAAGCAGCTCGGACACACTGATGGCTGGAGGCCCTGCAGCTCCTGCTGCTTGGCATGCGCCGCGGGCCTGCGTGTCAGAGCCGCCTCTCTAGCTCGGCTCTTGCGGTCATGCTGGCCTTGGTCTCCACATGGCTTTGGGTTGGCTGTTCTTCGTGCCATTTTCTTTCTGGCTCCGTCTCCATCTCTGGAGTGGGAGGTGTCTGAACAGGCATGCGGAGCATCACCAGGTCCCAGTGCCACGACCCCCGGCACGGTGGGTCGCCATGATGCTGTGTGGCCTGCCAGGTGATAGGCGCCCTTGGGCCACATGGTGACAGAGGGTGCGAGGGTGCCACTACCCCGTGATGAGCTGTAAACACACATTGTTATCCATCCCAGGAAAACACAAACTGCTTCTGTTCCTCTTTCTTGGCAGGTAAGGGAAGGGATGCCCTCCCGGGCTCTGGGAGATGTGCGTGTGCGGGATGCCACGTGACACAGCTGAACCTGAGGGGCCACTTTTGGCAAAGGCAGTGCGACAGGCCCGTGTCACGGGACCCGTGGTCGCCGTGGTGATCCGCGTGGCAGCGCCGGGACTGCGGCCCTCAGGTGGTGGAGCCACCCCGCAGAGTCGCGCTCAGGGACAGCCGGGTGACCACGGGCTGTGGAGCTGGGCACTGCGCTCCAGGGCAGGGCTTATGCCCTGAACCCGTAAGCAGTGCATCCTCAGCCTCTCCTCCCCAGTAAGTAGAACGCATGGGCCTGGGGTGAAGAGGTGGAAATGGGAGGGGCCACACTCGCCATCCCTGCCGGTGCCCTCTTGCAGATCCTGCATCCCCTCCTGCAACCAGATACCGCCAAGGGCCGAGAGCCCAGTCTGAGCAGAGGACACTGAGGCCACCGCCACGCCAGGGCAGCTACTCCATTTTCAAGTGAACCTGAGCACAGCTCCTGGGTTGCATGAGGGGTGGGCTTGGTGGTGCCAAGCAAGAAAGGACAGGCATAGCGCCGGGGCTGACTGCGTGGGTGTGGGCTCAGGACCTGGAGGCCGTAGCTCGAGCACTCAGTCCAGCAGCCAGGAGCGGCTCCAGCAAGGGCCAGGCTGTGACCAGGGCTGGCTCAGACACCGCCGTGATCCCAGGAGGAATGAGCTGATGGTGGGCTCCAGGGGTTACCGCCAGAGAGTAAGTATCCAGGCCTGGAACCTCCTGTGGGAAGGGGGTTGGCAGCTTCCAGGAAGGCCCTGCCTCCTGCAGCCCCGGTGGGCCCCCTCGCACCTGTATCTACTCCAGCAGGTACATTCCCGGGCCTCTCCAACACCCTGCACACCTGTCCAGTGCTCCCACGTCTCCGGCCGCCTGCCTAAGCACGGCTGCTGGCCCGATGTCCTTCCTCAGTACCGGATGCCTGCTTTCAAATGCTGTGTGGGGCTCATGAGCCATGGGCCCCGAACCAACTGGGAAAGACCCAGCCTCCCCGATCTGCGGCGGGGTCTGTGCCTGATCCTGGCTGACTCGGGCCCGTCCTTGGCTCTCAGTCCACTGCAGTTGGTTTGGGGCCCACAGCTCATGAGCCCAGCACAGTCCCATGCCCCGCTGCCTCCGAAAGCTCCCTCGTCTCTGGCAGTGGGGGCCACGTCGGGGCTGTGATCTCCGCTGCAGCCAGAGAGCTGTGGTGGGCAGCGTCCCCAGCGTCCCCTGTGTTCAGGTGGGCTGCGACACCGGGCCCCTCCTGACGTCCTGGCACCCGCCTTTCACTCCCTCCTTCCTTGTCACCCCCAGAAGCACTCCTCCTCGCAGCCCCTGACGCAGGCTCTGCCGACCCCCAGCTGTGCAGCCAGCTGGGCCCCCAGGACCGCCAGTTCCACCTCCCGGAACTACCTTCCTTCCTCCACCGCACACTGGCCAGGGAGGGGCCGTCAGATGTTAGCAAACTCTTCCTGCCCAAGAGGCCACACCTGCCAGCCCACTCTCAAAATCAGCCCTGGAGAAACTCCCCAAGCAAGAAGGGGTGTGGACTCCAGAAACCGCCCAGTGAGGCCCCGGTAGGGGGAGCTGTGGGCGGTGGGCTCTGCGCTTGCTGCTCCCCGGCCTGGTCTGCAGACCATCATCCACCCCTTCACCGCAGGCCACTGCCGCGGTCGATGGTGGCTTTGAGGAAAACCCTGGCTGGGTGACCAGTTGTGACAAGAGCTGGAGGCTAACATCGCCGGGCCCCTCCTCCAGCCACTGTCCTCTAAGCCCTGGGGCTGCAGGAAAGCAACCTGGGAAGCCCACCTCCCTCAAATGCATATGGGGGGATCCATGGCGCCCTGGCCCCCAGGACAGACCCTGTAGCCTGCCAGACAGCGGGGCAGCCGTGAACGTGCAGTGGGGGCGTGGGCCGCATCAGGCACAGACACGGCTGAGCGGCAGGTGCTGTGGAGGCAGCCAATCAATGAGCCAGTGGACTTTCACATGAACAAGGGGCGTGACCAGGCCGGAAGCAAGGGTGAGAGTTTGTTTAGGAAAAGTACCAGACCTGCTAGTGCAGGGATGCAGGCGGGGTGCCCAGCATCCCGGGGGCCAGGCCAGGGCCTTGCTGCTGGTGGCTGTGAAGGAAAAGGAGACCAAAAATATACAAGAAAATCCAGTGCTTTGGAGAATGGAGGTGAGAGGAGGCCGGGAACCGCGGACTCGGGTTCCCCGGAGTTGGGGTGAAGGGGAAGATCTCACACAGAAAGGGTCAGGGGTCAGGGAGGCCACGGGGGAGACCCTGAAAACCCCACCCCGTGACCCAGAAGCCTCAGAGGCAAGAGGAAAATGGAAGGAACGTTGGGATAGAGAGAAACCTCCTAAAAGGGGCGTCACAAGGGCCTCCGATTTCTCAGCAGCAGCCCTGGCTAGGTGAGGACAGCTGCGTCTTGCTCTGAAGGAAAGAATAGCGGGCCTTAGACCTCCTTCCCCACCTTACAACTCCGTCCCCACCTTCGCCCTCTGTCCCCGACCTTAGACCTCCATCCCCGACCTTACGCCTCCGTCCCGATCTTAGACCTCCGTCCCCAGCCTCAAAGCTTCATCTCCGAACTTAGGTCTTTGTCACTGGCCATCCAGATTTCTCTTAAACAGGAGGCCATCGTGAGAACAACCATCTCAGGCCCCCAGGCCCCCCATGGCGTGAACATGTGGAGGGGTCAGGAAGGAGAAAATGAGAAAAGAATCTGACGGGGTGCGTGGCAGTCACGGCCGTAGGGCTGAGGGGAGAGGAGAAAGTGCAGCTCCACGCACGGTGCTCCGGGCCAGGTGCCGGCGAGGGGGGCCGGGGGAGCACGTGGCATGGATGCCGCTGAGAAGAGCAGGACGAGCTTGTCTGAGCCCCAAGGCAGCCGAGGTCAGAGCGGACGTGCAGGCCCCACTCACCAGGCCAGCAAAGGAAACGCAATGCGTCCCGGGCAAACCAATAAGCGAAAGCATAGTGTGTAGAGGCTGCAGAATAAGACGAGGAAATCTCTCCAAATACAGCAGGAGCTGCCGGACCCAGCCACGCTCACCCAGGAGGATACCCTCGGACCCCCTGAGAAAGAGCAAATGAGACCCGGCAACTGGCGGGCTCCGAGGGACAATCTTAGAATAAAAAGACACGTGGGCCCAGGGCAGGAGGCACCAACCTCTGACCAACTAGAATCACAGGCGTGTGGCCGGGCGTGGTGGTTCACGCCTGTAATCCCAGCACTTTGGGAGGCTGAGGCAGGGGAATCACCTGAGGTCGGGAGTTCAAGACCAGCCTGACCAACGTGGAGAAATCCCGTCTCTACTAAAAATACAAAATTAGCTGGGCATGGTGGTGCACACCTGTAATCCCAGCTACTCAGCAGGCTGAGGCAGGGGAATCGGCTTGAACCCGGGAGGCAGAGGTTGCGGTGAGCTGAGATCACGCCATTGCACTCCAGCTTAGGCAAGAAGAGTGAAACTCTGTCTCAAAAAAAAGAATCACAGATGCATGCCCAGGAGGGGAGGATGCCTGTCTACCACAGGGACAGCAGGCCCCAGCTTGCAGAATGGACCTCACAGACACCAGGAGCCAGAGAGACACAAACACAGAGGCTCTCATGGCTGACCCATGTTTTGTTTGTTTGTTTGTTTGTTTTTTGTTTTTTTTTGGCCCTGTGGGACACTTCTGCTCCTTCATCAGGCCACAGAGAAGTTTTGGAACAACCCAAATGGTCAATATCACACAGACAGTCCTCTGACCAAAATGCGTTAATTTAAATAATCTCTAACAAAAAGAATCCGACGAGGTGACAACTGCATCAGCATATCACTTCTTTCTTATTTTATTTTTATGTATTTATTTATTTATTTTTGAGACAGAGTCTTGCTCTATCGCCCAGGCTGGAGTGCAGTGGCGCGATCTCGGCTCACTGCAAGCTCCGCCTCCCAGGTTCACGCCATTCTCCTGCCTCAGCCTCCCGAGTAGCTGGGACTACAGGCACCTGCCACCTCACCCGGCTAGTTTTTTGTATTTTTAGTAGAGATGGGGTTTCACCATGTTAGCCAGGATGGTCTCGATCTCCTGACCTCGTGATCCGCCCACCTCGGCCTCCCAAAGTGCTGGGATTACAGGCGTGAGCCACTGCGCCTGGTCTAACTTCTTTCTTATTTTTTTGAGACGGAGTCTTGCTCTGTCACCCAGGCTGTCACAATCTCGGCTCACTGCAACCTCCACCTCCCAGGTTCAAACAATTCTCCTGCCTCAGCCTCCCGAGTAGCTGAGATTACAGGCATGCGCCACCATGCCTGGGCTCATTTTTGTATTTTTAGTAGAGATGGAGTTTCACCATCTTGGCCAGGATGGTCTCGAACTCCTGACCTCGTGATCTGCCCACCTCAGCCTCCCAAAGTGCTGGGATTTCAGGCGTGAGCCACCGTGTCTGGCCCTTTCTTTTTTGTTTTTTAAGAGACAGGATCTCACTTTGTCTCCCAGGCTGGCGTGCAGTGGCAGTCGCAGCTCACTGCAGCCTCGACCTCCTGGGTTCAAGTGATTCTCCCGCCTTAGCCACTCGAGTAGCTGAGACTACAGGTACACACTGCCACACGTGGCTAATTTTTGTATTTTTCTGTAGAGTCAGGGTCTTGCCATGTTGCCCAGGCTGGTCTCAAACTCCTGGGCTCAAGTGATCCTCCCACCCTTTGAAACTCTGAAGCCAAACAGTGGCTTCTCTCCAGCTACGAAAGTCTTAGATGGCCTCTTCTTCCAGTGGAAAGTTGTTTTGTCTACATTGAAAATGTGTTGTTTAGGATAGCCACCTTCATCAGTGTTCTTAGCTTTGCTGAACCAGGGACCCCATAACCCTACCCTAGGATTCAAGGTGGAAGATACCATCCCAGGATGTGGGATGGAGGAGACAGTCCAGGTCTCTGAGGGAAAAGCAGAGAGAAAGGCAGGCAGGCACCATGTTTCCAGGCCACTGCCCCAGATCTCCGGAGTGCCTAGAGACGGCACTCTCTCCTGCCCTTCAGCTTGTGGTATCAAAAGTTCAGAGAGACGCTTGGAATTCCTAGGAATCCTGAGTCAGAAGCCCAAGATGGAGAGGGGACCCTGCTGGTCCTGAGTCCTTCTCTGCGGCCCAGATCCCTATCCCAGCTCCTAGAACCCATGCTCAGGGTTGCAGAGGGCAGGGCTGGCATGGGGGCAATCCCAGGGCAGTGAGCACTGGGACTCCCAGTGGGGTGTCGGCTCAGTGACTGGCAGAGCTGGCTTCGTGTTTCATAGACCCACATACGGTTTGTGAACTTTAGGGGGTCTTAAAAATGTAAAGGCCCTTATCATTGGATGTTAAAGCCCAATAATGACGTGATTATTATCTTGTAAAAGCTCCCTTGTCTTTGATAGACATACACAGATGATGGGCCGTGGGAGATGGACGGGGGTCCGGAGACGAAAGGCGGGCCATGAGCTCCTCACTGTTGAAGCTGGTGAGGTGCGCTTGGGAGCTCTTTATCCTATTCTGTTTACTTTAGCATGTTTGAATTTTCCACTATAAACACTTTAAAGAAATAACAGAAGGAATTGTCTTCTTGCTCATCTGATCCTGCGGCTCCGCGTGCCAGTGCTCACGCCCGCAGATCTTTGCTAGAGACTAAAGGTTTGATAGCTGTTTGCTTTGTACACTCAGGCCTCTTTTCCTTAACTTAATCATAAGCACCTCAGTCCCTTCAGGGACCTTTAGTTTCTTTTCCTAGAGCCATTTTGTTACTTAAAAGGATTTACAGGGTGCCTACCCAATTCATCAGGGATTTTAACCTCTGATGGGTGTGCCGGCCTACTCTTGACTTAATCCCTTCATTTAAGGCTGAGATCTATTACGCTCTGTCACTCAAAGCATTTCTGCCTAGGGTTGAGAAGTAGTTGTCTCTTCTAGCTTTGTAAGTCCTCGATAATATGACTGGCTCCCTTCCCTTTCATTCCTGCTTACAACGCAGCCTGTTCTTGTCTAAACATTTCTCTCTCTCTCAACATATACTTCACGTACCATAAAAGTCACCCCTTTAAAGTGTACAATTCGCAGTAGTTTTTAGTACAATTAGGTTATGCAACCATTACCACTATGTAATCCCAAAACAAACCCCACACCTTTTAATAGGAACTCTCCACCCCCTGGAAAGCTAATCTGCTTTCTGTCCTGGGGGATTTGCCTTTTCTGGGTATTTCATATTAAGGGAATCCTACAATATACCGTCTTTTGTGTCTAGCTTCTTTCATCTAGCATCTTGTGTTCAACGGTCATCCAAGCCATAGTATGTGTCAGAATTTCTTTCCTGTTCATGGCTGAGTAATATTCTATTGTAGGGAAATCCACATTCTCTTTATCCACTCACAGTTGATGGGCATTTGGGTTTTCACTTTTTAGCTATGATGAACAGTGCTCCCATGAACGTTGATGTTTAAGTTTCTGTACGGACATATGTTTTCCGTTCTTTTAGGTATATACCTAGGAATGGAGCTGCTGGGTCACACGGTAATTTGTGTTTAACTTTTTGAGGAACTATCATTGTTTTCCAAAGTGGCTGCACCATTTTACATCCCCTCCAGCAATGTATGAGGATTTCAATTTCTCCACCTCTTCACCAACACTTGTTATTGTCCATTTTAAAAAATCAATCATGAGGCTGGGTGCAGTGGCTCACGCCTGTAATCCCAGCACTTTTGGAGGCCGAGGAGGGTGGATCACTTGAGGTCAGGAGTTTGAGACCAGCCTGCCCAACATGGTGAAACCCCATCTCTACTGAGAATACAAAAAAAAAAAAAAATACCTGTACATCGTGGTGCATGCCTGTAGTCCCAGGTACTCGGGAAGCTGAGATGGTAGGATCACCTGAGCCCAGGGAGGTGGTGGCTGCAGTGGGCCGTGATCGCACCACTGTACTCTAGTCTGGGCAACAGAGTGAGACCCTCCCTCAAAAAAAAATTAAAAATAAAATTAAATTGGGCTTTTGTCTTCTTATTGTTCAGTTGTGATGTTCTTTATGGATTCTAGATATAAGTTTCTTATCAGAAAGATAATTTCCAAATATTTTCTCCCATGATGTGGTTGTTTTTCTTTCTTTTTTTCTTTTCTTTTCTTTTTTTTCTTTCTTTTTCTTTCTTCTTGTTTTTTTTTTTCCAGACAGGGTCTTGTTCTGTTGCCCAGGCTGGAGTACAGTGGCACGATCTTGGCTCACTGCAAACTCCACCTCCTGGATTCAAGCGATTCTCCTGCCTCAGCCGCCCAAATAGCTAGGAGCACAGGTGTGCACCACCACGCCTGGCTAATTTTTGTATTTTTAGTAGAGATGGGGTTTTGCCATGTTGCCCAGGCTGGTCACAAACTTCTGAGCTCAAACAATCTGCCAGCCTTCCCCTCCCAAAGTGCTGGGATTACAGGCGTGAGCCACTGCTCCCGACCCTCTTTTTGTTTTTGAAATGATGTCCTTTGAAACACAAAAGTTTTAAATTTTAATGAAGTCTAATTTATCTGGGTTTTTTCCTATGGTTGCTTGTGCTTTTGGTGTCATATCTAATAAGACTGCATAATTCAAAAGAACAAAAGTTTAGGGCCAGACTTGGTGGCTCACACCTATAATCCCAGCACTTTTGGAGGCTGAGGTGGGCAAATCACTGGGTCAGGAGTTCGAGACCAGCCTCTACTAAAAATACAAAAAATTAGCTGGGGTGGCCGGGTGAGGTGGCTCACACTTTTTTTTTTTTTTTTTTTTTTGAGACGGAGTCTCGCTCTGTTGCCCAGGCTGGAGTGCAGTGGTGCAATCTCAACTCACTGCAAGCTCCGCCTCCCGGGTTCACGCCATTCTCCTGCCTCAGCCTCCCGAGTAGCTGGGACTACAGGCGCCCGCCACCACGCCTGGCTAATTTTTTTTGTATTTTTAGTTTCACTGCGTTAGCCAGGATGGTCGTGATCTCCTGACCTCGTGATCCGTCCGTCTCAGCCTCCCAAAGTGCTGGGATTACAGGCGTGGTGGTTCACACTTATAATCCCAACACTTTGGGAGGCCGAGGCAGGTGGATCACCTGAGGTCAGGAGTTAGAAACCAGCTTGGCCAACATGGTGAAACCCCATCTCTACCAAAAATACAAAAAAAATTTGCTGGGTGTGGTGGTGGGTGCCTGTAATCCCAGCTACTTGGGAGACTGAGGCAGGAGAATCACTTGAACCTGGGAGGCGGAGGTTGCAGTGAGCCAAGATCGTGCCACTGCACTCCAGCCAGGGCCACAGAGTGAGACTCTATCTCAAAAAAAAAAAAAAAAAAAGTCTGTTTTCTTCTAAGAGTTTACTAGTTTTAGCTCTTATCTTTAGGTATTTGATCCATTTTGAGTTAAGTTTTGTATGTGGTATATGAGAAAGGTGTCCGGCTTCATTCTTTGCATGTAGAATCCATTTGTCCAGCACCATTTGTTTATTTTATTTTTATTATTATTATTATTTTGAGACAGGGTCTTACTCTGTTGCCCAGGCTGGGGTGCAGTGGCCTGATTTCGGCTCACTGCAACCTCCGTCTCCTGGGTTCAAGCAATTCTCCTGCCTCAGCCTCCTGAGTAGCTGGGATTACAGGTGTGCGCCACCACACCCGGCTAATTTTTGTATTTTTAGTAGAGACGGGGTTTCACCATGTTGGCCAGGCCGGTCTTGAACTCCCAGCCTCAGGTGATCCACCCACCTCGGCCTCCCAAAGTGCTGGGATTACAGGCGTTAGCCACTGCGCCCGGCTACTTTAGCTCTTCAAATATTGTTTCCCTTAGCTCTTTGAACATATCTTCAATAATAGCTAATTTTAAGTCTTCATCTAGTAAGTCCAATGCCTGGGCTTCCTCAGGGGCTGTTTATGTTGATTCAATCTTCTTCAGTGTATGAGCATACTTTCTTGTTTCTTTGCATGTCTTATAACTTTTTGCTGAAAAGCAGACATTTAAAACAATATGGAGGCTGGGCATGGTGGCTCATGCCTGTAGTCCCAGCACTTTGGTAGGCCAAAGTGGGCAAATCACCTGAGGTCAGGATGGCCAACACGGTGAAACCCCGTCTCTATTAAAAATACAAAAATTAGCCGGGTGTGGTGGTGGGCGCCTGAAGTTCCAGCTATTCCGGAGGCTGAGGCAGGAGAATCGCTTGAACCTGGGAAGGAGAGGTTGAAGTGAGTTGAGATCACGCCATTGCACTCTAGCCTGGGCGACAGAGCAAGACTCTGTCTAAAAAATATATATAAATGTAAAATTAAAAAAAAATATATACATATACTTTATATATATAATAGGATATAGGCCTGCGTGCAGTGGCTCACATCTGTAATCCCAGCACTTTGGGAGGTCAAGGCAGGAAGATCGCTTGAGCCCAGAAGTTCAAGACCAGCTTGGGCAACAGAGCAAGACCCCATCTCTACAAAAAATATGAAAAATTAGCCAGGCATGGCGGTGCATACCTGTCGTCCCAGCTACTCAGGAGGCTGAGATGCATGGATCACCTGATCCTGGGGAGGTCAAGGACACAGTGAGCTGAGATCTTGCCACTGCACTCCAGCCTGAGCAACAGAGCGAGACTCTGTCTCAACAAAACCAATCGTAAAAATAATAAAACAACATAATGCGACAACTTTAGAAATTAGATTCTCTCCTCCCCTCCAGGATTTGTTGTTGTCCTGCTTGCGGTAGTCCGACACACCTTCCCTTGTCAACGCCCTGCACGTGCGGCCACAGTGACCTACGTATTTCACGAGCTATATTTCCACCCCTTCTCTTGGACACAAATTCACTGATTCGAAACCTGCTTCCCAGTTATCTTGGAGACAGTTTTGCCAAGTGTTTTGCATAATGCTGGTCTCTGCCCTTCTGATAAGTGCTTTGCGGTCAGGCCACTAGTCAGTGTCCCGTGGGGTTTGCAGTAGCAGCATCCCCCTCCCTGGCCTCAAAGTCCATCCACTGCGATAGGTTTGCTTATGTCACGTTCACAAGCCACCCCAGCGTCTCCAGCTTAAAGCCACAGCTTGTTCTCACTCGCACTGCATGGCAGGGGTTGGCTGAGTTTCTCTCTTCCGTCTTTGCTTCAGGACCCAGGCTGATGGAATGACTGCTGCCTAGAACATTGCAGGTCTTCCCAGATGAGACACAGAGGCTCTGGAGGGTCGTGCAATAGTAAGTAAATGCTCTGGCGTAAAGGTGCCATGTAAATACCTCCTCTCATTCCTCATTGGCCAATACTGGTCACATGGCACCACCTCATGACTCCCCGCCACGGTTCCCCTCCCGGCCATGATGGGACCAGGCAGTCCGGCCCCTCCCACCCACCCGAAGATGAAGCAGAGTTGGGGAGCACTGCTAGGGACCACCACTCCCCTCATTCCAAATCATCACCTTTATTCCCTCTGCCATAATTTTATTTATTGGGTAGGATAATTTACCCTCTAAGTAACACATCGTAATATTTAGTATAGATGATCGCTTTCCACAGACATGATTTGGCAGCTTGTTATTAAATTTTGCTATGATTTCTGCCAAATGAATGATATTTGCCTTATCCCACGTGTGCGGTTGTTTGAATGGTCTTCTGGATCCTAGATACTGCCTCACCGGAAGCTGAGCCTGGTACACGCAGAGCCCACAGGACACCCACAAGAGTCACATACCTGCCATTGACCACCTCTGGGCTTTTAATACCGAAACTTCAAAGAACTTATGTGTCTCTCATTACACTTGCTAGCAATATTTATACAGGAACATGTTGTATTTATATCCCCAAAAATCAGTAAGAGAATTTTAACAAAACCATGTATGGGAAAAGTCTTAAGTCACATTTCAGAAACAATGTGTAGTGGTTGTAATAACATGGGGGCATTTTGCAAAGTTTGAGAACCAACAAAGAGGCGTGCGCACAGCCAGGGTGGGGCTGGGGCTCCTGCAGAGAGATTTGCTCCACCCTGCGTTCAGGACGCCACCTGCACGAAATGTTAAGTTCACCTGCGTGTCGTGTGTGTTACTGGCATACACGCTTCCCTGGTTTATAGTAACATTGTAATTTTTCTCATTTTTTAAAAGTAATCCCAGCACTTTGGGAGGCCGAGGCGGGCGGATCACGAGGTCAGGAGATCGAGACCATCCTGGCTAACACGGTGAAACCCCGTCTCTCCTAAAAATACAAAAAATTACCCGGGCGTGGTGGCGGGCGCCTGTAGTCCCAGCTGCTCGGGAGGCTGAGGCAGGAGAATGGCGTGAACCTGGGAGGCAGAGCTTGCAGTGAGCGGAGATCGTGAGCTCACTGAGTGAGCGAGACTCCGTCTCAAAAAAAAAAAAAAAAAAATTTTGTGTTTTTTGAGACAGGGTCTCCATCTGTTGCCCAGGCTGGAATACAGTGGTATGATCACAACTCACTGCCATGAGTCTGGGAGCCTCGACCTCCAGAGCTCAAGCAATCCTCCCGTCTCAGCCTCCCAAATAGCTGGGACCATAGCAGTGTGCCACCATGCCTGGCTAATTTTTGTATTTTCTGTAGAGATGGGGGTCTCACTATGTTGCCCTGGCTAGTCTCGAACTCCTGGGCTCAAGTGATACTCCCACCTTGACCTCCCAAAGTGCTTGGATTAAGGCGTGAGCTACCACACCTGGCCATTTTTCTCATTTAAAATAGATTATTGGCCGGGCATGGTGGCTCATGCCTGTAATCCGAGCACTTTGGGAGGCTGAGGCGGGTGGATCACTTGAGGTCAGGAGTTTGAGACCAGCCTGGCCAATATGGTGAAATCCCATCTCTACTAAAATACAAAAATTAGCCGGATGTGGTGGTGGTCACTTGTAATCCCAGCTACTGGGGAGGCTGAGGCAGGAGAATGGCTTGAACCCAGGAGGCAGAGGTTGCAGTGAGCTGAGATCGCACCACTGCACTCCAGCCTGGGCAATGAAGTGAGGTTCCATCTCAAAATAATAATAATAATAAAATAAAATAGATTCTCAACTGAAGGTTCTTGGTATTAAGTGGAGACATTAAGTGGAGGGCGTGTGTGTGAGTGCCAGTGGCACCCGCGGACGCTTTTTTCAAATGACGTGTATTCATGGCATGGACTGCCATTTTTCACATTTTCTGTTGACTTTCATTGGTTGGTGCTGCAAATGAGCAGGTCACGCTAAGGCTGTGGGTAATCGCCGCCATCCTCACTCCTCAGCTGATCCTTCCCATGCCCAGAGAGGCTGAAATAAAAATGAAATTTATAATCCTGGCAGGGCGCGGTGGCTCACGCCCGTAATCCCAACACTTTGGGAGGCCGAAGCGGGTGGATCACGAGGTCAGGAGATCGAGACCATCCTGGCCAACATGGTGAAACCCCGTCTCTACTAAAAATACAAAAACAAAATTAGCCGGGCGTGGTGGCAGGCGTGTGTAGTCCCAACTACTCGGGAGGCTGAGGCAGGAGAATGGCATGAACCCGGGAGGTGGAGGTTGCAGTGAGCCGAGATCGTGCCCCTGCACTCCAGCCTGGTGACAGAGCGAGAACTGTCTCAACAACAACAACAAAAAAGAAGAAATTTATAATCCTTTGAGTATTATATATTATAAAGTAACCAGGATCTAGTTGTTTCGTTTTGTTTTGTTTTTTACCAATTGGAATAATTCACGTTTAATGTTTCCAAACCCTTCTGCCTGCAACCGCCGTCCTGGGGATGAGAAATCTCTGGGGAGGAGGAGTTTGGGGGCCAGCATCTTGTGTCGGGGCATGGGTTGTTGAGATGACGCTAGCACCCCCCATCCCCCGCCCCTGCCTACTGGGCTGGTTTCCCCTCCAGGGGGTGAGGTGGCGCCTCCCAGATGGGACACAGCCTGCTGTCCCCACTTTAGTCAGAAAGCAGGAGTGAGACAGGTGGCCGGGACGAGACGCTGGGGCTGGTAGGCGCTTTGCTGCCATCTGCTGGGGAGCCCGCAGCAGCCGCCGCCGTGGACCTTGTGCTGGTGGAAAGCACAAAACCACTGTCCACGTGAAGGCCGCCCATGTCCTGGCAGCGCCCCTGAGGGGTGGCCTCCTGCAACCACCCACCTGCAACCACCCACCTGCAACCACCCAGGGGGCTGCAAAGCCACTCTGCTCGTGCTGGCCTGGCCTCTGAACCTATCACAACATAAGACAGAAGAGGACTGAATGGGGTGCGGCCCAGCGTACGCTGCTCAGCCTGGTCTTCGTGAATGGGCTCCATCCAGCCTCTGTCCTCAGAGACGGCAGGTGGTGCCTCATCTTCCTGGCAGACCTGGAGGGAGTGTGGGTAGAGTGGGACCCAGCCAGGAGTCCAGGCCCTGAAGCCAAGGGCAGGCCCATGTCTCCACCACCCCACAGTCTAGCATCCTCAGACCAGGCCCAAGAGAAGCCCCACTCCTGAGCAGGGGGAGGGAAGGGGAGGCCGGGGACTCAGGCAGCTGCCCCCTAGAGTGGGAAGGAAGGGCCCCAGCGTTTCCCAGCTCTAGCCCCACTTAGCTTTTGGTCCCTTTGCTGTGGTCCCCAGGGGTGTGGCTTCCTCGGGGGGCTGAAGCCAGCAGTCCCTCAGCAAACACGCACAGGGCTCCAGGGTGGGGGATAAGACTCTGCCCCCAAAAGGCTCTGAAATGTGTCAGGATGTGACATGGTGGAACTGACCAGGTTTCCAGCAGGTCTGCGGGGCTGAGGCTTGCATCCCCTGGGAGGCTGACATGCGCTGTCTGGCACGGAAGGTGGATATCCCCTCAGCTATGCCTTCTTTGTTCACTGGCTGGAATACTTCCGCGATGACAAACCTCCCTCTCATGCTGTTTGGTTACCCAGCGGCCCATCTGCATAGGAAAGACAGAATAAGAGCTTGATTCTTTTCTTTTATTTATCAATTTTAAAAATGTAAGCTTGTTGCCGGGATCTCCTAAGGACGATCAGTTAATTTTTTTTTTTAACTCAGGGATTTAAGCGGGTGAGTTGAGTAAGCTGAAGGTGTCCCATCTTCCGAACGCGTTTCTAGGACGGCAAAGCCTCCTGTTCCGAGACGGGTAGAGCAGGAAGCCACTTCCCACAGATCACAGCTGCCCCATCCCTTCAGGGCGTCCTGCCTTGCCTCGAACTCCTGGGCTCAAGTGGTCCATTCCCTTTCCTTAGAGTGTGGGATGAATGCCTCCAGGAGAGAGGTTCCTCCTCCGGGTCAGCAGCTGCAGCTACCTAAGCATTCTCTTCCTCACCCAGCAGGGCCCGCAGCCCAGGGTTATGGCGAGACTCCAGTTCAGGGTGGCGGCTGCCAGGGAGCTGTGGGTTGGTCGGCTGGAACCAGCTGAGGCCTCAGAACCAAGAAGCCCTTCCATGCCAGGCCCAGGGAGGAGGAGCCTGTTGACAGCGTTGTCCCTGGGACCTGGTGGGCAAACAGGCCGGGGGCGAGAGCTTGGGACCCAGAGACCCGGGTCCTGCCTGCATATGATCCAGTAGGGAGGGCAAGCTGGTCTGCCCCCGAGGCCCAGCCACCGTGCTGGGCTGTCCTGAGAGGCCCTGGAGGACAGGTGCGATGCTCGGTGGGCTGTCTCCACAATATACAAACATCAGTTGTATTTCATGCTAGCAGTAGGCAATCCAAACATGAGACTAAGCAAACAGCTCCACACACAATAGCACTGCAAATAATAAAATACTCAGGAATAAACGTAGCCAAAGAAAGTCAAGACTTGTATATTTAAGACTAGAAAACATTACTGAAGGAAATGAAGAGGACATGATTGAACGGAAAGTCATCTCAGCATCACTCCCCAAGCTGACCTGCAAATTCAGTGCAATCCCCATCACAATTCCACTGTCTCCTGCCTGGGGGCTGCCCCTCCCCATATCAGCCCTCTGCCCAGGACACAAGACTGCTGGGTGGCCTTGTGTGTGTGTTGGGGTGGGAGGGCTCCACTCCTGTCTGTGGCGTGCAGCCCTGCTCAATGCATTCCCAGCACTGAAGAACGGCCTCTCCCAGGGCCCAGCAGTTGGGGCAGCCTTCCTCCTGAGGTAGGAGGCAGGACTCAACTCCGGAGGTGGGGTTTGGACACTGGACCAAAGTGAGGATTAGCTAAAACAAGTGTCTTACAGGGAGGTGGAAGCACCTCCCTGTAAGACACGCCCACCAGTGTGCCATGTCATTTTACCATTCCGTGGTAACACCCAGAAGTTACTGCCCCTTTCCATGGCAACAACCAGACAAGCCAGAAGTTGCCACCCTCATCCTGGAAATTTCTGCATAAACCGCCCCTTAATTTGCATGTAAGTAAAAGTGGGCAGGCTGGATGCCCTGGTTCATCCCTGTATTCCCAGCACTTTGTGAGTCCGAGGTAGGAGGATCACCTCGGCCCAGGAGTTCAAGGCTGCGGTGAGCCCTGATGGCGCCACCAGACTCCAGCTTGGGTGACAGAGCAAGACCCTGTCTCAAAAAAAAAAAAATTTGGGGTATAAATTTGACTTCAGCCCTGCCTCAGCTGCGACTCTGGGTGCACTGCCTGTCGGGTGGTCCCTGTTCTCAAGGAGCAGCCCCTTTGCTGCAGGTCTGGTTGGCCACTTAGTAACAGTTGCTGTCTAGGCTGGGTGCAGGGGCTCACTCCTGGAATCCCAGCACTTTGGGAGGCCAATGTGGGCGGATTGCTTGAGCCCAGGAGTTCAAGACCCGCCTGGGCAACATGGCAAAACCCCGTCTTTACAACAAAAAAATACAAAAATTAGCTGGGTGTGGTGGCACACGTCTGTAGTCCCAGCTACTCGGGAGACTGAGACAGGAGGATTGCTTGAGCCCAGGAGGTCAAGGCTGCAATGAGCTATGATGGCACCACTGTGCTCCAGCCTGGGCGACAGAGAAAGATCCTGTCTCAAAAAATTAAAAGTTGCTGTCTAACACACCGGCTCGTCCTTGAATTCTTTCCCAGGCTCAGCCTCAATTTTGGGGCTCACCTGTCTGGCATCGCTGCTGCTTCTGGAATGTTCAGGAGCCCACATGTTTCCTGATTGGGGTCAGCCATTTTGATGATGAAATTTGTAATATTAAGTTGTTTCGTTGGGACTTTTCAGAACCAGGTGAATACACAGCAGATAAAACACCTTGGAGGCTGGGCGTGGTGGCTCGCACCTGTAATCCCAGCACTTTGGGAGGCTGAGGCGGGTGGATCACCTGAGGTTGGGAGTTCGAGACCAGCCTGACCAACATGGTGAAACCCTGTCTCTACTAAAAATACAAAATTAGCCGGGTGTGGTGGCTCATGCCTGTATTCCCAGCTACTGGGGAGGCTGAGGCAGGAGAATCGCTTGAACCCGGGAGGCGGAAGTGAAACTCTGTCTCAAAACACACACACACACACACACACACACACACACCTTGGAAATGGAGAAACCTGTTCTACCGTAACGGGAAGCAGCAGCCCTCTACCAGGATCTGCCTGAGGTAGCAAGTGCCGGCAGGTCCAGCGACCTGCAGGGCCACCCTCCTTCCCGCTGCCACCCCCCGCCCATGCCGCGGTGAATGGCTTCTTTGTTAGCATTCCTCAGCCACCCTGTTTCCTGTTGGGACTCCACGGACAGACACACTGCGTCTCCATTCTTTGAATAGTTGCTCTTACATTTTCAACATGGATATTTGACAAAGTCCAGAGTCCCAATCAAAATCTCTACCCTCTTCCTGAAAAATACAAAGGCAGTAAAAGTTTTTTTTTTTTTTGAGACTGAGTTTCAGTCTTATTGCCCAGGCTGGAGTGCAATGGCGTGATCTCAGCTCACTGCAACCTCTGCCTCCTGAGTTTAAGCGATTCTCCTGCCTCAGCCTCCCGAGTAGCTGGGACTACAGGCGTGCACCACCACGCCCAGCTAACTTTGTATTTTAGTACAGATGGGGTTTCGTCATGTTGGCCTGGTTGGTCTTGAACTCCTGACCTCAGGAGCCCCAAAGTGCTGGGATTACAGGCGTGAGCCACGGTGCCCAGCCTGCATCTGCTAAACTCTTTTCCAGGTGGTTGAAGCACTGGTATTTCCATCAGCTCAGTGTGAGAGCTCTGGTTGCTGTACCTCCCATCAACATTTGACATGTTTAGTCTTTTTAAATTTTCAGGCATTCTAGTGGGTGCATGATGGTGTCTCACTGTAATTTTAATTTCTATCTTCCTAATGACTAATGTTCTTGCATCTTTTTATGTGCTGTTCGCCATCCATATATCTTCACTGGTGAAAGGTCTGTTGAAATCTTTTGTCTATTTCTAAATTGGATTATTTCTGTTTATTGAGTGCTGGGGGTTCTTTGTATATTCTGGATACAAGTCCTTTATCAGTTATGTGATTTACAAGTATTATTCCCAGTCTGTGGCTTGTCTTTTTATTTTCTTAACAGTGTATTTTAAAGGGCATAAGTTCCTAATTTTGATGAAGTCCAATTTATCGATCTCTTTCTTCTATAGATCATAATTTTAGTGTTATATTTCAGAAATATAACTCAAAAATGACAAAGATTTTTCTCTTACATTTTCCTTTAGATGGTTTATCATTTTAGATTCCAGTTGTGATCCATTTTGGGATAATTTTTGCACATGGTGTGAGATTAATTTTTTGCATATAGATGGTGAAAAGATCATTATTTTTTCACTGAAGTTCTTCTGTACCTTTACTTAAAATCAAATGACAATAGATGCATGGGTCTATTTCTGGACTCGGTTGATCTATATTTCTGTGTTAATATCAATACCTCGCTGTCTTGATTACAATAGACTTGCAACAGCCCTTCAAGTCAGATGGTGGACGTCCCCTCAATTCACTTTTCTTTTTCAAGGTTGTTTCAGCTGCTCTTGGTCCTTTGCATTTCCATATTAATTTTAGAATCAGTTTGTCAATTTCCACACACAAAAAAACCTACTGGAATTCTGATTGGGTAGCACTGACCTGTAGTTCAAGTTGGAGAGCATATCTCAGCAATATCGAGTCTTCCAGTACATGAACAAGGTCTGTCTCTACATGGACTTAGGAGTTTAATTTCTCTCATCAATGTTTGGCAGTGTTCAGTGTTCAGGTCTTGCACATCTTATCAGAATTATTCATATTTCACATTTTTGATGCTATTTTAAGTAATGTTTTAAATTTCACTTTATAATTGTCCATTATTAGAACATAGACGTACAGCTGATTTTTATATCTTGATCTTGTTTCCCACAGTCTGGCTAAACTCAATAGTTCTAGTTGTTTTTCTGTAGATTCTATCAGATTTTCTACATGGGTAATCATGTCAATGGCAAATAAAGACAGTTTTACTTCTTCCTTTTCAATATGGATGCCATTTGTTTGTTTATTATTTATCTATCTTTTCTTTTTGCCACTGGCTAGAAGCTTCAATACAATGTTGCCCTTTTTCCTGATCTTAAGGGAAAGCATTTGGTTTTTCATCATTAAATATGATGTTAGCTGTAGATTTTTCATAGATGCCCTTTATCCGGTTGAGGAGGTTCTCTCTTCTTCAATTTCTTGGAAGCGTTTTTACAGAATTGTTATTGTTTTTCCTTAAATGGGACATTGAGTTTGCAGTAAGCCATGATGGTCCACGGCAGTCCAGCCTGGATGACAGACGGAGACCCTATCTCTTAAAAAAAAATGCAGGTTCGGGCCGGGTGCGGTGGCTCAGGCCTGTAATCCCAGCACTTTGGGAGGCTAAGGCGGGCGGATCATGAGGTCAGGAGTTCCAGACCAGCCTGGCCAACATGGTGAAACCCCATCTCTACTAAAATTACAAAAATAAGTCGGGCATGGTGGTGGGCACCTGCAATCCCAGCTACTCGGCAGGCTGAGGCACAAGAATTGCTTGAACCCGGGACGGGGAGGTTGCAGTGAGCCGAGATTGTGCCACGGCACTCCAGCCTGGATAACAGAGCGAGATTCATCTCAAAAAAAAAAAAAAAATGCAGGTTCTGATCAGCGGGTTTTCCATGAAAGGTTCACTTATGCAAAGCAACCCTCACATGAGGACGGAGCTGAGAAACCAAAGAATGAGGCTGACAGATTCGGTTTGTCAGGAGAGGGTGCTCTACTGGGGAACCTGCCACCAGGGGTGGCCTTGGGTGGGACAGGTGCAGCTCTGCACTGTTGCTCCCCAGACCCAGGGCTCAGCTTCTCTGTAGGGAAAGGCTCTGCATGCTCCACACAGGCAAGAACGCAACATCGCCTGTCATCTGTGTAATAACATCAAGGCTGCTCTGATGGAAAGGCAGGATTCATAGCGAGTGCACGTTCTTACACTAAGGACAGTAGATACGGCAGGAATCGGGGCATTCCCAGGACGGCGGCTCATCAGAAGTCTGCACGGTGGAGTAGAACCTAACACGGAGTCACTTCTGTCTCCACAGTGGGTCTGCGCTGGGTCTCGAGAGTCTTCATTTCAGAAGTTCAAGGGTGAAGCGCTCGCTCCTAGTTCACGGAACACACATTAAGAGGCTTCCGCTTTTGCTAATGGGTTGTGTCCATTATCCTTTCGTAGGGAATCTGTCTTTTCTCTCTAGCTGCTTTAATTTTTTTTTCTTTTTTGGTTTTCGGTTTTCCGCAATTTTACTACAATGTGTTTTGATGTAGATGTTTTATTTGCCATACCTGGGTTTTACTGTGCCTGTTGGATAAATGGTTCATGTTTTTCATCTATTTGGAAAACAATTATCAGCCACTATTTCTTCAAAACGTCCTCACCTTATTCCAGGATCTTCTTATAGAACCCCAGCTGGACTGATGCTAGATGTCTTCTGTTCTGCCTCCTAACCTCTCTTTCCTGTTTCCCATCTCTGGGATAAATTCTGAGTAATTTCTTTAGATCTATCCTTTAATTCACCAATTCTTCAACTATGATTCGTCTGCTGTTTAGTCCATTGAGCTTTAAATATTATTAGTATATGTTTCATTTCTAGAAATTCTATCAAATTTCTTTAAAATCTTCTTGCTCTTTTTAGCTAGAATTTTACTTCTCACATTATGGATTTGTTGTGTTATAAACATTTCAAACATACTCACTGTGTATTCTTTATTGAATAATTCCAGTATCCTGCGTCCCTCAGCTTCCAGTTCTGCCCTTGTTCATGATGCTCGTTTCCATGCGTCTTGTAACTTTTGACTGCGTCATGTTGGAAAGCCCGAGGTCTTTTATCTGAAGCCTGGGAAGCCTTGGTTGGGGGCAAGACCTCCAGATAAGATTATATTGGCTCATACCAGGTACCAGGCAACAACCAACCTGGGGCCATGGTGATGTAATTCCTCCACATGGGGTTCTCCAGACCCTACAGGGGGATGGCCTGAAATTGTAAAGCTCAGTGGAAACGCTTTCCTGTCAGAGCCCAGGCAGGATCCAGTGTTTCCCTTCTGTGGCTGGATCGTCGGAGAACCCGCTTTCTCGCTGGGTGCAGCCCTTTGAGGATCCGGATGCCACAGAGGCCTCTGGCTGTACGGCCCGCATCCCGGCCTCCTGTTCCTGAGGACCTTTAAAACCCGAGGCTTCAGCCTTCCAGGATCAGCAAATTCCTCGGGAAGCGTCAGCTCAGCCGCTGCACTGAGGACCCTCCTTTCTCTTTCACCCCTGGTGGTTTCCTTGTCTTTTTGGTAACGTCAGAATGCACCCGAGAAGCTATTTAAGTTTTACCCGGATTTACGTGGGAGGAGTTTTCAAGGGTCTCTCGGTCCGTCTGCGCTGCTACTGAGGAGCTGCCACCGTGAAGGCAGCTGCCGTGGCCGATCCTCCAAGATCCCCTTGGGTGTCCTTGTTCCCCTCCCCAGCTGCTGCAGACGCTCACCTGTGTCCTCCTCCAGAACACTGCCCTTGGCTGACAAGAGCTGCTCATTCAGAGATGCCTGAGGACCACGTGCCACCCCACAGGCAGCTCAGACCCACGTGTGGGCAGGAGTCAGAGCCTCTGAGCTGTGCCCTTGCCTCTCAGATGTCCGTGGGGCAGGGCTACGGCTCCAGCCCCCTTTGCCAGCTCCTTGCCCTCCCCACTTGTTGCACCCCTTTTCTGAGAATTCTCCAGAAACCATGTGTAACTGAGGCACCGCCCTGGGGAGCCTGCCTGGGATGGGGGGGCGCAGACGTGGTCCTGGCGCACAGATGCCACAGTTGGTCAGAACACCACCGACTGCCTGGCGATGCTGTCAGCCTGGCACCAATGGCAGTGCAGCCGCTGGAGCTCCCACCTGTTGAGACGTGCTGGCAGCGGGAGGGAAGGTGGGGGCAGCGGCCAGAAGACCCTGACCATGGGGGCCCATGAAGCTGGCTCATGGAGCGCCACAGTCTGACAGGAGACGCAGATGGGCAGCCTGCAAGGAGCTGCTCACTACACTGGTTCTCACACTCAGGCACATGGCAGCCCCTGGAGGGCTCCTTAAAGCACAGCTGGCTGAGCCCCAGGCCCAGGATTTCTGACTCAGTTGGTCTGTGCCGCGGCCAAGGCTCTGCCCCTTCCAAGCTCCCAGGTGGTCCCGGGGCACACTCGGAGGACACTGGCTCAGCACGCGGCACCCACAAATTTTAAAACGAGTGAGTGAGTCCAGGCCCACTGCTCTGATGGAAAACACAACCACTTGCTTTGTTTCCTTATGTCAGCCAGTTCTCAGAGCCAGAGCCCACAAATGGAAAGAGCGGCCAGGTCCCCTTGTGAAAGGCCTCACGCCTCCAAGTGTGGACAGCAGTGACCCCCCAGTCCCTCCAGGGACCCAAAGATGCTTATCTGGACAACTGTGCCCTGGGGAGAGGAAGACGCCCAGATCAGGGTCTGAGTGGACGCTGACACCTGGGGCGCAAAGCACCCTCAGAGGCTCCCATCTGGGTAGGGAATATGGGGTCAGGAAGGACCTGGAGTCCTGGCCCAGGCCTCAGCCCATCATTTCCCAGCCCAGGAACGTGCAATTGGAACTGGCATGCTCAACAGCAAATCCTCACATGGGCTTTTTGGCCCATGGAGTAAAAATCACTGTAGTAGGAAAGACCAAATGGAAACCTTAGAAACTACCCCCAGCTCCAGCCAAGGAAATAAAACAATACAACCTCCTGGTCAAAACGGCGGCGTCAGCAACACCGCAGATGCCTAAAGGGTGCATGGGTGATGGCCACCATCTTCCCACTTAATTTGCTGGTCAGGTCCCTACAAGAGCTGGGTAGACTGTGGTGGACGGCGGCTGAGCCACAGCGTCTCCCCACAGTGCCAACTCCAGCTGCTGTGCTGTCTGTGGTCTTTCCTGGAGCAGACTCACAGCCTCAGACGGTGTCCTGTGGCTCCTGGCTGGGCAGAGGGCTCTCCACTGCACCGGGAGGAGGTCAGGGGCAGTTCCCATTCACACGAGGTGGACAGCAGCGCACAGACATGCAGACACACAGACAACTGACCAAAGCGCAAACACGCAAGTCCGCTCACTGACAGCATCGCACCCACCAGGCCTGGCAAGCGGGAAGTGGCAGGCGTTCTGAGCGTCCTGCTAGGACACAGGCACTCCAGGGCAGGAGAGAGGCTGAGCCAAGATTCAGGGACTGGTCACGTCATGAAGGTTTTAGGAGTCCAGAGATCTGGGCATGTTAGGACGTCCTGTCCAAGGTCAAGAACGAGTTTTGAGCCTTGCATTTCCTAACACCAGGAAAGAAGCTGGCAGATGGCAGGCCTCTGGGTTCTGGACACAGCACGATGATGCCAGACACGGCACGATACCAGACACGGCAGGATGATGCCAGACCCAGCACGATGCCAGGCACGGCACGATACCAGACCCAGCACGATACCAGGCCCGGCACGATACCAGACACGGCAGGATGATGCCAGCCCCAGCACGATACCAGACCCGGCACGATACCACACACAGATCTTTTTATCAGTTGGCACAGAGGCTTCTCGTTTTGAGTGGGGCCCAGGAAAAGGAAGGGTAGCACAGCTGGTGAGGCTGTGGAACAAAGTCCTGCCACTCAGGCCCTGTGAGCTAACAGAGCTCTTGTACCAGGAGCACCTGCCGCAGGTGGGGAAGGATGCGTCAAGGGGTCTCCGGCAAGGCCCAAAAGAGCTGCAGCACCAGCCCTAAGTTTTGAAGCAAGGAGGTCCCGACTGCAACAGAGAACTGCGGACTGTTCAGAGAAGTTCCTGGGGATGGTGTGGCCACAGCTCCCACCAGGAGCCAGTGCCACAAGACCCACCCAGGCTAAGGTCAGCGGCACAGTGAGGATCCAGGGTAAGGGGCGGTGCACTGCCGGGCACCAGCCATGAGAGCCAGAGGGCTGCACGGGCAGGTGGCGCAGCTTCCAGCTTGCCCGCCAGTCAGGCCACAGCCTCAGAGGGTCCCTGTGACTGGGTGGGGGCCAAGCCCGGCCTGCTTCATGGCGGTTGGGTTCATGGTAGTCGGACCACTCCACTTGGGCTGGCCCTGGAGTCAGGGGTCGGGGCGATCCCTGGCCTCTCATGAGGAGAGGAGAGCAGCTCATGGTAAGGACACACGTGGACAGGGCTGGGGAAGGGCTCGGCTGGCCGGTCAGGGCCTGAGAAGGGCAACGCTGGAAGACGGACTGGGGAATGGAACTGCCGGGTGGACACCAGCGTGGGGACTTGTGGGTGTTCACCAGGGGCACCGGCTGCCGAGCGGGCACCCAGCCACCCACAAGCCAATGACGCGGCCAGTGACGCAGCGTCCGGTGCTCCCACACGGCTCCCGCCTGGAGCGATGGAGGACCAGACGAAGCCAGGCGCCCCATGACAAGCCCAGCTCCTGTCGGCAGCAGCACATCCCGTCCTCTGGCCATAAAGACCACCAGGGGCCCTGGACGCAAAACCAGCCAGAGACCAACCGGTCACTTGGAGGTAAACTCAGCCCTGGAGGCCCCTTCCCCTTGGAAAGACAACAGCTGGTATTCCAGGCACGGACCCACCTTTCCAGCCCACGATGCCTCCGTGTCTGCCCTGGGAGACGGGCTCCTGTGTAACGGCCCCCAGGGCCTCTGACTGCTTCCGGCAAGGGGGTGCAGAGGGAGCGGGAACACGGGCGCCGCAGAGCCTAGAGCGTCGGCGAGCTTCTCGGAAAGAGTTGGTGCCACCGTCCTGACACCAACCCTCTGGGACTGTGGTGGTCCCGTCCTCCAGGATGTGGTCTTCGGCCTAAATCAGTGGCCCCACAGAGGACCGCATGGGTCTGGGGACCAAGGGGTAGAGGCAGGAGTGGCCGCCCACTCACCAGCTCCCAGTGACCCACTGACAACCTGTGCTTCCTTTCCCTGCAACTCTTAAGCTGTGAGGGCTCAGAGGTCCTAAAACCCAGCCACCTGGGACAGAGTAAGGCACTGCCCCGCTCGATGGCTGTGGGTCACCCGGCCGGGGCCACTCCTGTTCCAGCGGACCAGCAGGCAGAGCACCCTCTACCGGGCCGGGGCAGGGAGGGTAAAGCCCAGCAAGAGCGAGAAGACTAGGACTTGGACCCCAGGGTGAACGCCTGGGTCCCACCAGCAGGAGAGGCGAAGGCCAGGCACAGTGGCTCACGCCTGTAATCCCAGAACTTTGGGAGGCCAAGGCAGGGAGGATCACTTGAGGCCAGGAGTTCGAGACCGGCCTGGCCAACACGGTGAAACCCCATCTCTACTAAAAATATGAAAATTAGCTGGGTGCACACCTGTAGTCCCAGCTACTCGGGAGGCTGAGGCAGTAGAATCATTTGAACATGGGAGGTGGAGACTGCAGTGAGCCGAGATCATGACACTGCACTCCAGCCTGGGTGACAAAGCAAGACTCTGCCTGAAAAAAAAAAAAAAAAAAAAAAGAGTATCGGCTGAGCCTGGACCAGTGGCTACTGCAGGCTGGGGTGGCCCCGCTTCCCTCCTCCCCTAAGTCTTCCCAGAAACTGCCACCAGTCGGAAGCCTGGAGAAGCCCATCCAGATGGAATCCCCGGAGTGTGATGGGCATGGGGCCGAGACATGGCAGACTGTGGTGGAGGCCCTCATACTAGGCCCACTGCCTGTGGCCCCTTCTCTGGAGGGCTGCCCGGCCAGCAGCAACCAACTGACCCGGGGCCATGTGGCACCCTCCCCGGAGGCCAAGGGGCCACAGCCAGTGACTGATATGGGAGCATACCACACCCCGCCTCAGATAAGGAAACGTGAGCCCCTTATAGTGCGAAGGGTGGGGCTGGGAGACTGGTCAGCACCTGACCAGCAGCAGGTCCCAGGGGGCCCGGCCTCAGTGTGGCCACCACCCTGCCCCACACTGAATCCCTCTGCCCAGGGTCTCTCAGCTGCCCTCCTGCGAGCACCTGGTCTCTGCTGCACACAGACGTACGTCCCTGACTGGCCATAGTGGCTGAGCTCAGAGCCTGGAGCCTGGGGCTGCAATGTCCACCCTGTCCCTGACACACACCTGACCCCAAGACACAAGGCCGGAGGCACGGGAAGGTTGGAATTGCTTTTATTGGGGGCGGATACCGCAAGGCCCCGCCCACGGTCAGGTTAGTGTTCTGCCCTTGCAGAGGCGCCAGCAGCCTGACACCTCCACCTGCCACCCGCCCGGGGTTAGTGGAACATGCAAAGCTCAGAGGGTGGAGGCAGGGGTGGTCGCTGCTGAGACCAGGGCTGGGTGCAACAGGAGGGTCAGCACAGAGCCTGGCTGGTGTCCCTGGGCCCAAAGGGGGCTGGGGCTCCATGGGAGAGAGACGGGCAGGCGGCACCCCAGTGTGGGGCTCCACAAGCTGGAGGGGCCCCTGGACCCACCAGGAGGACAGGTCTGCAGTTCCCAGCCATGCCGGCTGGAACGTCCGCCTCCCCACTGGGTCTGGGTCCTCGGGGCCTGGGGTTAGAGGCCGACATGGAAGGCACTTACTAGGGGAACAGAGGCTGGAGGCTGACGCCGGAGGCCAGGGGTCTCAGGAGTGAGTGTGGGGGGTGAGCTGGAAAGCACAGATCAGACAGCACTGTGGGGGCTGGGCCCGAGGGCCTCGTCTTCCCATGGGGAAGGGGCTTCTCTGGGTAGACTGGGAGAGAGGCTGACTGGGGCCCCCCGTCCCCAGCAAGGCCCACCGTGCAGGCCAGTGCTAGAAACACCAGGGCCCTCTACAGACAGGGTTGGGCCCAGCTGCCCTGTGCAGCTAGGACTGGCAGGCGGGCTACCCTGGGAAGACAGGAGGGTGGGCTGGGGCCCAGCTTGGGACCCTCCAAGGCACCTGGCTGTGTGAGTGGCAGGTAGAAGGGAGTGAGGAGACCCGAGGGGGTGAGGCGGCCAGCAGGGCTGGGCCAGCCCTGTCCCCCAAGATACAGGCTGTCTGGACAGCAGATATATATTAATATATTAGTCTGGTCTTTTTGGTTAAACTTT
This sequence comes from Homo sapiens, assembly GCF_000001405.40. Taxonomy (NCBI): domain Eukaryota; kingdom Metazoa; phylum Chordata; class Mammalia; order Primates; family Hominidae; genus Homo; species Homo sapiens. The sequence continues at coordinate 143,916,072 of NC_000008.11, forward strand.
AGGCACCACTTGGGAGGAAGACACCTTTAAGCGTTGAAAACGGCCCCCGCGCCTCGGTGGGAGCCGGGCTGGGCCGCATGCAGAGCGGGGTGGGCGCAGGCAGCCTCAGGCCACGGCAGACTCAGGGCCCCCCAGGGAGGCCGAGGACCCCGAGGCGTAGCGGCGGCCGTAGCCCGAGGAGGAGTAGGAGGATGAAGAGAAGGTCATGGAGAAGCCGGAGCCGGTGGCGTCAAAGCTGCCGCGGCGGGAGCCGGCCCGGGAGCCGGTGCGCGAGCCGGTGCGGGAGCCAGCGGTAGAGCCGGAGCCGCTGACGCTGTAGGGGCTGTAGTAGCCCTTGGTGGACTGCGCGGCAGCCTCCAGCAGCCGCAGCCCCGTGCCCTCCTCCACCATGCTGCGGTCCAGCGCGTCCTTATAGGAGATCTTGAGCTTGGTCTTAGGGCAGGTGAGGTACTTGGAGTAGGCGCCCACGTCACGCAGCTTCTGTGCGGTGCGGGCGTCCACCGTGCCGCGCTGCAGGGCCTCGTCCAGGGGCACGCGGCCCGGCGTGTCGGGCTCGATCAAGCCGCCGGTCAGGTACTGCACCTCCAGGAAGCGCTGGCCGGCCTCGTAGTAGAGCCAGCCCTTCTTCAGGGCCTGGGCGGCCGACATCTTGGTCTTGGTGCGTGGGTCCTCGAAGCCGCAGAAGGCCTTCTGGGCCAGGTTGATGCGGTCCACCATGATCTTGTCCACCAGGCCCTTGTTGACGGCGTCGGTGACAGGGAAGCGCTCACCGGTGCTGGGGTCGATGATGCCCCCGGTGCAGGCCTGCGCCTCCAGCAGCCGCTGCCCCGTGATGTTATCCACCAGGTTCCGGTGCATGGCCTCGGTGATGGACACCTTCTCCAGCGTCTCCGTGTCCAGGATGCCAGCCACGGGGCCCGTCTCCTCAGTGGGGTCTGACCAGGAGGCCAGCTGGGTCCTGGAGACGGCGGGGCTGATGGGGTAGGAGGAGGAGGATCCCACCGAGGAGGAACGGGAGCGGAAACCACCGGCGTTGCCCGAGAGCATGTCGGCGAACTCGGTGATGGAGAGCGTGCCGGCGCGGTACTGGTCCAGTGCCGAGCGGTCGATGAGGTTCTTGGCGATGGCATCATCGATGTCGTACTGGCGCCCGGAGCGGCGGTCGATGATCATGGACTTGACCACGCCGTCCGAGGAGGAGATGGTGATCTCCTCCCACTCGCACTCCTGCTCGGACAGCTCCAGGTACGTCTGGTGGTCAATCAGGCCCTTGCGGTAGGCCTCGTACACTGACATCTCCTTGCCCGTCTCGGGGTCCACGATGACCACTCGGCGCTTGCGCACGGAGGACTTGGAGGACGTCTTCCGCTCCCGCTTCTTCTCCTTCAGCGGCAAGAGACACAGGCCCGTCTGGGGGTCAGTGATACAACGCTCCATCAGCTGCAGGTAGGTGAGGTTCTCCTCCGTGTTAGGGTCAAAGAAGCCCTTGGTGTCGTCCGAGGGGTCGGTCAGGATCTCGTTCATCTCCTCATCGAAGAGGCCGCGCTTGTAGGCCACCTCCACGGGCAGCCGGTGGCTCTCCTCAGGGTCGATGATGCCGCCCGTGGCGATCTGGGCCTCCAGCAGGCGGATGCCATGGTCCTTCAGGATCAGGCCCTTCTTCATGGCCTGGAAGAGGGAGATGAGCTTCCCAGAGTAGGGGTCCTTGTACCCAGTGACGGCGCGCTCGGCCGACAGCAGCTTGTCCTTGAACTCGGGGCCCACAATGCCCATACGCACAGCCTCCTCCACCGTCAGCTTCAGTCCCTTGATGGGGTCGATGACGTAACCGGTGGCCGCCTGCGCCTCCAGGAGCTCAAAGGCTGTGCCGGGGCGGATGATGCCCTTCTTCATGGCCTGGTACACCGAGAGCCGTTCCTTGGTGGCGTCCACGAAGACACCAGCGATGCAGCTGGTGCCTTCCAGGAACTTCTGCAAGTTCTTGGTGACCTCCTCGATGGAGGTCAGGCCCTCCCGCAGCTGCAGCGCCGTGGCCTCGTCCATGACCTGCGAGCGCACCAGCTCCTCCATGGTGATCTGCTTCCGCAGGCCACGGAAGGTCAGCTTGCGGGCGTCCGACAGTGGCAGGAGCAGCTGGCCGGTGCCGTCGTCACGACGGCACCGCCTGAGCAGCTGCGTGTAGCTGAGGCGCTCGTCGGTGGACGGGTCCACGTAGCTGCGCACCTCGCTGGGCTCTGACAGCTGGTCGTGCGTGTCCTTGTTGAGGTAGCCACGCTGGTAAGCCACCTCCAGGGGAAGGTGGAAGCCCAGGCGGGGGTCCACGATGCCGCCGGTGGCCAGCTGGGCATCCAGCAGCCGCAGGGCCTCCTCAGTAGGGATCAGCTCCTTCTTCATGGCCTGGAAGAGCGAGATGGTCTGCTCGGTGTAGGGGTCACGGTAGCCGGTGACCGCCCGCTCAGCCGAGAGCAGGCGGTCGTGCAGCTCGGGCCCCACGAGGCCCTTCCGCACAGCCTCATCCACAGTCAGCCGCTCCCCCTTCACCGGGTCCAGCAGGAAGCCTGTGGCTGCCTGTGCCTCCAGCAGCAGGCGGGCCACCTCGGCACTCAGCAGCCCTTTCTTGAGAGCCTGGTAGATGCTCAGTGTCTGCCTGGAACCGGGCAGGTAGACACCAGCCACGGAGCCCGTGCCATAGAGGTAGCACCAGGCGGACTCCGCCTCGAGAGCCTCACGGAGGCTCCTGGTGCCCTCCCGGAGCAGGTTGTAGGTCTCGAGAGAGATGATCCGAGCCTCGAACAGGTCCTCAGCCGTGAGGCGGCGGCGCACGTAGTCGTAGGAGGCCAGACCCTGCTGGCGGATGATCTCTGTCTTCTCAATGATCTCGATGATGATGATGATCATGCGTTCCTTGGTCACCCGGCCGGCCTGGAAGTCAGCCATCAGCTGGGCCCGCTGCTCCTCGGGGATCAGGTCCGACTGCATCACCTCCCACAGGGACATGGTGGAGCCGCCGTGGCTGCCGCCGCCGGGAATGTCGATCTGTGTCTCTTCAAATGCCCTTCTTGTCTCCTCCTCAGTGTACACCTGCGTGGTCTCCACCACCTCAGCCTTCTCCGCCCCTTTCAGTGGCAGAAGGCGCAAGCCCGTCTCGGGGTCCTCCACGCACCGCTCCAGCAGCTGCCTGTACGTGAGGTTCTCATGCGTGTTGGGGTCAAAGAAGCCCTTGGTGTCGTCGCTGGGGTCCGCCAGGACGCGGTTCATCTCCTCACTGAAGTAGCCGCGCTGGTAGGCCACGTCCACAGGCACGCGGTGGCTGTGCACGGGGTCGATGATGCCGCCCGTGGCGATCTGGGCCTCCAGCAGGCGGATGCCGTGCTGCCGGAGAACCAGGCCCTTCTGCATGGCCTGGAAGAGGGAGATGGTGCTGCCCGAGTAGGGGTCTCTGTAGCCGGTGACGGCCTTCTCGGCAGACAGCAGCTGCTCGTGAAGCTCGGGGCCCACCACGCCCGCCTTCACGGCCTCGTGGACATACAGGCGCTGGTTCCGCACGGGGTCCACCAGGAAGCCAGTGGCCGCCTGCGCCTCCAGCAGGAGCGCAGCCGTTGTGGCTCTCAGCAGGCCCCGGCGCATGGCCTCGTAGATGGACACCTTCTCCTTGGTGTCCTCCAGGTAGATGCCGGCGAGGCAGCCACTGCCCTGCAGCAGCGTCCGCACGGAGCCCAGCTCCGAAAGGTCCTTGACCGTCGTCTTGCCGTCCTTGAGCTGCTCAAACTGGGCTCTGCTGAGGACCCCGGAAGCCAGGAGCTCGCTGGCTGGCACAGGGGCACGGAGGCCGCTGAAGGACAGCCTCTCCTGCCGCAGGGTCTCCACCTCCTCCACGATGGTAATGAGAATCTTGATGACCTTCTCCACGGTGACCTTGCCCGTGCGGAACTGACGCAACAGCTCCTGCCGCTGCTCCGCAGTGAAGTACTCAGAGCTGATGAGCTCCCACACCGTCACCGTCCTGCCCTTGAAGCCACCCACGGGGACCTCAACCGGGGTCTTTTCAAAGGTCTCACGGGCCTGCAGCTCTGAGTAGAGCTCCTCCTGCCGGGCCCGAGCAGCCTTTTCTGAGAGCGGCAGCAGGCTCAGCCCGGTCAGCTGGTCGGGCCGGCACCGCTGCTGGAGCTCGCCGTAGGTGGCCGGCTCCCCTGTGCTGGGGTCACTGTAGGCCTTGGCGTCGGCCCTTGGTGCCGACAGGGCCCTGCTGGTCTCCTCATCCAGGCAGCCTCGGGCGCAGGCGACATCCAGGGGCACGCGGTGGCTCTTGCTGGGGTCCACGATGCCGCCCGTGGACAGCTGGGCGTCCAACAGGCGCAGGCCCTGCTCCCGGGGAATGAGGCCCTTCTTCAGGGCCTGGAACAGGGAGACGCTCTGCCCTGTGTAGGGGTCCCTGTACCCTGTCACAGCCTTCTCGGCTGATAGCAGCTTCTCATGAAACTCGGGGCCCACCAGGCCAGCACGCACTGCCTCGTCCACGGTCAGCCGGGCGCTGGTGGCGGGGTCGATGATGTGCCCGGTGCCGGCCTGGGCTTCCAACAGGGCCACGGCCATGTCGGATGGCAGCAGGTCTTTCTTCAGGGCATTGTAGATACTCAGCTTCTGCCCCGCCTCCTCCAGCCATACACCCGCGATGACGTTGGCACCCCGGAGAGCCCGCCGCACAGTGTCCACCTCGGCTACGTCTCGCACAGAGCGCTCACCTCGCTGCAGCTGCTGGTAGAGCTCGCGGTCGATGACCCTGCTCTCCAGCAGCTCGGCGGCTGGCACCAGGCTGCGCAGGCCCTCAAAGCAAAGCCGGCCCTTCTGCTCCTGCTCCTCCACCACCGTGATGATGATCTTGATGATCTTCTCCACTGTGATCCGGCCCGTGCGGAACTGCCGCAGCAGGTCCCGCCGCTGCTCTGCCGTGAAGTATTCCGAGTTGATGATCTCCCAAATGGTCACCGTCTTGCCCTGGAACTTGCCGAACGGCGCAGACACGGTGGCCTTCTCAAAGACGTCCCGGGCCTCGGAGTCAGTGTAGACCAGCTCCCCGCCCTTGGCAGCCTTATCCGTGAGTGGCAGAAGGCACAGGCCCGTCTCGGGGTCCTCCACGCAGCGCTCCAGTAGCTGCAGGTACGTGAGGTTCTCGTGCGTGTTGGGGTCAAAGAAGCCCTTGGTGTCGTCGCTGGGGTCCGCCAGGACGCGGTTCATCTCCTCGTCGAAGTAGCCGCGCCGGTAGGCCACGTCCACGGGCACGCGGTGGCTGTGCACGGGGTCGATAACGCCGCCCGTGGCGATCTGGGCCTCCAGCAGGCGGATGCCGTGCTCCCGGACGATGAGGCCCTTCTGCATGGCTTGGAAGAGAGAGATCTGCTGGCCAGTGTAGGGGTCCTTGTAGCCAGTGACGGCGCGCTCGGCCGACAGCAGCTTGTGGTGCAGCTCGGGGCCCACCACACCCTCCTTCACAGCCTCGTTGACGGTCAGCCGCCGGTTCCGCACAGGGTCCAGCAGGAAGCCTGAGGCCGCCTGCGCCTCCAGCAGGATGAGGGCCGTGCCGGGACTCAGCAGCTGCCTCTGCAGGGCGGCGTAAACACTCAGCTTCTCATTGGTGGCCTTCAGCAACAGCCCTGCGATACTGCTGCGGCCCTGCAGGTAGTGGCGCACGTCTTCCCGCCGTGCGAGCTCGTCCACCGTGGTGTGGCCCTGCGCCAACCGCTGCAGCTCCTCCGCACTCAGGATGCCGGCCTCCTGCAGCCTCTGAGCTGACACCTTCCGCCGCAGGCCATCGAAGCTGTGCTCCGGCTCTGCCTCTGCCGCGGGGCCATCAAGTGCATCCCGGCCATTGGGCAGGGTCTTTGTGGCAGCCACCTGCGAGGCAGTGACCTCCTCTGAGTGCGCCAGCGCGGCCCGGTGCTGCTCCTCCAGGAGCTGCAGCTGCTCACGCAGCCTCTGGTTCTCCTCAGCCAGCAGCTCCTCCTGCTGCCGCCGCTGCTGCTCCAGCTGCTGCAGCTCCTCCTGCTTGCGCCGCACGCCCTCCTCGGCCTCATGCTGCCGCCGCCGCGCCTCCTCCATGCTGGCCACCAGCCGCTGCCGTTCCTGCTCCATCTGCTGCTGCTGCCGCTGCTGCTCCTCACGCAGCTGCTGTGCCTTGGCCACCTCGTCCTGGAAGAGCTGCTCCAGCTTGGCCTTCTCCTGCTCGATGAAGCGCTCCCGCTGTAGCAGGCTGTCCTTTTCAGAGAGGAAGCTTTGCTGCAGGGCCTGCGTCTCCTGCAGCAGCTGCTCCTGCTGCACCGTCTGCATCTGCAGAAGAAGAGGGTGTGATCAGGGACCGCCAGCCCAGGAGCACCCATCACCCACCAAAGCAGATCCCCGGGCCCACCCGCCCGTCGCACGTAGAGGGGGCGGTACCTCCTCAGACTTGAGCTGCAGCAGTTTGGCCTCCTGTTGGAGCTTCTCCTTCTCACGCTCCAGCTCAGCGATGGCCTCCCGCAGGCGCTCGGCATCATGGTCACTCTGCTGTCGCTGGATCTCCAGTGTCTGCACCAGGGTCACCTTCTCCTGGGTGGCGAGCTCCGTGCGGTGCAGCTTCTCACCGATCTCCTCCGCCTGCTTCCGGAAGCGCTGGGCGTCCTCCTCAGCGCGGGCCTGGGCTCGGCTCATCTCGGCCACACGCAGCTTGAGGCGCTCAGCCTCAGCGCTCATCTCCAGCTGCCGCTGCCGCTCGGCCTCCAGCGTCCGCTGGAAGCCCTGCGTCTCCTCCGCCAGCTGCTGCGCCATCTGCTCCTTGTCCTCCTGCAGCCGCCGCGCCTGCTCCTGCGCAAGCTCCTTCTGCTGCTGCAGCAGTTCCGCCTCAGCCTTGAGTCGCGTGGCCTCCTGCACCGCCTGCATCTTCTCCTTGAGCATCTTCTCTGCCAAGGCCCGCTGCTGTGCCAGGTCCTCCTCTGCCAGCTGCCGCAGTCGCGCAGCCTCTTGGGCCGCCACACTCAGCCGCGCGGCCTCCTCCGCCACCTGCTTCATCTTCTCAGCCTCCTCCTGCAGGAAGCGCTGCGTATTGTCCTTGTCACGCAAGATGAGTGCGCGGTTCTCAGCCTCGATGCGTGCCTTGAGCTTGCTCAGCTCCTCCATCTGCACGCGCACCGAGAAGAGCTCCTCCTCCACCTGGCTGCGCTGGCGTGCGGCCTCCGTGGCCTCCGCCTTCAGCCGCTGCAGCTCCTCGTCCAGCAGGTTCTTCTGGTGGTCGGTCTCCTCCAGCTGCAGCCGCAGTGTTGTCAGCTCCTGCTCCACCTGCGCCTTCTGCCGCAGCGTCTGCTCGGCGAATTTCTTATGCTTCTCCATCTCCGCGTCAGCTGCCTGCTTCTGCCGCAGGGCCGCCTGCTCCGCCTGTGCCCGCCGCGCCGCCTCTTGCTCGGCCTCCTTGCGCAGCTTCTCTGCAGCCGCCTGTGCCTGAGCCCGGGCCTGTGCCTGCTCCTCTGCCGACTGCTTCAGCCGCTCGGCCTCTTCCACCTGCCGCCGGGACTGCGCCGCCTCACGCTCCGCCTGCACCCGGGCCTCCTCCGCCTCCTCAGCCGCCCGCCGGGCCGCCTCCGCCTCGCCGCGCAGCTGGTCCAGCACGCTCTGCTCCTGCTGCAGCGTCTGCTGTAGCTCCTGCTCCTTCTGCTGCACCGCGAAGGCGTGTGCCTTCTCTTCCGCCTGCAGCCGCTTCTGGGCGGCCTCCTGGGCCAGCTGCAGCTGCCGCGCCGACTCCTGCTCCGCTCGCTCCCGCAGGCGCCGCGCCTCCTCCACCTTGGCTTTCAGCCGCTCGACTTCCTCCAGCGCCGCCTTCCGCTGCCGTGCGGCCTCCTCCTCGGCCGCCAGGCTCTTCTGCACGCGCTCCTCAGCCTCACGGCGCCGCCGCTCCTCCTCCGCCGCCAGCTGCCGCTGCCTCGCAGCCTCCAGCTCGGCCTGCTCCTTGCTGCGCAGCGTGTCCTCCGCGTTGCTGCGGATGCGTCCCAGCTCCAGCTCCAGCTCCGCCTTGCCAGCGGCCGCCTTCTCGAAGCTCGCCTTCAGCGCCAGGATCTCCTCCTCCACCTGCCGCCGCTGCCTCAGCGTGTCCTCCACCAGCCCCTTCTGCCGCTCCAGCTCGCTGTCCGATGCCTTGCGCAGCTGGGCCAGGCGCTCCTCGATGTCAGCCTTGTGTTGCGCGGCCTGCTCCTCCAGCCGCCGCCGCTGGAAGGCCTCGTCCTCCGCCAGCCGCCGCAGGCGCTCGTTCTCCGCCTCCTTCTCCTTGAGCGCGATCTCCGCCTCCGTCTTGAGCCGCGTGGCCTCGCCGATGGCGGCCAGCTTCTCCGCAAGCACCCGCTCCGCCTCGGCCCGCTGCCGCGCCGCGTCTTCCTCGGCCAGCTGCCGCTGCCGCTTGGCCTCTTCCGCCAGGGCACGCAGGCGGGCGGCCTCCTCGGCCAGCTCGCGGAACCGGCCGGCCTCGGCCTCCAGCCTCTGCTTGGACTTCTCGCTGGTGGAGCGCGACTCCTCCTCAGCCCTCGCCTTGCTGGCCAGCAGCACCTCCATCTCGGCCCGCACCTTGGCCAGCTCGGCTTCCAGCTCCTGCCGTTTCTGCGTGGCTGCAGCCGCCTCACGCTGCAGCCGGGCCAGCTCCTCCTCCAGCAGCTGCCGCTGCTGCTCCCCCTGCTCCGTCTCGGCCCGCAGCCGGATCAACTCCTGCTCCGCGGCCAGGCGCTGCTGCGCGGTGCCTTCCGCCAGCTGCCGCTGCTTCTCCAGCTCTTGTTCAGCCAGCTCCCGCTGCCGGACGGCCTGCTCCTCCGCCTTGCCGCGCCGCCGCGCCTCGCGCTCCGCCTCCTCCTTCTGCTTCTCAGCCTCGGCCTGCGCCAGGCTCTTCTGCTGCGCCACCTCCTCCGCCTGCAGCCGCAGCCGTAGCGCCTCGTTGGCCTTGAGCTGCCAGCGCTCCAGCTCCCGCTCTGCCTCCTCGCGCGCCCGCTCGGCCTCGGCCTGCTGCTGTGCCCGCCGCTCAGCCTCCTCCCGCAGCTGTGCCACAGCCACGTGTTCCTCCTGCAGGGAGCGCTCCAGCTGTGCCGTCTTCTCGGCGAAGGAGGCGCGTTTGCTCTGCAGCTCCGCCTCTGCACTGCGCTGCGCCGTCTCCAGGGCCACCTGTACCTGCCGCGCTCGCTCCACCTCGGCCTGCCGCAGGCGCCGCTCCGCCTCCTCCGCCTGCAGCCGCAGCTCCTCCAGGGCCTGCAGGGCCCGCTGCTTCTCGCGCGCCGCCTCGGCCTCGGCCTTCACGCGCGAGGCCAGCTCCACCTCCGCCTGCCGCTTACGCTGGCTCTCGTCCTGCACCTGCCTCCGCAAGCGCTCGGCCTCCTCCTGCGCCTGTCGCTTTTGTGCCTCAGCCTCCTCCGCCCGTGCACGCAGTGCCTGCAGCTCCCCCTCAGCCCCGCCACGCTGGCGCTCGGTGGCCTCCAACTGCAGGCGCACCACGCGGATCTCCTCCTCGATGCGCAGCCGGCTGCGCTCAGCCGCCTCTGCCTGCCGGGCCTTGGCCTGGATCTCCGCCTCCGAGCTCTGCCGCAGCTGCTGCAGCTCCTCCTGAATGCTGCGCTTCTGCTGCTGCGCGTCCACCGCCGCCTCCTCCCGCCGCACCACCTCCTCCTGCATGCGCTGCTGCAGCTCCTTCGCCTCCCGCTCCGCCTGTGCCTTTGCCTGGGCGTGCGCCTCGGCCAGCTGCCGCTGCTTCTCCAGCGCGGCCTCCACCTCGGCCAGCCGCTCGCGCTCCTCTGCCCGCTGCTGCTCAGCCAGCCTCTGTGGCCACAGCAGAGAGAAGAAGAGAAGCAGAGAGAGTGTGAACACGGGCAGGCGCTGACGGGGCACGCACCGGCACAGTTCACTCAGACAGCGCGGAGCAGGGGTCGGGGAAGACAGAGGCCCCAGCCCGGCGGAGGAGACAGCGTGCACCCGCCCAGGGCGCTCGGGCAGCGATCGCAGCCGGCCCCACTGTGCTCACCAGCCTGGGGAAGGAGGCCCAGGCGTCCTCCCTGCTTCCCGCAGACAGGCGACGGAGACAGACGGACGGGGAGAGAGAGAGCAAAGCAGGAGCTCGGAACCTGCGAGCCACACCCAGCACACAGCCCTGCCTGAGCTCTGCTGGACACCAGTGGGCCTGGCTCCCACCACTGGACCCCTCTCCCCGACCAGGGTGGGAAGCCTGGGTGGGGCGGGGTGAGGCGAGGCGGCCAGCGTGGAGACAGCAGTGCAGACCCGAGCCAACTCGGAAGAGGATTCAGGGCCACGCAGAAGGTAGGGAGAAGCCAACAGATGGGTGCCTTGGAAGACCCTCCCTAGCCCCACAACTCAGCACCCCCGACTTCTGGCAGCAAAGGGTTGAGCGGAAAGGCCAACGCAGAACGCCAAGGAAGAGCCCACAGGACGGCCGCTAGGCTGCAGGGGGGACGCTCACGAGGGAGGAGAGGCGGCACCAGCCACTGTGGGGGAGCAGTGTAGCCACACCAGGCCAGGGGGGCAGGCCACAGGTGGGGCAGCCTGGGGCAGGCTGAGCTGGGGGCAGGGGGTGCTGGCAGCGCCAGTGGGGAGAGTGGGGAGGGCCACGAGAGGTGGCCTCAGGCAGCTCCTGTGGCTGTGTGTGGGACACAACAGGTGGTGAGATGGAACCCTCTGCCCAGCCTCCGCCCAACGGGCTGTACCTCCTCCTCCTCCATGCGCCGCAGAGTCTCGCTGATGAACTTGATGTACTGGCTCGTCAGTGTGGTCAGCTCGCTGTAGTGCGTACGCAGGTCCACGTACTGTGGAGTAGAGCCAGGGTTAGCCCTGCGAGAGCTGCAGCTCCAGCCAGAGGCCTGCCAGCCCCTCACCCAGTTAGGTTCGGCCCCACCCTACCTCCTGGATGACACTCTCTGATCCCGACTGGACCTTGGGCTTCTTGGCCGGGGAGGCCACCGGCTCAAGCTGCGCCTTGTACGTCACCAGCTGGAGTTCATAGTCCTGTGGCAATGCACTGCGGTCAGCCACCAGCTCTGCCCTCCGATGGCCCCTGCCCAGCCCCTAAACCCTCACATGGGCTTTCCCTGGCATGGCCCAGGCTCAGGGAAAGCCCGCCATCATCCTGGCAACGGTCCCGGACTTGGGGCCTGGTGCAGGCGGCTGGGCCTCACCTTGATGGCGTTGATGTACTGTTTCGCAAACCTCTGGCACTCCTCGACCTTCTCGCCGTGGCGCTCGATCTCCTCCAGCAGGGCCTGGGTGATGGTGTGGTCAGAGCCGTGGCCGCAGGGCACGCCCAGCCGCCCCGTCCCCACCGACCCAAGCCCACCTGCTCCTGCCGCAGCTGCTCCCGCACAGCCTGGCTGTCGGCCAGCGGCATGGCCTGGATCTGCTCCTGCCGCCGCCTGGCGTCCTGCAGCCAGGCGCCCAAGGGGTCTGCACTCTCGCGGTAGTAACGCAGCTGGCGGCCCAGTTGCTCGAGCTCGCGCTGCCGCACGTCGGTCTGGGCCAGCACAGCCTGCCAGCGCTCAAGCAACTGGGCGACCCGCTCCCGCCAGCGCTCCACCTCCACGTCCCGCTCCCCGTGCCGCTGCTGCAGTCGCTCCCCCACCTCCTGTGCCCCCCGCAGCTCATCCCGCAGGGCGTCGAACGTGGGCTGCTGTGCCTCGGCCTGGGCCCGCAGCTTCTGTTGGGGACAGGAGGGACATGTGCGGCTTCAGCTGGGCCCGCTGTACCCCCACCCCGCCATGAAGCCCAAGCCTCGAAACGATACCTTCAGAGAGGCCTTGGTGGCCTCGAGCTCCGGGAGGGTGGCCGGCACGGCCTGGGCCTCCTTGAGCTGCTCCTCGTGGGCCCTGAGCACCTCCTCGGCCCCCTGCGTGCCGCGGATCACCAGGCTGATGGTCTTGAGCCTGGCGGGAAAGCGGGGCTCAGGGCCATGACATGGGGCTCGAGCAATAGCCCAAGGGAATGGAACCCAAGCCACAGCGACCCAGGGTGCTGCCTGCCAAGCCCAGACCCAACCCTGGGGGTCAGCTGACCCTGTGGTCAGAGGCTTGCTTCAGGAGAAGAACAGCCTTGGGGAGAAGGAGGTTGGGAGCCTCTGTAACACAAGGACACTCAGGACCCAGCCTGGAGAGGGGGTGCGCCAGCCAGGAACGGCAGACCCCAAGGCCCCGAGACAGGACGAGCCCACTGGCTGGATGACAGCGGCATCCTGGTGCCCACAGGGCCTGGAAGCGTAGTTCTCAGCCCTTGCAGCCCAAGACTGGGCGAAGGGGACACCGGGGTGGAAATGGCACCCTGTGGTAGCCAGCGGCGGCCCTATCACTGTGCTGGTTCTGTGAGGAGTAGACAGCGGGTGGACCTGTGGTTTGCAACACAGGAAGAGGCGGCGGCCCTATCACTGTGCTGGTTCTGTGAGGAGTAGACAGCGGGTGGACCTGTGGTTTGCAACACAGGAAGAGGTGGCGGCCCTATCACTGTGCTGGTTCTGTGAGGAGTAGACAGCGGGTGGACCTGTGGTTTGCAACACAGGAAGAGGCGGCGGCCCTATCACTGTGCTGGTTCTGTGAGGAGTAGACAGCGGGTGGACCTGTGGTTTGCAACACAGGAAGAGACTATGACATAACACATTGGAAATAAATGCCAGAGGCCCTTAAGTCCAGGCCAGGAACAGGACAGACGAGAGGCAGGGTGCAGGATTCCTTACTGTGCCACTGAAAGTGGATCCACAGCTTCCCCACCTCACTCAGCAGCCGCTGCCCAGCTCCACTGTCTCTTCCCCACACCCGAATCTCATCACCAGGAAGTCCCCCGGCCGCCACTGTCGAAGCGTATCCAGCCCTGAACTCTTCTCACCACCTCTGCGGCCACCACCCCAGCTGGGCCTCCCGCCTCCTGGCCAGATCTCTGAACAGCCCCCAACTCGTTCCCTCCTGCACCCTCCTGCAAGGTCACAGCCCTCACCCCAGCACCCCCCAGCCGACCCCAGCCCCTCGCCTGTGGCCAGGTGCACTCACTTCTCCAGGTAGATGGCAGACAGGCTGCGGACCTGCTCCAGCTTGCCCAGCGTCAGCTCCAGCTCCGAGCGCAGCGTGGGGGCCGCAGGCGATGGCTCTGGTAGGGCCAAGACCTTCTCGGCCTCGGCAGAGAGCCGGGCGACCCCCTTGCCCAGCCCCTCCACCTCTGCCTGTGCCTTCTGCAAAGACAGGGAGTGGGAACGCACTCATCACCGAGCGCAGCACACAGCGCCCCTTGAAGGCCAAAGGAGGGAGGGTGGGAGGAGGGATGGGGAGAGGGATGGGACTGGATGGGGGGGGACGGCCCCTGCCTGCTGCTCGGCGATGCGCTGGGCACACTCCCGTGCCGGCTCTTTGTCCAGCGGCAGCCGCAGGCGGTGCACGGTGCGCGTCTCACAGGCCTCCAGCTGCAGCCGGATGTCTTTGAGCTCGGAGATGCAGCGCTGGCAGCGAGACTCTTCCTGTGCACCTGGGGAACACATGTGGGTCACTCCACCGCCCACCTCGCACCAGCCCAACCGCCCCAGCCCTGCCGTGCCCTACCCTGTTCCAGGCTCTGCAGCAGCTGCTGGTAGTGGTGGCTGCAGGAGCCGTACTCGCGCTCAGCCATCAGCCGGTCCTCGGGTCCGAAGCCGCCCGCGTCCTGGCTGTCCCGCAGGAAGGCCTGGTAGTGCAGCTCCAGGCTGTGCAGGGCTTGGCGCTGCTCCTCTGGCTTCAGGGTGCGGAACTGGGGGAAGCACGTGGGGCTGAGTGCCGGGCGAGGCGGCCGTGCCCTGCACAACGCCTCTCCCCTCCTCCCACCCAGAGAGCCCCCGGCTCGGGGGCAGGCGTACCGTGGCCAGGGACCAGGAGCGGATGAGCTGCACGTCGCGGCGAAGGCTCTGCCAGGCCAGAAGGCTCTTCATGTCCACGTGCAACTGGTGCCACAGCGTGACCAGGGCCTGGTGCTGGGCCTCCAGCCTGGCAGGTCAGGGCTACAGTCAGCGTCACCAGCGCCCCACCCGCCTTCCAGCCCCCACCTGCTGAGCCCCCGCCACCCACCTGGTGACGGCCTCCTGGGCCTCCTGGTTGGGCGGGGGCACCAGGAAGCACACGGAGGGCACGGCGGCCTCGCTGCCGGAGCTGCTGAGCACCTTCCAGTGGGACGGCTGTGCAGGGCCCACCAGCTGGCACTCGTCACCCTTGTGCACAGTCACCTGGGACGGGCAGAGTCGGTGAGGACATGGCCACACCCTGCCCTGCCTGGCCACGCCCCCCAGTGGACCCCCGGCCTGCGCTCACCTCCACCTGCTTATAGTCGCACACGGCCAGCAGGGGCAGGCGGCCCCGCATGGGGTGGGCTGGGTGGCGGGGCTTCAGCTGCACGACGGCCTTGGCCCGCTTGGCCAGGCCTGAGAGGTGGCCCTTGTACTCGTTCAGCTGTTCCTTCTCGTCCTGTGGGGGAGGGGCAGCATCCAGACGAGGGCCATGGAGACCCACAGGCCTGCCCCAGGCACCCCCAGACCCCGGGACCAGGCCTGTGGGGCCCTCCTGATGCTCCCGGGGTGGCAGCACTTGGAAGCAGGAGGTATAGCTGGGACAGGCCCCGGGGGTTGGCCCCAAGCAGACCCATGCACCCTCGCTCCTTCCCAACCCAGACAGGGCACCCTCCTCTCACCCCAGCTCACCCACCATGTCCTCCCAGCTACGCTCTGGTCCCTACAATGCCCTCGCCCCTTGCCCCTCCCCTGCGGGCTGCAGAAGGTACTGCCTCCTCCCATCCCACCCCTCTGCGGGGGCCAGGCCGCAGGACGGCACACACCTGGGAGCTGCCGGCTCTCCCCCCGGCCCAGCCCTGCCGACCTCAGAGGCCATTTCAGTCTCCAGTCCCTCTTCCCTGTCACTCCCCACTGTGCACCCGCCCTCCTGGGTGATCCCACCCCTGCTCCCAGAGCACAAAGCCCAGTTCCACTCTGCCCGCTCCAGATCTCAGGCCAAACAGCTGGTGCCCCTTCTATAGTACAAGGGCTGGCAGTGCTCCTTCTATAGCACAAGGGCTGGCGGTGCCCCTTCTACAGCACAAGGGCTGGCGGCAGCTGCTGACTTCAGGCTTCCACTCACTCTGTGGCTATGGAGATGGGGGCGGCCCGGCTTGGACCGGCTGCCTCTCGGCTCCCCACATCCTGCCTCATTCCCCCCTTGGCTGACCTCTACACCTCCCATGGTGCCTCCCAACTCCTGCTGGCCCCTCCAGTTGCCCCCTAGTCTCCAGAGTACCCATGCAGCCCAGAACATCCTGCCTCATTCCCGCTTCGGCTGACCTCTACACCTCCCATGGTGCCTCCCAACTCCTGCTGGCCCCTCCAGTTGCCCCCTAGTCTCCAGAGTACCCGTGCAGCCCAGACTCCAGGCCAGCCCCTCCTGACACGCCCCTGCACACCCCCTCCCTCACCTGGGCATCCTGCAGCAGGTCCTCCAGCCGGGTGACGGTGGCGGAGCGATCACAACTGTATTTCCTACGCAGTGCCTCCTGCAGCTTCTGCAACTGCCCCTCGGCCTCCCGCACATCTGAGAAGAACTGGGGCAGCGGGAGGGGGTCACGCCAGGCTACCTGGGACCAGAGCCCCAGCCCACAGTTGTCCCAGGGCAGGCCCAAGACGGGGGCACTGAGGAAGGAGTGGCAAAGCCCCCAGGAGGCCTGGGGAGCACCCCTGTCCAAGGCCCCGGTCAGGCTGCAGGCAGCAGCTGGCAACGTCTGCAGACAGGAGGGCTCCTGATTGGAGCTGCCGAGGGGGTCCAGGGGCTCCTGCAAGGCTGCCGCTGAGCCACAGTGCGGAGGGGGCTCCGGTTCTCACCTGAAAGTAGGCAGCGTTCTCCTTCAGGTGTGCCTCGATACAGCAGCACAGCTGTAGCATCCAGCTCCACTGCGTCTGCAGGGCCGCCTGGAAGGACTGCGGGACAGCAGGTCCCGGTCAGGCCCCGCCCCGCCCCGCCTGGGGACCCGGCACGGCCCCCCCCGCAGCCCCGCCCCTACCCAGGGAGCCCCACCTCCACCGTGGGCCGGGCCGGGTGGTCCTCCCGCAGCAGCCGGTCCCCAGCATTTTGGAGCTCCTTGATCTTCTTCTCCTTCAGCTCCAGCTCCCGCATCAGCGCCTGGCACCAGAGCAAAGGGTCTCAGGGACGGCCGGCCACACCCGGCTCTGCCACGCTCCCAGCAAACTCGACCCAGGGCCCCCACTGGTCTCTGACCATAGGGGACGGCCAGGGCACAGCTGGGGAGGGGGCTGTGGGGTTCAGGGCAGCTGGGCCACCGCTCACCGAGTAGCTCTCCTTCTTGGCGGTCATGTTGGTGTTGCGGTCGCTCCAGTCGAAGCCCACCTCCTCCTCCTCCTTCTCATTCAGCCACATTAGCTCCTTAGTGGCGGCTGCCACAAAGCTGTGCAAGCTCTCCAGGGACCTGAGGCGGGCCTTGGAGGAGTTCTGTGGGCAGGAGGGTGCGTGTCAGCAGGCCGCGGGCTACCCACCTCCCCCGGCTGGCCCTGCCCCCACTCACCAGCAGCTTGGCGTACTGCAGGTCCAGCCGACCCAGGCAGTCACGGTAGGCACCCCGGGTGGCGGGGGAGAGCTGGCCCTGCAACAGATGAGACGGTGAGGTCTGCAGTGGCTGGGCCCGGCCCACCCCCGCACTGCCCATCGCTCAGCGCCACCCACCTCGTCACTCCGTGCCCGCTCGATCTTGGCCCGGAATTCTTCGATGGACTGGTGCAGGCCTCGGTGGCTGCCCAGCTGCGCCTCCACGCTGGGCAGGTCCACACCCCACTCAGCGCCATCCACACGGTGCTGGTTCTCCTCCACCCAGGCCAGCAGGTCCTGCAGGTAGCGCAGAGTGGAGTCCTCCAGCTCGGGGCGCCTCTGCACACTCTGCAGAGTCACCTGGGCCACCTGGGTTGCAGGGGCCGCCACGCCTGCCTTCAGCCGTAGGTTGTACTCGGTGCGGATGGCTACCAGGCGCTCGTGCAGACGGTACACCCTGGGGCAGCAGAGGACTCAGGTAGGTGTTGGCGGGCCTGGGGCCGTGTGTACCTGGGCTTCAGGGAGGGCAGGGCGGGGCCCACCTGCGGTACATCTGCTCGCCCTGCGGGTGCCGTCCATCCTTGAGGGTCTGCACGTCGTTGAAGAGCAGCCGGATCATGCTATCCGCCTTGTCCAAGTCCCGTTCCACCTCCCCCGCCCGCTGTGGCACTTTGCCTGCAGCCAGCAGCCGGACATCCTGCAAGGTCGTTGCCATGACTCGGAGCACAGCTGATCCCCCTCTGACCTCACAGGGGCCCCGGCCAAGACGGCCACCCTCAGCCGCTTCCTCAGCCTCAGTGGGCCACTGCCTCCATCCCTGTCCTTCCCCTTCCCTCCCTGCCCACCTCACACATCTTCCTACTGGCCTTCTGGGGGATTGGGACCAAGTCCAGAGTACTTAGCCCAGTCCAAGAACCGAGACCCCCATGACCATGTCTGTGGGGTCCTGGGCCTCATCCTCCATCACCCACCCTGGGTAACTCCTCCTGTAATGCCACGTGGGCCCTGTCCTCCTGGGCAATCAGCAGTGGGTTGGGCCCTCCCCCAACCCCTCCCCTAACAGTAAGCCGCTGTCGGGGAGGGGGCCTGGCGGGGGCAAGGCAGCCCAGCGTGGGTTCTGCCCCGTGGCCAGAAACCAACTCTGCCCAAAGCAGGCAGTGAGAGTTAGCTGCACACGAGGAGGGAGGAGCTCAGGCCTGGATTCCCCACCACATGCCCCGCCCCTGCCCCTGCCCCTGCCCCAGGAGCCCAGGGGGACAGCCCCCTCCTGGCTTTAGGGCTGCAGGGCGGGGCAGGCTCCTCCGGCCTCCCTCCCGCCCACTGCCTGCCCCACACCCCCTCACCGACTGCAGCAGGGCGTCGGCCTGGTTCAGCTGCTCCTCACACAGCCCCGCCTCCATCTGCAGCTTGGTCACGATGCGCTGAAGACACTCCAGCCTGCAGCAGCAGCACAGGGAAGGGGCCGCGTTGGCCGGGTCCGGCACAGCCCTGGCCACAGACTGCAGCTCGCCTCCCGCTCCGGTCTCCCTGGCTGTGGCCCACTGTCCTAAGGCGAGTGGGAGCTTGGGTTCCCCCGCCGGGGGCGGGGCGGGGAGGGGGGTTTCCTTCCCAGGCAGTGACACACCCTCGGGTGGTTCCCCTGCCACCACAGGGCCCCACCCACCTCTCAAACTCGCTGCGGAGCTGCTTCTCCCGCTCCAGGATGGCCACGTGCAGCTTGCCCCACTCCTTCTCCACATCCAGCGGGTGGTAGCCAGGGGGCACCTTGAGCTGGCCTGCTTGCACCGCTCCCTGTAGACAGGGGCCACACTCAGGCCCTATAGGCAGGGGGCAGGGGGTGGGGCGCTGGGCCTTCAGACCCCAGCCCACCAGACCTGGGACAGCCCTGGTCCCAAAGGCAGGGCCAGGTCGGCTCCGGAAGAACCTTTCAGGCCTGGGGCGTTCCAGGACACCACCCACCCCTCCAGCGGTCCCACTCACCTCCAGGGATTGGTAGATGCCCTTGGACCTGTTCTTGTCGGCCTCCTTGGCTGGTAGCTCCATCTCCTTAAACTTCAGGAACTGAGACCACAGGATCTGCCAGGGACGAGGCTGTCGGCAACCACGCCGGGCTCTCAGGGCAGGCCCAGGACCCCGCCCCCCACGGCAGGCCCACCTCAATCTCCTCGAAGCTGGAGGGGAACCTGCGTTCCTCAAAGGCGGCCGTGTGGTGTCGCATCCACTGAAGCAGCAGCAGCACCAGCTCCCGGTACTCCTGCCAGCGCAGCTGCAGCTCCTGCGGGCAGGCACGGGCGGCTGTCAGGGGTCGTCGGGGCGTCCAGGCCCAAGCCCCCTGCCCTCCGGGCCCCCCACTCACGTTGGCCCTCACCCCATCCTGCACGTCCGGCACGCGGGGCATGGCGTCATACAGCGACGAGACGTAGGTGATGATGGACTTCTCGTCGGGCTGAGGGACATCCACGTCTGCAGGGAAGGGCAGCTCAGCGGTGGCTCTGGGGCAGGCAGCAGGGGAAGGGACAGGGAGGAAGGCCACGCAGACGTACCCTCAGGGTCCAGGAGCCGCGTCACTCCCAGGTCCCGCTCCGCCACAGAGAAGGCCTGGTCCAGGTTCTCCAGGTTGGTCTGCCGGTACACCTTGTTCATGTCGATGAGCAGGGGCCTGGGACAAGCAGGTGGCTGGTCAGGTGGGTGGGACAAGACCAGCGGCCACACCACACAGGCGGGTGCACAGGCCGGCTCCTCACACATCCCAGCAACCATGGACCCCCCCAACACTCACCCTGAAAAATACACTGTCACATGGGCAGAGCTGAGAGCACCCTGCCACCCCCACACCCAGAAGCCCAGGGGCACAGCACAGAGGACTGCGCAGAGCTGAGGGTGCCAGGCAGCTGGGGTTCCCTGCAGCCACCCTCCCCACCAGGCCCCTCCGGAGGCGTCCACAGAGGGCACATGCACCTGGCTGTGAGGACCAGCAGCCCGCGGGCCCTCCAGTCTTGAGATCAAGTGGTGGTGCTTCTGAAGGACACCAGGGTGGGGCTGGGCCCTGAACTCCACCACCCCGAGGCGGCCAGCTGGCACTCATCCCTGTTCCTCCTGCCCTCCTCCCTGCCCCAACGTGTCTGAAGTTGCCTAGTGGAGGCGCTGTGGGGGTGCCCCCAGCCCACAGCCCCCTGCCCCCGGGGCCATGTACTTGTGCCGGTGGATGATGGCATTGAAGAGGCGGCCGTCTCTCCAGCTGGAGGTGAAGTTGTCGCATCGCAGGCCCTGGTACCCCTCCACCATTCGCTGCGACCACAGCAGCAGCTTCTCCTTGGCCGTCATGTCCTCCGACTGCCCACTCACCTGGATATCTGAGATCTGCTCACAGCAGAGAGGAGGCCACAGCTCAGCCACAGCCACCAGGCCTGCTCTGTGCCCACAGCCACATGCACAGGGGCAGGGGTAGCTCAGCACCCAGGGGGAGTGCATGGGGCCACCAAACCAGCCAGGGCAGCACCGGGCTCCAGGGCCCTTCCCTGTTGGGAAGCTGCTGGGACTGGCCATGCCTCGGGGCCACAAGTCCAGCCACTCCAGCCGGTGGCAGCTGCCACCACGCAGCTCAGAACCCCCAACCCTCACTGCCACCACACAGCAGGTGCCCACTCCCCTAGCTGGGGAGGGCTAGGCTGCACCCTGCACCTCCCGGAGCTGGGATGGAGCAGAGTGGAAGGGCAGTGGGCATAAGAGGAACCCACAAGTGTACCACTAAACCTGG
Organism: Homo sapiens; assembly: GCF_000001405.40. NCBI lineage: Eukaryota > Metazoa > Chordata > Mammalia > Primates > Hominidae > Homo > Homo sapiens. The sequence goes on from NC_000008.11 coordinate 143,936,412, forward strand.
CCCAGAACCCCCAGGCCTGGAAAAGGCTGGGGGTCGAGCTCCATCGATGGTTGCAGGCTGGCAGGTGGGGCCTCTGGCAGCCTGGCTTTACACTCAGTGGCATGCTCAGGCCAGGTTCTGCCCACCCACCCCTAGCTGCCTGTCGTCCTGCCAGCCTGTGTGACTCAGCTGCCGTGCCAGCACCAGGCTCTGCCTGCTCAGCTCTCAGATTTGTGGTTTCCTGTGCAGCCAGGACAAGCAGCGGGTGAGTCAGCCTGTGCTGCGCAGAAGCCTCCCCAGGGCAGGCACCGGGGCCTGCATTCCTCCACAGGGAGGCTCTGGGCCCTGCCCAGCCAGGGCCAGAGGGCACGGATAGGTGGCCTCAGAGAGAGGCCTGTACCCTCAGGCCACAGATCCAGTCCAGGGTTGCGGCTGGCAGGAAGGCACCCAGGTGCCACCATACCTACGGCGCCAGTCACCTCCCAGGCCACGCCCTAGCCAGAAAGCGGATCAACCCGCCAGCCAAGGAGCCCAGGCTACCCTGGAAACTCCTGCAGGGGGTGGGGGTCCTGGGGGCAGCCGTTCTACCTGGAAGTGCAGAATGATTGTCCAGATGAGGCCAAGGGTCAGCTTGGGGTTGCCGTCAGCGATGTCATCATTCCTGATGTTCACCAGCTTCACCTGTGAGCGAGGGGCTCTCGGTCACGGCCCACAGGGCGGGGCTGGCTTGGTGAGGGGTCTGGGTGGGGCCCAGGGCCTGCCGGGCAGCCTTACCTGGCGGTGCCGGAGGTAGTCCAGGGCAATCTGGACATTCTGCAGCTTGTGGAAACGCATCCTCCCCTTCTCCCGGGGCTGTGGGGAGGCACAGTCAGCACCCACAGTGCAGCTGCAGCTCCCGGGCCCCACCCTCAGCATGCCCCAAAGCGCCGCAGCAACCGAGCCAAGGGTCTTCCCCAGGGGGCAGCAGCCCCTCATCCCAGGTTCACCCTCCCCCGCAGGGAAAGGGAGGCCACCGGCCCAGGGGCCAGGCCAGGCCCATCAGGGCTCGGGAAGTCCAGCGACCCAGGCTGAGGGAAGGAAGGAAGGGGTGGGAGGAGACAATAGCCAGGAAGCCTCGTGTGGAGGGCAGTGGCACTAAAGGGGGGGTCCTCCTGCCTGGCGGTGGCAGCCACAGCAGCCACCGGTGGGTCCCAGGCCAGCTCTGGGCAGCACGGTGGACGGGCAGCTTGACACCCAACCACCTACCCGCCCAAGAGCCAGGCAGGGGTTGGCCGACGGGCCACCAGCCCCCAGAAAGCCGGGCTCCACGGTCTTGGGGAGCTCCCGTGCCGCTGCAGCCGGCAGGCACAGCCACTCACCAGGCGTGAGCTCCTGCTTACGTCCCGCTCCCTCGGCTGCCCGGCCAGAGCAGGGCAAAGGGTAAAGGGCAGAGGTCAAGGTTCAGAGTCCAAGCAGCAGAGAAACCAAAGCAAAGCGGAGCATGAGGTTACTGTGTCCCGACGCGGAGGGCGGCAAGGCCCAGAGCAGCCGAGGTCCGAGGGTTGCGGCCACTCCCAGGCCAGGCCCTCGGCTGTGATGCCCAGCAGCCTGGGCGGGAGGTGCTGCCAGGGACGAGGCCAGCCTGCCCCCAGGGAGAAGGCAGGAGGGGTTGAGCTGGATTCCAAGTAGAGTGGGCGGCCGGAGAGGCCCCAAGGAGGGAAGGCAGGCAGAGGTCTCCAGGTGGGGCAGGCGGGGCCCGGAGGGGGCAGGGGCACACGTACCAGGCTGTCCCCCGAGAGGACCTCCAGCAGGGAGATGAGGTTGTGGCCATCGCGGAGGTCTTCATACAGGTCACTGATGTGCCTCTGGGCCTGTGGGGACAGCAGCGGCTGAGGTGGCCAGTCCCCCAGAGCCACCAATAGGCCCTGAGTGGCTGATCTACAGAGTGGGTGCTGGTCCCAGAGGGAAGGAGGCGGGGGCTGAGTCTCCCGGGAGCCCACGGAACACACCCTGCCCCACGGAGGCACCTACCTCTGCCCGCCAGTGCTGCAAGGAGAGACCAGGAAAGACCAGAAGGAAGAGGAGGAAGAGAGAGGCAGGAGCAGGCGTAGGGAAGAAAGAGGACAGAAAATAACAGGTTTCAGAGATGAAAGGTGAGCACACAGGCAGCATGGGGACAGCCTTGGGCGGCAGGGGCCACCCTCCCTCAGCGCCTCCCACAGCCTCAGCCCCTGTGACACGCACCAGCATGCGCCACCAACCTTGATGAGGTGCTTGTTGACCCACTTGGTGAAGGTTTTCTTCTGCACACGATCCCGCTCATCTGGGGGAGACAAGACCAGCTTACCTGGGGCCTGGGAGAAGCCCCGGGGGCCCTCAGGTGACCACCGTGCAGACACAGCAGCCTGGCTGGCCAGGTCCTGCCTGGGGAGCCCCAAAGCCTCCCTCAGATCACACACTGAGACCCAGGCGCCCTCACCCGCAGCCCAGCCACACAGCAGAGACCCAGGTGCCAGGGGCCCAGGCGCCACCAGGTGCAGCCACCCCACCCCGGACTCTTCCCCCGAGGAAATGGGAGGGTCCTGGGCGCACCCTGAGCCCAGGGCACACAAGTCCCGTCCTGCAGTCCCCCCCGGCCTCTACAGACTGAGACCCAAGCAGGGGTGTGGCAGAGCCAGGGCCCGGGCCCGCTGGGGTGTTGGAAGGGAAGCCGCGTGTGCTGCTGACAGGGCAGCGAACCTTCCCCAGAGCGCAGAGTTCCTCGCCCTTCCAGGCCCGACATCTGACGCTCGGAGGCCCCCGTCAGCCTCGCGGGCGCCTGTCGGCCCACTCCGTGTTGGGTGGGGATGGCTGGCCCCCGACCCCCATCTCCAAGACCAGCCCCCCAGCGGTGCCAAGGCTTTCCTGCCACAGGAAGTGGGCCTTCCTCCCGCAGGGGCCCGCCCTGCCTGGCGGGGGTGCCCGAGGGGAGCCCTGCTACCTTTCTTGCCCTCAGAGGCCCTGAGCACAGCCAGGTACAGGTTGTCCTCCGAGCTGGTTCTCTTTCGGCCCAGGCCCTCGGGCTGCGGCACGCGGAGCTGGTGCTGAGACATGCTGCCCCCACACCTTCGTCGCCCGGACCCTCGGCCTCAGGCACGGTGCTCTGGGCAGCCCCGTGTGGCACACAGGCAGCTGAAGGCTGGCGGCCCCACGAGACGCTCACTCGGCACAGGCTCAGCTCAGAGCCCCAGTCGGTGCGGCCACTCCCTGCCTGCTGTACTCCCCGGCGAGGCCGGCCCGCCCCCGAGGCCCCACCCTGCCCAGGCCGCCGCCAGGGAGGGGAGTGTCCCGGCGGGAAGGAGCAAGCAGCCCCCTCCCCCACAGACACGCCCTCGGCCCGCCAGAAACAGGAAACCGGGGTTTCCTCACCCACCCCGACCACTGCAGCCCCCTAGGGGGACCTGGGGACACGGGGAGCTGGCACTTCACTGCACACCAAATGGTGCCAGGACCGCAGAGGAACACAGGCCGTCCCCACAGCCACCCAGAAGGACCCCCCAACAGACTGAAGGGCTCCCCCGACGGGAGGGGCTCTGAGGCCACGCCTCTCTTTGGAGCTCCCTCCAGGCCTGGGCCAGGCCCTGCTTCAGCCTCTGCCCACCCACCCTGCCAGGGCGGACTCAAGAAGCCGCTGATACCTGGCGAGGGGAGGGGACCTGCTGCCTGTCAGCTCTTGCAGCCCCCCAATCACACCTCTTCACAGACCTGCATGAAGCGGGGAGCACACCCTGCCCCATGGTGCCTGCCCTGGCCCTGGGGCCAGTGGGGTCCCACCCCAGGCCTGGCCCCTCCCAAGCTGCCCACCTGGCACATCCTGGAGCAGTGCCCACCTGCGGAGCCCACCCTGCCCCAGGCAGACACCTCACGTCGGAGGCGCGTAGCTGAGGGCTGACTCACGGAGGCCGGGCCTCATGGGGGAATGGAGCATCGGGAAGCCCCAGGAGGGGCCTCGCCAGTGAGTCAGGGATGGGGAGGGGGCCCAAGCCTGTGACTCACAGAGGGGAAGCCACACCTGAGGCAGGACCTGGGCGACCCCAGGGGTGGGGGGTGCTGTTTGCAGCTGGGTGGGGCTCAAGGGAAGCAGTCTCATGCTGTAAAGGGCAAAGGGCAAAGGGCCTGCGCTGGCTGGGGCCTCCGGCTCCCTGGGGTCCGGGGCGGAGCTGCCTCTGGCCAGCTTCTGGGCCTGCCCAGCCCACCCGACCACCATAGGAAAGAATGCGCTGCCCCAACCACAAGAATGTTCCAGCCGCACATCAGGCAGATTCGGTCCAGCTGGGAGCTGCACTCGGCCTCAGTTCTGGGAAGAGCTCACCCCACCTCATTCCTACTGCCCCTGAGGCCGTGAGGGGGCACCAGAACCCTCACAATGGGGGGTGCCCAAACCCCTCAGAGGTGGGGAAGCCCCCACTCCACGCCAAGGGGCACAGCCAGCCCCTAGGGCTCTGCCACATCGTACACGCCGCCCAACGAAGACACCCCTTGGTCTCCATGCATGGTCTCTGAGCCTGGCATGAGATTCAGGGTGACCCTCTTGCTCTGCCTGTCCGGCCCAGCAGCCTCCAGAACCTCAGGAGTCACCAGAAGCCCCCAAATCAAAATCTGACCCCGCACTGGTCAGCACCTCCAGTCTTGTGCCCAAGGGCACCCCGGACCCCACACCTCTGCCGCCCCTCCCTGGGTCCAAAGCCTCTGGAAACACTGTCGCCTCTTCAGAAGCCCTGGGCCAGCAGCTACCCTGAGGCCAAGCCCCGCGCCTGCTGGGTATGGGCTCTGGGGGCCCGGCCGTGACCAGGTGGCTCCTGCCTGCAGGAACGGGGCTGCCACTCTGCTGAGGCACAGTGTGAGATCCCGGAACAGCCAGGGAGGTGGGCACAGGGAGTCCACGACAGCTGGAAACTGGGAGCCGGGGCCAAGGTCCAGGACCCACGTGGAGCCCACCCCAGCCAGGCCCCTGTTCCAGCCTTCTCCCTGCCACTAACAGGCCTCCAAAGATGCCGCCCTGGGCCGGGCCAGGGTCAGGAATGGGGCAGGGGCTCAGGGAAGGGAAGGGGCACGGTGGGGACTCCAGACACGGACTCGGGCAAGGCTGGGACCGGGTGAGGAGAAGGGCTGGGGCGGGGCAGGGCTGGGACCAGGTGGGCTGGGGGCTCGGTCAGGGGCCTCCACCTCCCAAGCCTGGCTCAAGCTCCCCTTCCCTACTTCCTGCCTCTGGGTGCCTCTTTGCTCTGAGCTCTTCCCTCCTCATCACCTCCCCTCCCTCCCAGCCCAGCCTGCCCCGCCCCATCCAATCCTATTCTGACCCTAAAACCAACAGACACACCCGCCCCACCCAGCCAGGCTACACCCACCCTCTACAGCTGCAGCTCAGCTGGCTCTCCCACCTGGGACGCACCCAGAACACCCCCAGCTCAGGTGCCTCTGCACACCTGCCTGACACCTGTGCTGTCCAGGGCTGCTGACCCTCGGCCGCCAGCCCAGGGTCCCTCACGACAGGCACTGCCGTGGCCCTCTGAGGAGTATCGCCCCCGTTTTACAGGTGTGGACCCTATGGCTGAGGTCCCGCAGCTAGTGGAGACGGTCCTAGGATGGAAACCCCAAGACTGGGAAGGGAATCCCACTGGCCCAGGACTGCAGCAAGTCCACAGAAGGCCTGGAGCCCCGCCTTCAGCACCTCCTCCCTCCCCCGTGTCCTGGAAACCCAGGCCAAAGCCCAGGCTGACGTGGAACAGCCGGGGGTGGGCCAGCCCCGCCCCCTCCAGCCCCGCCCCCTCCAGCCCCTTCTCTAGAGACAAACAAATGGGGGTAGGGGAACATCACCCCGCCTTCCTCCCCAGGTGTTTCCGGAGCTCGGGGGCAAGGCTGCACCGGGCCAAGGCGCCACCCCCATCCCAGCCCAGGCGGCGGTTCCCAGCAGAGACCCAGCCCCACTAGGTGAGAGCGATGGTGGCCCCTTCTGTGCCACCGGCCACGCCACTGCACCCACCTACGCAGCACAGCTGCTGGTAGAGGTAGCCCCTGCGGGCCGGCTCGCAGCCCCCGTCCAGCCAGCACGGCCGCTCCAGCAAGACCTCCCTCGGCGAGGCAAAGGCGCCCCCCGCCCCCGACATGCCGGCCACGGCCGGAGCCCTGGTTCGGCCCACGGACAGTGCGGGGAGCTGGACCGCGGCGGCGCCTCTGCTTCCAGCCCACGCTGCGAGGCTGCCGGCTTCGCTCTCCACCTCTTCCACCTCCCCCCCACAATCCGCCCACTGCGGGAGCGAGGCCCAGACCCAAAGAACCTGCCCCTGGCGCGCAGCCCCGCCCAGCGCAGCCAGGAAGCCGCGCCCCAACCCACGGGCCGGGCTGGGAGGCTGCCCTGGGACTGAAGCGGCATGGGAGGGGGCCTCCCAGCAGGATGTGCGGTGGGGACTGCAGGGCCCAGGGAGGAAGGCAGGGCATGGGGCCAGGTGGTGGGCAGACAACGCTGGAGGCAGAACCGAGGAGCTGAGCCGCGTCTGGCACCACCAGGGAGTAGAGGCATCCTGTGAGCCAGGACCGTGGCCGAAGGGGGCAATTGTGGGCTGAGGTGGGGAGGCAGGGACAGTGTCTGGTCCCCAGCCAAAAACATGGATGGGGAAGAAGCCCTCAGCCCAAGTCCCATCCTGGCAGCTGAGTCCCCGGCAGCTCCGGGCGTCCCCAGCGCCACGCCTAGAAGCCCCATCTTGACTCATCTCAAGTCCGGGGATCCAGCAGAGGAGCTGAGCCAGGCAGCGCCCTCACTGCAGGAGAGGTCTGGCCAGCCAGGTCCCCGATAGGCAGTCCCTCTGGCCAGAAGCCCATAATTGAGGCTGCCCAATCCCCAGGGCCCCGCCCCATCCTGTGCTGGGCACGGTTGCCACCTGGGACCACAGCCCAGGAGCTGGTGACTTTGAGCAGGGAGGGCAGGGCACAGCCTGGCTGCCCCCGCCCCCTGTGCGGCCCGAGGGCATGAGGGCACCTGCCTCACCTGCGTGTGGCTCCACCCCCTGCTGTGTGTGCAGGGAGCCACCTCCACCTCAGTGCTGGCCGGACAGGCACCTGCCCACTTGTCCCTGCCACGGCGGCTGCCACAGGCCTCCCTTCGTGTGGGGGACGCTCCTGCCCTGCCGGCCTCCGCTTCCACCCACCTGTCCCGCACAGGCTGCAGGCTGAGGGCCACTGCAGAGCCCGCCCCGCCCTGGGACTGCAGCAGGGTCAGGGTCTACACTGCAGGGTGGGGTGGAGGGGCAACACTGCTTTCACTGACATTCAGCTTGGAAACAGGAAGGGGAGGGCGCAGGGAATGAAGGGGCGGGAGGCAGGCGGCCCCTCTGCCCCGCCTCGAGTCCCTGGCAGCCACCAGCGGGGCTTACCTTGCTCGTCCTGCGCCCACCGACGTCCCCTGCGCCAGTGCCACACAGCGGCCAGGGTGACAACGTGACCCACAACCACCAGGGAGGGAAACAGGCTGCCCGAGGGCTCCATAGCCGCCACGCGGAGCCGCCAGGGCTGCCCTTCCTGCGCTGGGAACCGGCTGCTCCAGGCTAGACAGCCCCCTCCCTGCGTGCAGGGCGAGCGAGGGGGAGCGCCGGGACCGGAGCCTGCCCTGCCCGCAGGACCGCCCCATACGCGGCGGCAGCCCCACAACAGCTCCCGCCCGCCTCCTCTCCTCCTCCCTCCGCGGGTCCGGCCCTCGGCGCCTCCCCACCCTCGCTCCCCACCCGGCCGGCTCAGCTGTCCCTGCGCAGGGCTACTGACGCTCAAGGTTAGTTGGCCTTAACCCCTGCGTCCCCGCGGCCACACCCGCCGGGAGGAGGGGCCAGCCGCACGCCTGGCCAAGCCGCAGCCCCCCAGCACTGCCCGCGGCCTCGGCACACACCCTCCCTCCCTCCCAGCCTCCCCCTGCTGTCCCCACCAGAAGAGGGGCCCGAGCAGCCCACTCTGCCTCCAAGGCTGCCCTCTGGGGACAGCTGGCAGGCATGGAGGGATGCCAGAGCCCCCACCTCAAGCCTGCAGCTGAACCCACTGCACTCCTTCAACTTCGCCCTCCTCACCAGCCCCAACACCCCAAAAGTGAGACTGCAGACCAGGGCTGAGGGGGTCTGGGTGAGGGCACATGAGGCAGGCTGTGTGCAGGGCGAGGGACAGCGCCCCTGGCCTCCAGCCTCAGCCCCAGCCCTCTGGCCCCTGTCCCCAGCAAGGGGCCAGGATTTCACAAGGCTTTCAAGGGCTGCCCACCTACCGGGCACGATCTTCATCGGGGACGGTGGCAGGAGCCCACGGGGCAGACGGAGCGGGCCAGGGGTGTGGGAGGTCACAGGCCCCTCGGAGGAGGCACAAGCCACTGGCGGCAGCGTCGGGTGGGAGGAGGGCACGGCCGTGCTGCTGTCAGCAGCAGCTTGTGGGGGAGGGGAGCAGTGGGCAGGGGCCCAGGGGATATAAATATCCGAGGAGGGCGCGCAAGGACCGTCACCACCCAGACTTGGAACATGACGCACGGCGCCAGGGCACCCAGGCCCCGCTGCAGTCAGGTCTGGCTGGACGGTGCCACCCGACACCTCGGTCCCCCAGCTCCCACAGGGGGTTCTAATATAATAGAGCAGGGCGCGGGAGGTGCGGGCTCACGTCCCTGCAGGAGGCGGTGCAGTCCCCACCCACCTGCCCTGCCAAGCCAGGGGGTGCTCTTGGAAAGGCCACAGGGGCCAAGAGAAGAGGCCGCCCATTCTCCCAGAGGGCCCTGCGCAGGTCACTCAACACAGCACCTGGCCCCACCGGTGGCCGGGACAGCCACCCCAAAGTCACGCGCAGGCCAGAGACCCAGGCAGCCCGAAACCAGGGCTCAGGCCTGCGCCTGCCCCACAGCACAGCCTCTCCTGGGGTCCCAGGGATCTGGGATGGAGACGCCTCTCCTGGGCCACGGCAGGAGACTGGCCTGGCTCCACCCAGGAGTCCCGAAGCCCTGCTCTGTGGAAGGCCTGGGTCAGAGAGCCGGGCCACAGGCAGGCCCACAGCATATCCTATGCAGATCAGATCCCAATGCAGCCGGGGAAACAGGACGTGGGACACGCACAGTCCTGCTCCTCTTCCTGGGACCCCTGTCTGCTGGGCGCACCCCTCAGGCCCAGGAGAATGCACGTTGACGGTATACCCCATTCCACAGCGTCGCTCCTGGCACCACATGGAACCCTCAGCAAACCCCATGAAGTCCTATACCATGAAGGCCTCATACAGACCAGGAGCCTGAGGCGCCGCCTGCTGTCCCGCACGCTGCCATCTGAGCCCAGGTGGCCTCCAGTGTAGTTACCTCAGCCCACAGCAAGGCACAGTGAACCAGCCTGGCCCCGGGCCACTGGGCAGGCCACCCAGGTCCATGCTGGGAAGCCCGCGGACAACAAGAGGGCCGGGCCCACCCCAGCCTCCTGCTCTCCAGCCCCACACCTCAAAAACGTGCGGCCGAGGGAAATGCCTGCAGTGGCCCACTCTGGGCGGCCAGGGGTCGGGCGGGCCCAGGCAGCCCTGAGGGTCAGGGATACCCAGGCATGCCAGAAAGGGCCCAACTCCCAGCTGAGCCCAGGACAGCATCTGGCCAGCAGTGGGCAGGGGCCGACAGGCCGGACGTTTCAGCCCACTCCCTGCCACGTGCTGGGGAAGCCTCAGAGGAGCCTGACTCAATGGCCTGGGTGAGAACCAGCTCCTGGCGGGAGGAGTGCCCCAGGCTGGCAGCGGGCAGTTCTTCTACCACTCCACGGAGGTCCGGACAGGCCTGTGCTTCCGGGACACACATCACACACACCCCTGGGGCAGCTCCGAGAGGGGGCTGTGCCTATCCCTGCATCCCAGGTCTGACGGCACAGAACGGTGGACAACGGGAAGAGACAGGTCTGCCAGAGGCGGCCCCGGCCCTCTCCTCTGCCTCCCACAGCCCCCAGCTCTGCCTGCCCTACCTTGGCCCAGCTGAATCAGCTCCTCCATGCTGTACCTGTCCATGGCTGCCACACAGGCCAGGCTGCTCCGAGAGCCGGCAGGGAGGAAGGCGAGGCAGGAAGGAGGGAAGGGGTGGGAGGCAGAGGGAGGGCCCACTCATGCCCTGGTAGCAGCGGCTCCTCCTCGCAGCCACCCCTTAGTCAGTAAGCAGAGATGAAGCCCAGCCGACTGACGGGTCAGACCAGCCCAGCAGACCTGCCTGGGGGTGCAGGGGACTGGCCTGCCTGCAATCCCAGAGAGCCCTCCGGCCCCAGCCCACGGGTCTTCCCTACTGTTCCTGCCCCGCCCAGCAGACCCCCCGCCCAGCAGACCCCACCCTGTAGCCTCCCCTTCCCGCTGCAGGCCCCACCAGCCCAGCCCTGCCCTCCCACCCTCCCACCCACATTCCAGGCATCCATGTGCCCAGCGGTATTTCAGGAGCCAGGCGGGAGCAGAGCCCCAAACTGCCCACCACACCCCACTCCTTGAGACTCACATTCCTCAGCCCCAAAGGTGGTCTCTTCCTCCACCTGAGTCCTCCCCAACCAGCACAGCCCCAGGCATCTGTCCAGGGGCAATGGTGACACCTGCCTCCCCTCTCCATACCTCTCCACCCAGGTGCTTGCTGACCAGTGAAGTGCAAATCAAATCCCATCGTAACTACCCCTTAGAAGCCTGCCGGCGATCTACAGAAATCCCGCAAACGGGTGACTCGGCCAAGCCAGTGATCCCTGTGGAAAGCTGGCCGGGCCATAGTCCCTCCACCTAGAGCACCCTGTGGCTGGGAAGAAGGGCAAGGCAGCCAGGCCACCTCCAGGCTTCCTCCTTGACGCAGGGCCACAGAGGGTCAAGGGGGGAGGTCAAGGCACAGGCGTGTCCTCCGTGTAGAGGGGAAGTCATGGTGGCTACCCAACCCCTGCCCTTTGCTGTGGGAAGCAGCTCTAGGTGCTGTGCGTGTACAGCGCTCACCGTGGTGGCGGCTACCTGGCCCCTGCCCGTTGCTGGTGCATGGACAGCGCTCAGCTGGCGTCTCCTCCACACAATCCTCGGTTCCTTCAGAATTTTGAGCCAGGCAAAGCATCGCCATTTGCAATGTAAATTAGGGCTGGGCGGTAGCTATAATCCCAGCACTTTGGGAGGCTGAGGCAGGCGGATCACCTGAGGTCAGGACTTCAAGACCAGCCTGGCCAACATGGCGAAACCCCGTCTCTACTAAAAAAAAAAAACAAAAATTAGCCAGGCATGGTGGCTCATGCCTGTAATCCCAGCTACTCAGGAGGCTGAGACAGGAGAATCGCTTCAACCCGGGAGGCGGAGGTTGCAGTGAGCCAAGACTGTGCTATTGCACTCCAGCCTGGGCAACAGAGCGGGACTCCATCTCAAAACAATAAGTAAAATAAAAATGAAACGTAAATGAAACTCACATATAAAAACACATTCCTACAGCTTCCCACCACACCAAGCAACTGAAACTCTGCCACAGGCCCAGGGCCTTCCCATGGGTCCTCTCCCTCTGGCCTTCCGGCCTCCCTCTGTCCCTCTCTCTGGGCTGCTCCTGGCAGGGTAGGCACCTCCTCAGAGCCCTCCCTGATTGCTTCTGAAGCCACCTTCCCATCACGCTCTCCTCACCCAGTTCACCCCACATATCTGGAGCCCCCTGGGGCAGGGGCTCCATCTGGGTCTGGCCCTGGCCTGTGCATGGCTAAACAAGCAGGTGGACGGATGGCTTCCCACACAGATGTGTTGCTGGCAGGCCCCCATGGGCCCCACCCAGGGACAAGCAGACCACCAGGGCACAGGGAGGGCAGGGGCCTCACTGCAGGGGTACAGCTGGTGCTCCCTAGCCAGGGCTGGGTGGAGAGGGGCAGCCCATCCAACAGGGCCATCCTGGACCAGCACAGTTGGCCCACGAGCTCTGACCTTGCCCTTCTGCCAACCCACGGAGCGGCTGTGCAGTGGGGAAGGGCAGGGCAGCTCACTGCTTGGTCACTTAAAAACTCCAAGAAGTGCCTGGTCTCAGGTATCATCAGAACTGCCCCGGGCTGTATGCAGGGCCATCCGGACCCCTGTCACTGCCTGAGGCCCAGCCCTGGCCCTCTGCCACACCCCACATCCGAGCCGCCTCCTTCCCCTAGCTTCCCATCCCAAGCTCAGCCCGTGAGGTCCAGGGCAGAGAGGGGTTTGAGCCTGCTGGCCCTGACTCATCCCGGAGCTGTGGCTCGCTTCCTGTTGGAAACTCTGAGCTGCTGCTGGCGGCTGTGGCTTTGGGGGGACTGAGTCACCTCCATCGGGGAGGGGTGCCCTCCGCTCTGCCTGCTGCAGCCACACCCAGCACACCCCACTCTTGGCCCTGCCGCCAGCTGCCCGCCCTGCAGGCCCAGCCCAGCCACGGACAAGGAAGGAGAAAAAGGAGGGGAGGGACTCCCAGTCACCACAGCTAGGAGTTGAGCATGGGGAAGCTGGGCTGCCAAATGACCGGGGAGTGGGTGGGCAGGGGTGCCGGGTGGGAGAGGACAGCAGGAAGGCCACATGGGCCGGGGCCTGGACTACATGCCTGGCCAAGCAGTCTTTGTCTCATGCCTCCTGTCGGGAGACATGTCGTCCATTTAGAGAGGAGCTGGAGAGGCCACTAAACCTGTCCAAAGCCGCAGAGAGAGCCAGGAGGGGAGGCCAGCCTCCACCCCACAGCCTCACTGATCCTCCCAGATGGGCCCAAGGCAAGCCCCTAACAAGTCCAACTCACCCCAGGCCAGCCAGCACCAGGGCTCCGCCCAGCATCCCACACGGGCAGCTGCGCCCTAAACTTGGGCCTCCCCTGGGCCCCCTCCCCCACACCCTGGCAAATCCTGCCCACCCTGAGAGCCCCACCCCAGGCCCCCTTCTTCAGCCTGAGAGAGCAAGCTGCTCCCAGGTGCCAGCCCCAAAGAGGGAGGTGGGGCCAGGTGCTGGGGGACCGGGCCATCCGGAGCCAGCACGGAGGGCAGAGTGCTCCACAGTGTGTGTGTGAGCCTCGGGCTGCAGGGGACACATCTGCCCACCTGGGTCCTGCTGGTACAGGTGCTTGTGGACAGAGGGAGGCCACAGAGAAGGGGCAGAGCAAAGGGTCTCTGGAAGCCTCTGGGATGACAGGACCCGTCCTGTCCTGTGCGACCTGGTTCGTACCGGGAAAGGCCTATCTAGGCCCCAGGCTGGGCCAGCAGACACCACACCACAGCCTGGCCTCTGCCCTGCCGGAGGAGCCTCCTGCCTGGACCCTGCGCTTCTCCCCATCCCGCCCAGGGCCGTCCCCAGCCACCACCAAGTCCAAGCTGGCCAAGCACTCAGTTACCGGTCACACCGGGCACTCTGTGCGGCACCAAGCCTCACCCATCAACCCCCGCGGCAAGGGAGGCGGCCAGGCCATGTGCTGGAGGAGGGCCACACCCAACCGGCGCCAGCACCTCCTCGCACACCCCCACCTCAGTGCCGAGGAGCCTCGGGGAAGACAGGTCACTGGGACAGGAGAGGAGGCGGAGGGGGCGAAGGCAAGGGCAGTGTTGGAGAGAGGGGAGGGGGCGCCCCGGGGTGTGCCTGGGCCACAGGCTCCTCCTTGGCCTACACACCCGAAGGTCCCCAGCCGAGGAGGAGGGGCCACATGGGCCCATCAGCAAGCGCACCCCCTGACCCTCGGCTAGGGGGGGCCACCTGCTGGTGTGAGCGACGCTCCGCAAGCCGGCTGACCACTCCAACCACTCCAGCCCAGGCCCAGGCCCAAGACCCGACAACCAGACCCCTACTTGCCACCCATCATGACTTGGGGTCAGGGTGCAGCTGACCTGTGGCTGGGGCAGGCTCCGGGCCTGGCCTGGCCAGGGTCCGCTGGGTGGTAGCAGGCACCACAGGGGTCTCAGGTGACACCTCCTCAAGCTCCTTCCGACGGTAGACCCGCTGCTCCTCCGTCGGCAGCGGCCCCCGCTTGGGTGGGGAGCCCAGGGGACCCTGCACAGCCTGCACGTGGGGGGTGCGGCGTGCGGGCATCACCATGGCGACGGGGCGGCGCACGCGCTGCAGAGAGGCGGGCACGATCTCTGGCGGCAGGTGCAGGTACTGGCGGAGGTGGGCGATGCCTTCATTGGTGAGGTACCAGTAAAAGTGGCACCAGGCAAAGGTCTCGCGGACCAGGCCCCGTGCCCGCAGGGACGCCATGGCACGCATGACCTGCAGGTTGGTGACGCCGGGCACATGGGGGTGCAAGCTGCGGGGCCGCCGGTCCTTCTTGGCCACCATCACGCCCTCGCGGAAGAGCACCTCATAGATGGCCCGCAGCTGGTCCCGTGGCATGAGCATGCCGGCCACCATGGCTGCTGGAGCCGGGCAGTCAGTGCGGGGGCAAAGGCAGCAGGCAGGGTACCACGAGAAGGCCCGGGGCGCTGCGAGAAGCTCCCGCGCTACAGGGTGTGACAGCGGGCAGCGGCAGGGCAGGCGGGCGGGCAGGCAGGCTGGGGTGCTGAGCGTGAGGGCGCGGGCTCCCGGCTGTGTGGCTCGTGGCGCCTGGCTCCGTGCAATCCCTGCCGGCACTGCCGGCTGCCCGCCTTCCTCCAGGACGCCGGGCCGGCCCCCTCTGACTCAGCAGCATGGGCGGCCCCTCCCACCCACAGCCGACGGGGCCCTTGTAGAGTGGGGGGCACCTCAAGAGGCAGCGGCCACCCCCACAGCTGCCCCTTTCCCCCCACCAGGCCCCACGGCTCCAACGTCAGAAATGACATCAGTTTCTAAACACATCCTTCAAGGTCCCTAAGACTGTGCTGGGGCAAGTGGGGGCGGATATAGACCAAGAGTCTAAAGAAGAGGGTGGCAGGGCAGGCAGGGGGGCTGAGGGCAGGAGGGGTACTCGGCAGGGATGTGGGCTCTGGTGTCCCGGCTTCACAAGGATCTGAAGGGGGGTGCTGGGCTGCCAGGCCTGGAGGGATGAGGGATGCGAGGCTTGAGCGGAGAGGACTAGGGCCTGGGGAAGAAGCTGGGGTCTTGCGGGAGGAAGTCCGAGGGGAGCGGCTGGGGGCAGCTGCCACAGCACATGAGGAGGGCTGCAGGCACCGCTGCTGCTGTCCATCAGGCGGGCAAACGGACAGAGCCCCCACCTCCACACACCAGGCTTAGAGGCAGTGGCCACTCAAGTTAACACTTCCCATTCCAGGCCAGATTAGGAGTGGCCTCTCCAAGCCCACAGCCCTCTGAGCAGAGCACCGGCTAGGGGGCTCAGAGGGGCCTCAATTCACCCCCACCTCCAACCCAGCTGTTGGAGGCCAGAGATTCCCAGCCGCTGCCACAGAGAAAGTCACCGAGTCCCTACCGCCCACAGATGCCCACCCTGGGCAGCCCAAGTGCCCGTCTGCAGGCCAGATGGATGGCTGCAGGGTGGAAGAATGCCAGGCCAGAAGACGGCCAGGGCCCAAGGGAAGGGAAGAGGAAACTGCCCTGTGAGGCCCTGCAGGCCTGGCCCAGCCACACCCATCATCCACCCCCCCCTCCCCGCCCCGCTGCTGCCGCCCCCACTGAGGGTCCAGGCATGAGAACCGCACCCAACACTCCCACTGTCCCACGCTGTGCTCCATGGACCCCCACCCGTATCGCTGCTCGCCCCAAGCCGACACACCCCTTCCCACCAAGCCCGGCAAACCCGGGAACTGATTATAAATAGGGCGGTGGGGGGGAGTGGGAGAGAGGGGGGATCCCGAGGTGGGAGGCGCTGGCCAGCAGCCGGCAGGCGGCCAACAAGCAGCTTGTGGGGGCGGGTTTATGGGGCCGTCGCCATGGCGCCACGGTGCAGGCTCCAAACACACACACACACACACACACACACACGCGCGCACACACGCACGCGCACGCGCACGCCTGCGTACACAGAGGTGTGGTGGCGGGGAAACTCCGAAGGCATAGCCACGGTTCCCACAGCCCTCTGGCAGGGCCAGCTCGCTGCGGCATGGCTCTCCCTCCCTCTGAAGCCAGCCCCAGGCAGGAAAAGGCCAGCCTCAGGAGGTGAGGCTCCAGGAAGATGTAGGGACCACAGTGGCCACGCCCCTCGGACCACCAGCACCTGCGGACCCTCCACCCACCAGGGTTGTGGCTTTGGGAACAACACCAGCTGGGTCCAAGCCTGCCCAGCCCTGTGCCCAAAGAAGGCCCTACCCTCTTGGCCAGTCCCTCAGCGCACCCCCCCACACTGACCTCCTGCACTCCCGGCAGGCCGACCGCATCTTCCTGGCCTGATTCCCTAACCTAATCCCCCCCAGATCTCCAAGGGCCCCACCAAACTAACCCACGATACCCACACTGTCCCAAAATGATCCCAAGGCCTCTTAAAAGCACGTGGACCTAGGTTCTCTCCTACACAGGCCTGCAGGGGTGCCAGGACTGACCCCCGCTGGGCCGCCACCCAACCAGCCCCGCCTCCCCCAAGCCGGCTCCGGGCAGGAAAGGGCGGTAGCTTCCTCCAGCAGAGATGGGGCGGGGCTCGGCGGGAGTCCCCTCCCTCCCACCAGCCAGGGGCCTGCAGGCGGGAAGGGAAGCCGCAGGGAGGAGCCCGGAGCAGAATGTTCCTGGCCCACCCTGCCAGCTCCGCACACGCCCCCCTGCGGCATGCGCCACCCCCCCCCGCCTCGCAGCACACACCTCCTGCAGCACACACCCCCCCCGAAGCACACACACCCCTGCGCCAGGGTCCAGGCGTCCCCCAAGACCCCCGGGCGGAAGCTACCGCCCCCTGCCCCCACCCTGTGGGAACCGAAGCGGGAGCTGATTCAGCACTGGGAGGGCCAGGGTGTGCGACTGGGCGGCCCCTTCTCCCCCCACTCCAGACCCCTTTGGGTTTCCAGAGCAACCAGTCAGGGCTCCTGGGCAGCCCCCAGCCCCCCCACCCCACCCCAAGACAAAGAGCCGCAGTGTGGACTTGCTCAGGGCCAGCCGGCCCGGCGCCTCTGCACAGTGGTCCCCCAGCCCTGCCCTGCCCCTTGGACGCCAGGTTGTGGGCGGCAAACTCGGGCCGGGTGGAAGGGGCTGACCCTGCTGTGAAGGCTGAGCTCCCACTGTGTCCCTGTCCCCGCCCCGCCGCCGCCGCCGCCGCCGCCGCCGCTGCAGCAGCCACCCCGCCCCCGACGCTCCTGCAGGGCTGCGGAGCCGCTGAAGCCAGCCCAGTAGGACCCCGAACCAGGTGGAGCCCGGAGGGGGACGAGTCTGGGGTCTCCTGCGGCTCTGGCTCAGCGACCCACAGTGTCACCCCAGGGATGGCAGACCCTGCCCGCCACCCTGCGTGGACTGCACCCAGCCAGAGGTCACTGTGTGGTCCGCGCCCCCCGGCTCGGGCCCGGCCCCAGGACCGCACCTTTGAGGGAGCTGATCTCGTTCTGGATGGCTCGCGAGGGGTCCATGTCTGCGCCGGGGCTGAGGGCGGCTGTGCCACCACCAGGCAGAGTCCAGCCCCGCACCGCACTGCCCAGGCCAGCGCCGCAGCCGGGGGAGGAGCCCGGAGGTCCGGGGCAGGGCTTGCCGGCCAGGGGCGGGGCTTCAGCTGATCAATGCGCCGGACAGGGCCGCCCCGGGCGCATGCTCCCGGCCGCACCGCGCACCCCTCCCCCCCAGCCTGTGGTTCTGGGGCACGCGACCCCGCTAACCCCAGCCAGACTGCCAGGTCACCAGGCCGGATCCAGGAGCGCTCGGACGGCCCACTCCCCAGCTCCGCAGCCCCCGGCCCACCCCACAGCCCCCCGAGTCCACTGCAACGAGCCATGCTTAGAACAGCCTGTGGGACACACGTGCGAGGGCCTTGAAGCCGTTACCCGCGCCCTGCAGGAGATACCCACCCATCCAGATCTCCCAGTAACTTCCTCAGCCGGCCCAACTCCAGGGCCTGGGCTGGCAGGCTGCTGAGATCAAGCCCCCAGACCCTGGTCGGCCACCTCCCACCTCCCCGGCCCCAGCAGTGTGCCCCTTCCCCGGGCGTCTCGCCTCTGCGCAGCCCTGGGTCAGGCACCTTGTACACTGGCTCCAAAGATGACAGGTCCGACCTGCACCCTGGTCTCTGCCTCTCCCACCCAGCCTCAGGATGCCCCACAGGCAGCCCCACAGGTCCTCCTGGCTGCGCCCCCCAGTCTGCCCACTCGCCAGCATCTCCACTGCCGCCAGATGACACTGCAGCTCCATCCCTCACCCACCCCCCACGACCACCAGGGACCCTTCGCAGCTGCTCTGATCCAACCACCCCTATGGCTAATGGGGTCAGCCTCCTCAGCCCGCAGGAGTAGCTGTGTGTCACTGCGCACGCCTGGGGGAGCAGGTAGCACTGGCAGGGTGAGGTCAGCTCTGCCTCACTCACTGCGCTGCAGGGGGCACGGAGGAATGCTGGGCCCTGCCCACACCAGGGCACCCCTTCAACACTGGCCCCGGGACTGTGCTCCACCCCAGTCCGTGCTGGTAGTGTGGGGCAGGACAGCCTCCACAAGATAGAAGTGACTAGCCTGCCTCAGTCTCCAGCAAGGCCTTTCCTCTGCCTTCACCCGCAAGTCCTTCCCCTCCTGTAAACAGACCCACTGTGCGCCAGGCTGGGGCTGGCATGGAGGACGTGACCATGATCCAGGAGCGAGGCCGGCAGCTCCCACGGGTACGAGCTAACAGGCAAAGGGCCAGAAGCCAGCCCCACCTCCACCGTAGACCCAGCAGTTCTGGAGTCTCTCGTCCCCCTGCCCGTCCCTGCCCTCCCTGGGACTCAGCCAGTTGGGGTGTGGGGAGTCTCAAGAAACACCAGTTGCCAAACTTAAGGAAAATGGTGAAGTGAGGAATTAAAACAGAATTTCAGGCCGGGCACGGGGACTCATACCTGGAATCCCAGCACTTTGGGAGGCCGAGGCAGGTGGACCACTTGAGGTCAGGAGTTTGAGACCAGCCTGGCCAACATGGCAAAACCCCATCTCCACTAAAAATACACAAAAAAATCAGCCAGGCATGGTGTCACACGCCTGTAGCCCCAGCTACTCAGGAGGCTGAGGCACGAGAATCACTGGAATCCAGGAGGCTGAGGTTGCAGTGAGCCGAGATCGCGCCACTGCTGAATTCCCAGCTAGGTTTTACTGAGCTGTATCTGGATAAACCTAAATTTGGCCTGCAAGTGAATCATACTTCCTTAGTAAACCTCAAGTGAAAGTGACAGATATTTATAAAGAGATCTAAAAAGTTCATACATTTTTAAAAAATGCTGTTTTTTTTTTGTTTTGTTTTTTTGAGACAAGGTCTCACTCTGTCACCCAGGCTAGAGTGCAGTGGCTCAATCACGGCTCACAGCAGCCTCGACCTCCTGGGCTCAAGCGATGCCCCCACCTCAGCTTTCTGAGTAGTTGGGACTACAGGCGTGCACCACCACTCCCAGTTCATCTTTTAATTTTTTATACAGACAGTCTGTCTCTGTGTTGCCCAGGCTGGTCTCAAACTCCTGGGCTCAAGCAATCCTCCCACCTCCCAGTGCTGGAATTACAAGTGTGAGCCACACTGCCTGGTCCAGATCAATTTTTTTAATTTAATGCATAAAAATTTTCCTCAGCCTAGGGAGACTTTTTTTTTTTTTTTTTTTTAACTGAGGCAGAATCTCGCTCTGTCACCCAGGCTGGAGTGCAATGGTGTGATCTTGGCTCACTGCAACCTCTGCCTCCTGGGTTCAAGCAATTCTCCTATCTCAGCCTCTGCAGCTGGGACTACGGATGTGTGCCACCGCACCGGGCTAATTTTTGTATTTTCAGTTGAGATGGGGTTTCACCATGTTGGTCAGGCTGATCTCGAACTCCTGACC
Organism: Homo sapiens; assembly: GCF_000001405.40. Classification (NCBI taxonomy): domain Eukaryota; kingdom Metazoa; phylum Chordata; class Mammalia; order Primates; family Hominidae; genus Homo; species Homo sapiens. Next base: position 143,956,180 of record NC_000008.11, read on the forward strand.
TCAGGTGATCCACCCGTCTTGGGCTCCCAAAGTGCTAGGATTACAGGCATAAGCCACCACGCCCGGCCAGGGAGATTTTTTTAAAGGATTAAAACGCATAAAATGGAATGTTATAAGATTGGCCAGGCGTGGTGGCTGAGCACTTTCCGAGGCTGAGACAGGAGGATCACTTGATCCTGGGAATTCAGGACCAGTCTGGGCAACAAAGCAAGACACCGTCTCTGCAAAAAACTAAAAAACTATCCTGACACGGTGGCCTGGGCCTGTGGTCCCAGCTCTTTGGGATGCTGAGGCAGAAGGACGGCTTGAACCAGCCCACCCAAGGCTGCAGTGAGCCGTGATTGCGCCACTGCATTCCTGTCTGGGAGAGAGCAAGACTGACTCGAAAACAAACAAAAAGATAGGATCATGGTTTCAAGCTAATGAGAAGGTGAGGGCACACAGCTGTTCAGAGAAGGAACACACAGCTTTTCATGCACCGACTCCGCCTTTAACTTCCCCCCTGAAGTCAAGCTGCCCGCCTGTGAGTGGCCACCATGGTCACCTGTGGTCTCCCGCAGCCAGAGGCTTATCGACAAGCTGCAGCAGCAGCAAGTTCCCATGAAGGAGCCTGAGACTGCCCAGCCCAGCCTGCCTGGAACGGTGGCCACATGGTGCAGCCTTGGAAGTGGGGGCGGCCACGATGACCCTGGGAAGGGCTCAGCCAGCTGCACGTCAGTCAGCTCTGTGGTTCCTTCCCGGCACAGGCTTCCCAAAGGAAGGGACAGCTATGTGGGGACGGGCCGCAGGCAGCCAGCACAGGAAGAGAGGCCACAGGCACCAAGGCCTTGCCGTAGAGGAAACAAGTCCAGGCAACCCCCAAGAAGGTGGAGGTGGCTGCAGCCGGGAGGGGGGCGCCTGGAGACGGGGCTACAGCCGGGGATTTCAACAGGACAGGCAGGTCCCAGGCTGGCAGCGAAGGGCCCACGAGCAAGAGATTTAGGCAGCGGGGAGGAAAGGGAGCTGGGGTAGAGGAAGCTGGGCGCCCTGGTGACGCAGCTCTGGAGCGTGGGAAGCAAAGCCCCGGCCACTGCCCAGGAGATCTCATCGCTCTGGCCCCAATTCATGGATCACAAAGGAGTCTTGCCGAAGAAGCACGCGGGTCTGTGTGTCCAGGCCAGTGAACTGCAGGGACCCCCAGGCTGCAGTCGGGCTCACCAGCACCAGTGCCTCCGGAAAACCCCTACCTCTAGCTTCTGCTTTGCTGGTCGAACCCAGCATGGCCCCCATGCCCAGCTGGGGTGCCATCAGGTCTCCTGGCCAGGTCTCACACCCTGGGCAAAGCCAAATCCTCATGAAGCTCTCTGCAAATTCCCCACACCACTGGGGACCCCAGAACCAAGGTTGAGCCCAGGCACCACAGATAAGCCCTCCCTCCTTCCCAACCCCTCTGTCTGGGCACAGAGCAACCTCCTCTTCACCAGTCCCCAGGCCCTGGCTGCCCTGGCCACAGGCCCAGGCCAAAGAAGGGGCTCCAACCCTGTCCCCCACACCACACCTGCGAATGGGATGGGCCCTCCCCTGAGGCCCTGCCCACCACCACCCTGCCTGCCCTCAGCTTTGCTCCCTGCCCCATCTTCACGCCCACCCACCCACCCAGCCCCTAACCCCCTGGCAGCCTGCCCTGCTGGGGCTCTCTGGTGGTGGTGGAGCAGGCCAGTGGGCTGTGACCCAGTGACCCCATGCAGAGGCGACCTGCGACAGGCAGACACCCTGCTGGCAGATACCTCCACCTGGGGCCCCCGACAATAGCCCCAGGGAGACCAGGCCCAGTGAAATCCTGCCAGATACATCCAGCACACACTCAGCCCTCCGGAGGCACAGACCCCTGCTCTGCTCCCCGCCTGAGCCTGCGGCAGGTCCACAGGAGCCACCTCACCTGCCCCAGGCTTCTGCCTCGCAGCCTTGGCCCAACAACAGCCCGGCCTCTGCGGATGCTGCGGGACAGGTGGGAGGAGAGCCTTCCATGCTCTGGAGGCCACCCCTGCGCAGGGTGGGGCTCAGTGCGAGCTCAGTCGGGCCAGCCAGCCTGCAGGATTTCTGGGGTGGAGGGCCACCACTGCGGGACTGGATGCCCACCAGGGCTGCTGGGAGTCCCAGTGAGGGCCCAGGAGGCACAGAGGTCATCTCTCCGAGCCACATCCTTCTCCTCTCTCCCCTGCAGCCCAGTACAAGAGTATCTCAATACCAGGTGTCTGCTAGAGACCAATTTGCGGGGAAGGTCCTGGGTCCCACCCACATGACCATCCATTAGGGGGCCCATCGTTCCCAAATATCTCTCAAACCTGTCCTGTGCCCACTGTCTCCACCACACCCTGGCCTGGCCACCACCCTTTCACCTCAAAGACAGTGGTAGCCTCCCTCGTTGCCCCTCACCTCCAAGCACTGGACAACAGCAGCCAGTGCTCTCCGAGCACAAGCAGGTCCCACCACAGCCCTGCCGCTGCCCTCTGGAGGCCCTCCTCACGCAGGCACCTGCTCTGCTGCAGCAGGGTGGACCTCGCCAGGCCTCTGTGGAGAGGCTTCTCACCTGATCCATGGTGGCTCCCCCTTCCCTCCCTCTCAGCCCTCCAACACCGAGACACCTGTGGGCCCCTGGGGCGGCTGCCTCACCCAGCACCAGACACGAAGGTGTCACCACAGGAAACATGGAGCAAGAGAAGAAATGAATTCCTGGAGTTCAGGGATAATGCACTTTCCCAGAACTCTGTTAATATCGTTGACTTCACTAGCAGATTAAAGGAGAAAACCGGTATATTGATCTAGAAAATCTCGACAGCTCATTTGATAAAAACCAGTATTTATAACAAGGAATGAGCTTACATCGTTAACATGCAAATAAATGACCCTTGTAGCACAGCGGGGCACCCTCCCAGTGTGAGGCGAGGCTGCTGAGGGGAGGGCGTGTGAGGGTGAATGCGGACGGTGCAGGCGCAGCTCTCGGTCCAGCGCCAGGACATGGGACAGCATTTACCCAAGTCAGCACTGCTCCTCTTGGCACCTGAAACAACTCAACTCACCATTTACTGGAGCTCAGAGAAAGTTCATTGAGAGGCTGGCTTCAAACGCAGTTAAAAGACCCGAGAGATTTCTTTAGGCCAGTAATAACAAGTTAGGAAAATACAGCAGGAAAAACTCTTCATCAGCACAAAACGTGCTGGAATAAGATAACTGACGATCGGTCAGAGCTGATGCAGGGAACGCCCCGGCTCCAGGATGGCTCCAGGACCAGGCTCGGGGTCCGGGATGCAGAGGCCCAGGTGGCAGATGCCGCGCTAACCTGACGCGGCCGCAGTTCTGCTCACCCTCCCGCTGGCTCTGCCAGGAGACTCCTTACACAAGTTCCCGTCAGACAGCGAGGCCATGTGACTTGTCTGAAGCTCCAACACCGGGTGCTGGGCAGGTGGGAGGAGTCGGCCCACTTGGGCACTGCTGGAGGGACGACGACTGCAGTACCTAGCCAGCAACTTAGAAATTGTTTAAAAATTGTGTCTGAAACCTGGTGTGGTGGCTCACGCCTGTAATCCCAGCACTGTGGGAGGCCAAGGCGGGCAGATCACGAGGTCAGGAGATTGAGACCATCCTGGCTAACACAGTGAAACCCCATCTCTACTAAAAATACAAAATATTAGCCGGGTGTGGTGGCGGGCGCCTGTAGTCCCAGCTACTCAGGAGGCTGAGGCAGGAGAAGTGGAGGTTGCATTGAGCTGAGATCATGCCACTACACTCCAGCTTGGGCGACAGAGTGAGACTCCGTCTCAAAAAAAATAAAAAAGAACTGGCCAGGCACGCGGTGGCTCACGCCTGTAATCCCAGCACTTTGGGAGGCCGAGGCAGGCAGATCACCTGAAGTTGGGAGTTCGAGACCAGCCTGACCAACATGGAGAAACCCTGTCTCTACTAAAAATACAAAATTAGCTGGGCATGGTGGTGCATGCCTGTAATCCCAGCTACTTGTGAGGCTGAAGCAGAAGAATCGCTTGAACTCGGAGGGCGGAGGTTGCAGTGAGCCGAGATCATGCCATTGTACTCCAGCCTGGGCAACAAGAGCGAAACTCCGTCTCAAATAATAATAATAATAATAATAAAATAAACAATAAAATAAAATAAAAACTTAGGCCAAGCCCAGTGGCTCATGCCTGTAATTCAGCACTTTGGGAGGTCAAGGCGGGCGGATCACCTGAGGTCAGAAGTTCGAGACCAGCCTGGCCAACAAGGTGAAACCCCGTCTCTACTAAAAATACAAAAATTAGCCGGGTGTGGTGGCGGGTGCCTGTAATCCCAGCTACTCAGGAGGCTGAGGCAGGAGAATCCCTCTAACCCGGGAGGCGGAGGTTGCAGTGAGCTGAGACTGCATCTCTGCACTCCAGCCTGGGTGATAAAGCAAGACTCTGTCTCAAGAAAAAAAAAAAGAACTTATAACAGTTTACATTCTTCCCTTCACTAAACTTTAAAAATCAAAATCGTGTTGGAATAGAAAATATTCACGTGACTCAAACACTGAGAGTAGACAGAGAAGTCTTGCTCCCCTCCCTTCTCCCTGTCTCCCCCCACCCACACACACAGTGTGAAAATCACTGTTAGTGGCTTCCTGTTTGTTTCTCCAGAATTTCTTTACAGAAAATCAAGCAAATACCATGTGATTCTTGGTTTTCTTCCTTTTAACACAAACGGTGAAATCTTCCGGGCACCATTCTGCCCCTGCTTTCCCACCCACCCCACAGCTGGAGGCCTCCCGCTCTGCACGGGGACCGTGACCCACGTCTGGCCATGCAGAGCGGCACGTGTGGGCCCAGCCTCTGAGCGCACTCAGGCCAGTGACCATCGTCTGCTCGGACACACACTGCGCGTTTGTGGCTCTGACAGACGCTTTCTCTGGCCTGGTTCCCACAGCTTCAGCAACAGAACCTAGAAATCCAGATTTTTGATTTTTGCCAATACGATAGGTAAAAAACAGTATCTTGATGTAAATTAAAGCTTAAATTTTGAAAACCACTTGACCCAGAAATTCCTTTTTTTTTTTTTGAGACAGAGTCTTGCCCTGTCGCCCAGGCTGGAGTGCAATGGCGCGATCTCAGCTCACTGCAACCTCCGCCTCCCAGGTTCAAGTGATTCTCCTGCCTCAGCCTCCTGCGTAGCGGGGATTACAGGCGTGCACCACCACACCCTGCTAATTTTTGTATTTTTAGTAGAGACAGCGTTTCACCATGTTGGTTAGGCTGGTCTCGTACTCCTGACCTCGTGATCTGCCCAACTCGGCCCCCCAAAGTGTTGGGATTACAGGCGTGAGCCACCGCACCTGGCCAGAAATTCCCTTTTTAACAACAGTCATAGAGATGCACAATGACCCAGCTACAACACTGTTCACTGCAGTCATTTCTAATACAAAAATCCAAAATTAAACTCCGTGTCCTAGGAGAAAGGATTGATTGGTTAAATATGATATGGTTTCCATACAGGGGAATGCTGTATTGTAAATTAATGTCACAGAGAGATGCCCAAGCTGTATCACTAAGTAAAAGAAGTTACTTATGTCTAAAATACTTCATAACATTAAATCATGAAATTACAGATAAATTAACACACACTAAAGAACACTGTGCATGCTTTTTTATTTTTTTATTCTTTTTGAGACAGGGTCTTGCTCTTGTAGCCCAGGTTCACTGCAGTGTTGACATTCTGGGCTCAAGAGATCCTCCCACCTCAGGCTCCCAAAGTGCTGGGATTACAGGCATGTGCCACCTGTAATCACGTGCCCAGCCCACTGTGCACGCTTTTTAAAACAATGACTATGGAACAAAAATGTGTAAGTTCTACATTAACCAACTACTGCAGGATGGCTGGGTAGGTCCAATGGTGGCCACAAAAAAATCTATGTCCATGTCCCTGGAGCTCATAAATGTGGCCTTATTTGTAAACAGGGTCTCTGCAGATATAATTAAATAAAGGATCTTGAGATGAGATCATCTTGGATTACCTGGATGGGCCCTAGATCCAAAAGCAAGTGTCCTTAGACGAGGAGAGACACAGAGGCAGGGATTGGCATGATGCAGCCACAAGCCAAGGGGCAGTGGAGTTGGAAGAGGCAGGCGGCTATTCCTAGGCTCTTCCCGGGTGCCTTCGGAGAAAGCGTGGACCTGCCGACACCGGATTTTTAACTTCTGGCCTCCGGAACAATCAAAAGATAAATTTCTATTGTTTTAGGGCGCCCTGCCTGTGGCTCTTCCCTGTGGGAATCAAAGGAAATCAATACAGACAGCGAGCAGGAGCAGGGTGCCTCTGTGACGAATATCTGAAAATGTGGATGTGGCTTTGCAATTGGGTAATAAACAGAAGCTGGGACATCTTGAGGCACACAGTAGAAAAAGCCTAGCCTGTCTGACCAGACGGTTGGTAGAAATATGGGTATTAAAGGTGCTTGTGGTGAAGCCTTAGAAGGCAACGAGGAAAGTGGAGGAAAGGTGCTTCTCACATTGAAGCGAAACTTCGCCGAACTGTGTTCACTGTCGGGTGCTCAACAGAACTTGTAAGCAATGAACTTGGATATTTAGCTGAAAAGATTTCCAAGCAAAGTGTGGAAGGTGTGGCTTGGCTGCTTCTTGCTGCTTATGGTAAAGTACAGGAAGAAAGAGATAAATTGAGGAAGGAACTATTAAGCAAAAAGGAAACAGCATGGGTGATTTGGGATATCTGCAGCCTATTTAGATTGCAAAAGATGCTCATGTTGGGAGGTTCACTGTTAGGAAAGTGTGTTCTGCAGAGAAAGCCATCTCTGCAGAGATGAGGTATGTGACTCATGGGTCCATTCACTCATCTCAACAGAAGCCAGGAATAGAGACAAGATTATCCAGGGAGGATCCGAGTGAACCCTTCTCTCTAATGGCCTGGCTCCCTGTGACATACAGGGGAGACCCAGAAGGTTTATGAGAATGTTTTACCAGCAGAAACACTGCCTGCTTGGATTGATGGGAACAGAGACAGGATGAAATGAAGGAAGGTATTGGGCTTCTGAGAGTCTACAGGCAAGAAACAGGATGACAGACCCAGGCAGCTGCAAACATGTGCTACCCTTTGAGAAAAAGGAAGAATGACTCCAAGGTCAGGGCCTTAGGCCTAGAGGCAGAGGCTGGCAGAGGTGCAGGTGCAGAGGGTGGGGCACTGAGCCACAGAAGAGCATTCACGGGCCTTGAAACCCCACGGAATTTGCCCTGCTGGATTTCAGACTTGCTTGGGACTGGCAACCCCTTTATTCCTTTATATTTCTCCCTTTGGGAATGGTGATGTCTAGTCTATGCCTAGCCCAACATTGCAGTTTGGAGGCATAAAACTTGCTTTCTAGTTTTACAAGTAAAAAGATGGAGAAAAATTTTGCCCCCATCTGGATCCTACCCAGAGCCTCACCAACACCTGATTTAGACACAACTTCGATGATCAGATTTGGGACTTCTGAGCTGATTAAATGTTGTTCTTGTTTTTTTCAAGATGGGGTCTCATTCTGTCACCTGGGTTCAGCCTCCAGGGTTAAGCAATCCTCCTACCTCCACCTCCTGAGCAGCTGGGACTACAGCCATGTGCCACCACACCTGGCTAATTTTTTTTTTTTTTTTTTTTTGAGATGGAGTCTTGCTCTGTCACCCAGGCTGGAGTGCATTGGTGCAGTCTCGGCCCACTGAAACCTCTGCCTCTCGGGTTCAAGCAAGTCTCGTGCCTCATACACCTGAGTAGCTGGGATTATTGGTGTGTACTACCATGACTGGCTGATTTTTGTATTTTTAGTAGAGACAAGGCTTCACCATGTTGGCCAGGCTGGTCTCCTGATCTCAGGTGATCCACCCACAGGCCTCCCAAAGTGCTGGGATTACAGGCGTGAGCCACTGTGCCTGGCTAAGCGGATGGAATTTTAGACTTAGAGCTGATGCTACAATAGGTTGAGACTTTGGGGCATGTTGGCATAAGAAACATTTATTTTGGAAGTGGGGCAGATGTAAGTTTTGAGGGACCAGAGGACAGACTGTAGTGGGTTGAATGGAGGTCCCCAAAAGATATGTCTATGAACAATTCCCTGGAACCCATAATTGGTATCTTATTTGGAAAAAGGGTCTTTGCAGGTGTAATTAACACAAGGATCTTGAGATGAGATCATCCTAGATTACCCAGTAGGGGGCCTAGAACCAATGCCAAGTGTCTTACAAGAGATGGAAGAGAAGCCACAGGGGAGAGGGCCACGGGAGGATGGAGGCCGACACTGGAGTGATGCGGCCACGAGCCCAGGCACCGATGGCCACCAGGAGCTGGAGAGGCCAGGAACAGAGTCCGCCCTGGAGCCTCCGAAGGAGCGTGGCCCTGTCAACATCTTGATTTTGGACATGTGGCCTCCAGAACCGTAAGAGAATACATTTCTGTTGTTTAAGGCCACCCAGTTTGTGGGTACGTGTGACAGCAGCCACAGGAACCTAAAACAGGGCACATTCTCTGGGGGTATCTGTATTCTGTAAACAACCATGCATTCTTGTGGCAGTCATGACAGTGGCGTCCAGCTGTGTCTCTTAGGCCTATCCTGTGCCTGCTCTGTTAGCTTCCCAGGTAGCCACTCGTTTAGCAAGAAAGAAGAGAAAGAGATGCACTTTCAAAAGGTCAAAAGACACATTCATTTGAAAAACAGAGCAGAATAAAAATCATAAAAGCCACAACCAGAGACCTTTACTGCAGCTACCTCCTTCTGCTCCTGCAGACCCACACTTCCAGCCCTGACCAGCCCCACTCCCCCAACCAACCCCCACCCCCCCGCCCACCCTGGTGTGCCCCTGTGGATGGCCTTCCCCACCCTCACCGTCCCACTTGGCCCCAGCCCACCTGACACACCAGCCTGCCCAAGAGCACCCAGACTCACACCAGCCACCCTGATGCCGTCCTGGGGCCTTCCTTTCCTGCAGCACTGGCCCTGGGTCTGCCGCTACTCCTGGAGCCACACAGGGACACAAAGTGATCCCCATCCCATTCCTGGTCCTGGGTCTCCTCTGCCTCCAGGAAGAAGCAGCAACAGTCCTGCCAAGAGCTGACCACCAGCTGGGAGGACTCTTCTGCAGCTAACCAGGACCCAAATCCTGGAGAGCAGGCCCCACAGGCTGATGTCCCAAGTCCTACAGGATCCTGTCTTCCCAGCTGGCACCCTCCTTCCACCGTCTGAACGCGTGTTCCCAACTCCCCTTCCACTGGGCCTACAGATGACCCGGCCCATGCCCCATTTTGGGTCCCTGACCTCATGACCCACGGCCCCTGCTCTCCCAGCCCCGCATCTCCCTACCCACTGTGGGTCTGTGGGCATCACCCATGACCCCAGCGGTGGGAGATCTGGGCACCTGGTCCCACTAGCATCGCCCTTCCCAGCCTCCTCCAGTCCCTTCTTGAGGTACCTGGCCCCTGGCCCCTCTGCTGCCAGCTCCTCTTGGGCCTCACTGGGGAAACTGAGGCCACAGGGCACCACTGCCCACACCCTCCCAACAGCCCAACCCTGGGAAAATCTCCAGGGCCCTCAGTGGTGAGCAGCAGTCTGGACTGGCCACTGATGATGTGTGGCTGGGTAAATGTGAGCGACCACTCAGTACTCACCCTGGGCCAGGTGATGCCCATGCCCCCTGTGACCATGCAGGTCCCTCAGGCCAAGGCCCAGGGAACTCCTTCCCCAGGGAACTCGGGCCAGCATCCAGCTGAGGCTGTGACCTGCTGCGGCCTAGCCTCCATGTCACCGCTCTGTCCTGGAGAGGGTTCTCCCTCCCTGCCACCCTGCTGGACCCACCATAGCCTGGCACCAGCAGGGCCTCCTGAGCACTTCCCACATGCCCCCTGGCACCTCCAATCCGACGACACCCCAAGCAGTCCCGCTGAGGTCCCAACACCCCTCATCACCTGGTCCCAGCACCATCCAGGCCTCACCCTGCTCCCAACGTGGCCCTGCTTCCTCACGCCCCTTCCTCCTTCGCAGACCCAACAGGCCCCCATGGCTGCACAGCTGCCCACTGCTCTGCTTCCCGGCTGCCTCTTCTCATAGGCACCTAAGCTCTGGAGGACCCCAGGCTCAGAGCTCTGGCCCGAGGCCTGCCCTAGTGATGGCCTCCCAGCCTGGCCTCCCCACCTCAGCCCAGCATTTCCTGCACCTCAGTGTCTGCACACGCATACCTATCTCACAGGCATCTCTGATTTTATGCACCCAAGGCTAAGCGCTGGCTCTTCCGCCCTCTCTGCCGCAGGCACATCCTCTCCACCCCAGGCTGCTCTCTACCTCCACAGCCACCACGGGGGACTCCTCAGCCGCTCCTTGGGAGGCACCAGGCCAGGATCTTGCAGGGGTCCAGCCAGCTCCAAGTCCACCTATCCCTCCCACCCAACGCTTGTTTCAAGCCACACCTGCCACAGGACAGGGCGGGGCTCGGCTGGGGGGGTACAAAAGTGAAGCAACACATAGTCCCCGCGTCAGGAAGCTGGATTCTGCCACAGGACAGGGCAGGGCTCGGCTCGGGGGCACAGAAGTGAAGCAATACACAGCCCCTGCGTCAGGAAGCCGGATTGGTGGAAGGGGAGATGTTTACAATCATCCCTGTAACCCACAAGCCCACGGCCAGACCCTATGAGCGTGACACCAAGCATGACATCGAGCCTCCTTGAACATCTCGACCTCAGCCCCAAGCAAATTCCACAAAGATTAACGACAGAGATGTTTAAAAAAATGCAGCAGTGCTGGAAGCAACTCTCAGCAGATGTTTTTCTAAAAGAAGGCCATTTTAAGCATAGCATAAAATCCAGAAATCATAAAAGACTGGTGAGTGTTAAAAATTGATATGGCTAAAGAAACCACAGACAGAATTAGGCCAGGCGCGGTGGCTCACGCCTGTAATCCCAGCACTTTGGGAGGCCGAGGTGGGCAGATCACGAGGTCAGGAGATCGAGACTGTCCTGGCTAACACGGTGAAACCCCGTCTCTACTAAAAATACAAAAAATTAGCTGGGCATGGTGGCGGGCGCCTGTAGTCCCAGCTACTCGGGAGCCTGAGGCAGGAGAATGGCTTGAACCCGGGAGGCGGAGGTTGCAGTGAGCCGAGATCGCGCCACTGCATTCCAGCCTGGGCAACAGAGCGAGACTCCATCTCAAAAAAAAAAAAAAAAAAAAAAAAAAAGAAACAGACAGAATTAAACAAAAATAGATGCGTGGTGTGAGACCCATCCATGGTGTGCCCAGTGGGGACTCAGCAGGAACTTTCCAGGAGCTGAAAAGTTCTGTTCCGTGAGCTGGTGCTGCCCACAGGCAACTTCGAAGTTTACGCCGAATACAAGTGTCCCTCGGTATCAGCGGGAGATGGGTTCTGGACTCCCCATGGATACCAGAATCCACAGATGCTCAAGTCCCTGATGTAAAAAGGTGTAGTAGCCAGGCATGGCAGCAGCTCACACCTGTAATCCCAGTACTTTGGGAGGCCAAGGCAGGAGGATCCCTTGATTCCATTTCCATGTGAGCACAGGAGTTTAAGACCAGCCTGGCCAACAATGCTTGTGAATAGGCAGTTCACAAAAGAAAAGGTGCAAATAGTCAACAACTCTAGGAGATGTGCTCAGCTTAATTAATAATCAAAGAATTCAGGCCAGGCGCGGTGGCTCACACCTGTAACCCCAGCACTGAGGCTGAGGCAGGTGGCTTACTTGAGGTCAGGAGTTCAAGACCAGCCTGGCCAACATGGGGAAACCCTATCTCTACTAAAAATACAAAAATTAGCCAGGTGTGGTGGCGCACACATGTAATCCCAGCTACTCGGCGGACAGAGGCAGGAGAATTGCTTGAACCCAGGAGGCAGAGGTTGCAATGAGCTGAGATCATGCCACTGCACTCCAGCCTGGGTGACAGAGCGAGACAGAGCGAGACTTCGTCTCAAAAAAAAAAAAAGGAAGAAAAGAAAACATTGGTGTAAAGCTTCATGACTTGGATTAGACAATGGCTTCTTAAATATGGCACCAAAAGCACAAGCAACCAAGGAAAAAGATAGATAAACTGGAGTCATAATAATTAAAATTAAAATGTACGTGCTTCAAAGGACACCACCGGCCAGGTGAGGTGGCTCACGCTGTAATCCCAGCACTGTGGAGGCTGAGGCCAGGAGTTTGAGACCAGCCTGGCCAATATGGCGAAGCCCCATCTCTACTAAAAATACAAAAATTAGCCAGGTGTGGTGGCAGACGCCTGTAGTCCCAGCTACTCGGGAGCCTGAGGTACAAGAGTCACTTGAACCTGCTCCAGCCTGGGTGACAGAGCAAAACTCCATCTCAAAAAAAAAAAAAAAAAAGACACCAGCAAGCAAATAAAAAGGCAGACCACAGAAACAGAAAATGTTTGCAAATCATATTTCTGATAAAGGACTGGCATCTAGAATATATAAAGAACACTTACAACTCAAAAATACCAAAAGGTAAATTCTAAAATGGACAAAGGATTGAAATACACATTTCTCAAAAGATATAAAAAATGGCCAACAATCACACCAAAGTGTTCAACGTCATTAGCCATCAGGAAATGCAAATCAAACCACAATGAGATTCCACTCGACACCCACTAGGATTGGATGTCTGCAATCAAAGAGTCAGATAATAACAAGTGTTGGTGAGGATGTGAGGAAATTGGAAACCTCGCACCCGGCTGTTACTGGGCATGCAGAATGGCACGCCCGCTTTAGGAAGCAATCTGGCAGTTCTTCAAAATGGTTAAATATAGAATTACCACACAGCTGAGCAATTCCACTCCTAGGTATCTACCCAGCAGAAATAAAAAACATACGACCACACAAAAACGTGTATGCAAACGTCCATAGCAGCCTCACTCATAACAGCCAAAAGGTGGAAACAACCCACTATCCGTCAACTGATAAACGCATAAGCAAAAGTGGGCACTTCCACACCACGGAACCGACTCCAGCGGGGGGAGGGTGAGGTGCTGATGGCGCGGCGATGTGAGCAGCCCTGACAGCGTCCCGGCAAGTCGAAGAGGCCAGACCCAGGGCCAGTACAGGCCAATCCATAACCATTCCTGTCTGCCTGAGCCCCTCAGCCCCCCCATTCTCCCTGTCCCCCATCCAGGGCAGATTCCTCTGGGGCTGAGGCTACTGCAGCCTGTGGCAGGAGAGCTCTGGGCACCCTATGGGAGAGGCCTCCGTGCTGAGGGCTGTGGGCTGGTGACTTAGACAGTCGGCCCAGCTGCCAAGAGGTGTCCAGTCGCCCAGCCCCCCAAGCCTGGCCTGTGACAGCTCATAGAGGCTGGGCCGTCCTGCCACACCATGGGAGCCTGGAGAGAGACCTGGGGTGGGTGTGGCAGGGCGGGGACAGTTCTAGGAGAGAGTTGTGGCAATGCAGGTGAGTGGAGGTGAGGCGGTCAGTGAAGAAAGAAAGAGCGGCCCAGCAGCAGTCCAGCGTTGTGGGCAGGGGCCTGTCCTGGGGGTCAGGGCATGAGTGCAGGCCGGGGAGTGGGGAGTGGGGCCAGCCGGGGGCCTGGGCAGCTGGGGATAGAGACTTTAGGTTGTCATGTTAGGGATGGGAGTGGGGCTTAGGGGTGCTGTGAGGTGGTCCTGGAGAGGGCAGCAGGGGTGAGAATGAGGCCGGGGTGAGTACCGTTGGTGAGTGGGTGGCGTTGGTGTGGGGCAGGGGCCAGGGGTGGGAGGCCTGCATTGGTCTGGGGGAAAAGCGGGCCTGGAGAGGGGCTGGGTGTGTTGGGTCTCCACAGGGCGTGTGCCCAGCCTGTGGCCTGCACTCTCTTCAGGACCCCTTGCCAGCCCTGGGCCTGCCCAGTGCCACTGTGCCTGGCCCCCTCCTCATGTGTCCCCTACTCTCCCCTGTCCTGGACTCTGAGCTTGGTTATCTGTGTCCCTGGCACTGGCCCCAGGCCCTCAGCCAGCACTGCAGGGTGTTTGCACGGGTGAGTGGGTGATGGCGTAGGGCGTCATCTGCAGTGGTTGGTGCTCAGCTGGCAGAGGGCAGGCTGGAGGTTATTTGGGGCTCACTGGAGAGGAATTTTGGTCGGTGTTTACTGTCAAAAGTAAAACGCTCCAAAAAAAAAAAAAATCAAGCAGGGTGGAAGTATACAAAGAAAAACGGGGAGAGTCACACCTCTGGGTTCAGGCTCCCGGCTGGGGCGATCGCTGTGCATGAGAGAGGGCGGGAGAGAGCACACGGATTTGGCCGCCCCTTTACAGGGAGCTCAGACTGAGATTTCCTCTGGAGCCACTGGCTTTTCATGTCAGTACCAATTAGGTTGACCTCATGCTGATTATTAGTATTTTTTAATAGCTTTATTGAGAGGTAATTCACATGCCACACCATTCACCCATTCAAAGCGTCCAATTCAGTGGTTTCAGTAGATTCGGAGTTGTGTAGCTGTCAATTCCAGGATATTTTCTCACCCAGCCCCTGGCAACACCGCTCTCTTTTCAGTTATGGACTGGCCGCCTCACCTCCACTCACCTGCATTGCCACAACTCTCTCCTAGAACTGTCCCCGCCCTGCCACACCCACCCCAGGTCTCTCTCCAGGCTCCCATGGTGCGGCAGAACGGCCCAGCCTCTATGAGCTGTCACAGGCCAGGCTTGGGGCGCTGGGCGACTGGACACCTCTTGGCAGCTGGGCCGACTGTCTAAGTCACCAGCCCACAGCCCTCAGCACGGAGGCCTCTCCCACAGGGTGCCCAGAGCTCTCCCGCCACAGGCTGCAGTAGCCTCAGCCCCAGAGGAATCTGCCCTGGATGGGGGACAGGGAGAATGGGGGGGCTGAGGGGCTCAGGCAGACAGGAAGTTGGCGATGTTCCAAGCGGAGCAGTGGCCGCCTGACTGTACAGGGAAGACCGGGGATTTCCAGGGGAGAGCCAGGGAATGACGTGTCCAGGGGAGGGTCTGAGACGTTGTGGGGTGGGGGGTGAAGGTCACCGGAGTGAGGGTCAGACAGGGAGTTGTCTGTGAGAGGGCACAGTGAGGTGGAACCGAGGCAATGCCACAGAGGGGAGGAGGCCAGGAGGCCTAAGCCAGAGCACCTCCTCAGTGCAGGGATCAGCTGGGCAGGGGGCACAGGCCTGGCCTCCCTGCCCTCCTCAGAACCACCAAATGCTGAGCTGGGCCCAGGACAGGGGCCCGCAGCTGCTTACCATGGAGGGATTTGGGGCTGCCTTGCCGTCACTGGCTGGCTGGCAAGGGGTGCCATGCCCTCCCACAGTCCCTCCACCCCAGGGACAGGAAGGGCCGGGGCTCCAGCCCTCTAGCAGGTCCAAGGGGCTCACAGAGGTCAGGCCTGGAAAGGTGTAGGGCACAGGGGCCACCTCTGACCTCCTGCAGGCCCTCCTCAGCCTTGGTCCGTGGCTCCCAGACACAGGTACCAGCCCAGCCCCTCCCGTCCCCTTGTCTCAAGCCAGGAGCTAAGGAGACTTGGGGTACCTGGTGTGCTCACGGAGCCTCAGCACCTGCCTTGCTGTTTAGCCACTCTCAGGCCAGTGCCACACACATGCGGGCAGCTGCACCATCACGTGACAACTCCACTTCAGGCAAGCCCCCCGGCCCCCCTGCCCCCTCACCAGCCTCCACCACCAAGCCCAGAAGGCAGACAATGGGCCAAGACTGCGAGTGTGCCCAACACCAATCCTGGCCTCCAGAGGAGCTGCGCTTGGGAGGGAGGACCCTGACAGAGGGTCCCAGCAACCTCCAGGGATCTGTCTGGCTCACCCCTGGATGAATCAGAAGTAGTTCCCACCCCAGGAGGTAGAGGAAAGACAGCCCTGGGGCCAGGAAAGCCTCAGCACAATGCCCAGAACAGGCTGGGGCACCCCAGGCAGCCCAGCAACCTGACCAGATGAAGAACTCCAGGAGGAAACGATCCTGCACAGTTCCCGCACTTTGAACAGAGTGGTCAGCTCAGAAACAGCTCTGTCCTGGGGCTTGCCAGGAGGGCTGGAGCCCAGGTGGGCGGCTGCTTCCCTGCCCTATACCCCAGCACCCCTCCGGGTGCTCCCTCTAAGGCAGGGCCGGCCATGTAGAGCATGAGCAACAGGCTGCCCGCTCCAGGCCTCCCCAAGGGTGCAGGAGTGTCTCCCCTGGCCCGAATGAACTAGTCACACAGGCAAAGCGGCTGGGCACAGCACTGTCAAAGAGAGCCACAGCAGTACATCCACCCTGCCCCAGAGCCGTCGCTGGAGGACGCCTGAAGGAGATGAGTTCGGGGCACCATGAAACCTACCCAGCTGGGCAAGGTTGTGGTGGAGAGCGGCACCACGGGGCCCCAGCAGGACCTCTCTCCCTGAGCTGCCCTTGGGGGCAGAGCCAGCAAAACCAGCCACGTGGAGCTGGAGTCTGCTCTGATCGGCTCTGCCTGGGGGCCCCCACCGCGACCCTCCCCAGCAGCTCAGTCCCTTGCTCCTAAGCCTCTGCAGGCCGGCAGCCAATGCTGTGTCCACAACCGCCTGGAGCCGGGCGACCCAGGCTGAGCCAGGCAGCTGGGCTGCAAGAATGGCCGGTGGGACCAGGACCTGGGAGGGTCCAGGGGCTCCCCGTGGGCGTGGACTAGGGCAAGGGGGTCTGCCGAGGCATCAAGCAGGTGGGCAGGCCACTCTGATGCTCCCCTAGAGAGGAAGGAGGGGCCACCCTGACCCCTAGCCCACAGCTGTCCCCTAGTGAACAGAGAAGGGGTGTGGGGGGGGTGCCCTGCCAAGGAAGGGTGGCAGCCCAGGCCCTCGCCAGTTTAGGGAGGTGAGGAGAGGCGGCAACTATGTGACCCATTGCCAGGCGGCGGAGCTGCCCCTGTTCCATGCAGACGCGCCCCAGAGGTGGGGCAGGGGATGGCTCAGCCTTGACCCATGTGTCTGCTGGCCACAGACACCGGATCCTGGCTCAGACAGCCGACCCCGACAAGCCCTGAGCGCCCCCACCCGCCCGCGGCCCACCCCACCCACCCGAGCCGCGCGATGCCCTATTAAGGGCATGGCCTCGGGGGCTCAGCGGAGCGAGTCCTCCCCTTCCCTAGGCACTGGCAGCCGTTGGGGGCGATCCAGGCGGACGAGGCCGGCGGAGTGGCCGCGCTCGGGCCGGCGATCGGGACCGCCACCGTGGACGACAAGGTGCTCGGCGGCTGGGCTGTCAGGAGCGGCCCGACAGGCAGCGGGACGGGGGGCCGTACCTTTGTACTTCTCGCGCACCTCCTCGTAGGCCTGGATGAAGTCCTGCTCGTCGGGCAGCGGGCCGGCCATGCCGGCGGGCGCGGGGCGCGGGGTGCAGCGGAGCCTCCAGCACCCGGCGGCCACTCTGTCCCCGCGGCCGCGCGCGCCGCTTAAAGAGGCCGCCCCCGCCCCGCCCCCGCCCCGCCCCCGCACCCAGGATGCCCCACGGGCGGGGCGGGGCCGGGGCCGCCGCGGCCGGGCAGAGGGAGCCGCGTCTGGGCCCCTCCCGGCGGGCCGGTTCCGCGGGCTCCGAGTCCCGCACGCACGCCCTTTCCCGTTCTCGCCCGGGTCGCGGCCGCCGACACCGCGGTCGCCCGGGGGTCCTCGGGTGGCCCCCGCCCAGGGGCGGCCGCGACCTGTCTGTTCCCCGCCGGGCCGGCGACCTGCCTCCGAGACGCTCCCCTGCCCGCCCCCCACCTTGCTTCCTGCGTGCAGCTGAGAACTTTCCCATTGCAACATTGGAGACGACTGAGTCGGTATAAAGAACCCTTAAAACACTACACACAAGAAAAATTAAGTACACATACGAGGACTGGAATAGCCCATTCACAGAAGGAAAAAATGCTTGGTGATAATTAAAACAACTCTTTCCACCCATCAGATTGGCAAAGCCCCCGCTCTCCCCGCCTTCACCAATGTCGGCCACCCTGTCTGGGATGCCCCTGGCCGTGTTTTCTCCAAGCTTAATGCCATATGTCCTGTAACTGCAAGTCCCGCTTCCAGGAATCGGTCCTAAGGAAACCGTCAGAGGACGCAGAGCCCCGGCGCGGAAGGTGCTGGCTGGGGGCAAAGCCTTTGCAGTGAGTACCGAAGGCAACCACGGTCAGCCGGGGCCTCGGGACCCCCCACACTCCTCCACAACTGTAAAGGTGATGCTGAAGAAAGCCCAGGCGTGGGAACGACACAAGTGATTCCCTTTCAAGTGGGAAGAAAGTGACTTCTTTCTTTAAAGTCCGTGTGTGCTGTGAAAAGCCCTGAAGGTCATGCAGATGGAACCAGACCCTGGGGCTGGAGCTGGGTGCACAGCAGTGACCCTCTCCTTCCCTCTTTCCTGCTCCTACCAGCCCCGCTTCCCGTCGTCTGCAACATCCCCCCAGGGCTCAGCACCTGGCCTTGCAGCCCTCTCCTGGCCTCCCGCAGGGGCCTCCCTGCCCTCCGGCTGGAACAGGTCAGGACTCTCAAGCCAAAGCCTAGAGAGCTACTGCTCCTCCCTCTCCTAGCACAGCTCTAGGTCACCCACTTCCCTCCTGCCCTCCCCCTTCCCCAAGCATCTCGCTGGATGCTTCCCATCGTTCTCCCTGGATGGGGAGCTACTGGAAAGCAAGGCCAGATCCTGGCTCAGGAAGAGGCTGGGGCTCCAGACAACCAGGTACCCCCTCCCTATACACTGCTCCTGTACATTCCCACCTGGCCGCCATTGTGGCAGCCAAGACCGAGGGCCTGGTGGGGAACCCAAAAAATTATCCTTGTTGCATCTGGGCACTGGACCGTGTTAAAATCAAGGATGGACGCCGCGGCAAGAAGCCCAACCCCAGGCCTCATGAACCGCCTGGGCGCGGCCGGCAGGTGGCGCTGTGCCGCCTGCACTCACCTGGGACGCGCGAGGCCCTCCGTGACCCGCAGATCCCCCTAGGCCTCCCCCACCCAGTCCCCGCTCCAGCGCCTAGCACGCAGCGGGAACTCAGTCAACCTCGCGTGCCAAGGAGGTGCACAGGCAAGGCCCTGCGCAGTTACCTGCGATGCGAATGACCGCCCGCTCAGCTGGGTCCAGGACACTCCCGTTGCTCCCAGCGCCACCCCCGCTGCGCCGGCTCCGCTGCGTTTTCCCAAGGTTCCAGGGCAGTGTGTCCCCAGGGCTGGGCGAGCCACTGCTTCCATTGGAGACATCTTCAGAGACTGCCCGGACCTCAGCGTCCTCACCCGACATGGCCTCCTGGAAGGGGAGCAGGAGGGGTCACATCTCTGCCTGTTCAGGAGTGGACTCTGCACGCCGACCCACCCACCACCTTCTTAACCTAGACACTGAACTCTCCCCACCCAGCCTCTCGCCTGGACACTGGCACCCACACCCCTCCTGCACTCTGCTGTACCCACATATTGACCCCCATGCTCTGGCCCCAGGCACTGACTTACCCTCTCTCCATCCATGACTGCCTTGCCCCCTCCCGCGCACTCCTCAGATACCTACACAGTGACCCCCCAGCCACTGGCCTTACCCTCCAGTCCATCACCAGGACACTGACCACCCTGGCCACCCCCACTCCCACACACTGACTGCCACTCTCCTCTCTTAGTCACCCACACCCCACCCACCTACTCTGTCACCCAGGGGCTCAACCGGCACACGACAGACCACCTTCCACTCTGTCAAATGGAAGGGGAAGGGGTGACTACCTTCACTCAGATGCCGGCCTCCACTGCCTCCATCCCAAACTGGACCCGCCTCTAACCCTCTAATCGCAGGCAGGCGAGGCCATCAAGGAAAGCTGACCACCGCCCCCTCCACTCACCGGGTCATCAGGGAAGGACACCCAAGCCCTTCCCCTGGACACCGGCAGTCCACCTCCAAGCTCTCTCGACCTCTAGGACTCCCCATCACGCCACCCCACCTCAGCCCGCAGTCCCACCTCGATCTCCGCAGCGAAGGCCTATAAATAGCTGCAGCCGCAGCGGCGTGGGCCGCGGGAGCTCTGCTGCAGCGAGGCCGGGAGGGAGCCCGGGCCGCAGCTCCAGCGGCCCACAGTGGGGGCGCGTACACCGGCACCGCGGACGCAACCAGGACGCACGCATACCCACGCGCGCACACTCCCCAGCCCCCGTCCCCAAGAGCACTGGCGTGCGGGAGGTGAATGGGGCTCTGTCTCGGAGGGGGTGGGCTGGCGCGGGGGCACAATGTGGGCTCTGTGCCTCCGCCCTCAGGCCAAGGGCTAAGGAGGAGGCAGCGGACACCGAGGAGGGGGCCGCCGCGCCCCGCCCCCACTGGCTTCTCCACGGGCCGCCCCGGTTGCAGCCCCCCGCCCGGAGCCCTGCGGTCAGCCGCGCCTCCCCAGCGGCCTTTCCTGCCCACACCCCGGGCACCGCCCGTCCAGTTCCGCAGTCTCGGGCGTGCAGGGAGGTGCTGTCCTCTCGAGCGAGGGCAGGAGGGGGCGCGGCGCAGCCCCTAGTTCCGTGTGGCCTGCGGCCGGAGACCGCCCCCCGACCCCCACCCCGCAGCGCCCGCACGCGGCGCGCCTCTCCATCCTGGCCGCGGTCATACATGCCTGGTGGCTCCGCTCACTTCAGCTCTGCCGCCGCAGCCAGACTGCTCGGGCCGGGAGAGCGGCGGAGGCGGCGCAGGCGGGGCGAGCCCCGAGCCCCGCCCCGGCCCCCACCCAGAGCTGCGCCGCGCGGGCCCGGCCGAGAGCGAGCGAACGCTGCCAGCGAGATCGGGCGCCCGTGTCTGCGCGGGGCCGCCGAGATCTCGGGAGCGGCGGGGCTGGGGCCCGGGCGGGCGATTCGGCCAGGGCAGCGGCGCACACCTGAGCCCCCGGCGCACGGGGCGGGCCGGTAGTCAAGGAGACGCTGTCTGCGCCGGCGTGCGCGACACGGGAACGTCGTGCGCTCGCCCCGGTGAGCTCCGGGCCCCGCCCCGCACCCCGACGCCTCCTCGGAAGCAGCAGATCCCGCCCCTGGGCCGCGGAGATCCCCACTCCCCAAACAGAGGTCGCAGTCAGAGTTCCCGGGTCCCTTCCGCCTGGGTTCACGTTCACGTTTATTCAAACAACAGAGCCGACTCGGGCGAGGTCTGGGAGCGGCGGGCGGGCGGTGTCGCCTCCTGGGCTCTGCTGACCCCTGGTGGTGGGGTCGGCCCAGGCTGGGACCTAGCCCGGCCCCCCTCGGCCGCTGCTGACCGCCATCCCCCACACCGCCTTCTGGAGCCCGCAGAGGGAGGCAGGGGCGTCCCCGGGGACAGCTCAGGCGGCCACAGTTGGGGGCGGGGAGCATCAGCCTGTGCGGAGCTGGGAGCCTGGGAAGCAGGAGGCCAGAGGGTGGCCCCTTCGGTTAAGTGTCTGGGGAGCGGCCCGGGAGCCCAGAGGGGTCGTCGGGGGAAGCGCGGGGCACGTGCTCGCAGGTGATGAGGTGGGTGGGCAGCGCCTGGGTGTCGTGGAAGATGACGAAGATGCTGGGCTGGCAGATGCAGTCCACGGCGCTGTCGTAGCGCAGGAGCACGTGGCCAGGACCCCGCAGAGGGGGCGCCCGCAGACCGCGGCGGCCCTGCCCGTAGTCGCCAGTCAGCACCCGTGCCACGAACACCGCCTTATGGCCATCGGCGTTGGGGGGCGAGTAGCGGTCCTGCACCGACAGGGAGGCGCGCCTGGCGAAATACACGCCCTTCCCGTAGACCGTGGCTGCAGGGCGAGACGGGGCAAGGTCAGGGTGGTCGGGGTGCGCAGAGCCCCCGCCCCTGCCCGGCTCAGGCCTCACCGTTGCGGCCGCAGAAGCTGCGGTTGAAGCCGTGGGCGCAGATGTCAGGCACTGCCGGTGCCGTCGTGCCGTGGTACAGCACCTGCTCCACCGGGCGCCGCTCGCATCGCTGCAGCAGGCGCTCCCGGTACAGCTCATACTGCTGCTGCAGCAGCGGGTGCGACACGCGCTCCACCTGCGGGGAAGGCCCGGGCCAGGATTAAACACCCTCCCTACGCCCTGGGGCCGACGCAGGGCAGAGCTGAGCCTGGCAACCAGGAGCCCTCTGTTGGAGGAGTCCAGGGTTTGAGGGAGCCCTTGCAGCCCCCATCATGCTCTGTCCAGCAGCAGACAGTAACACCTCCGTGAAGCAAGTGACTTCAGAGGGCCGCTGGGGAGGCCTGACCCCTCCCCCTCCCGTGGAGGTCTGCGGGCGGGCAAACCCCACCCACTCAAGCGAGGCCTCTGCAGAGAAAAGCTGAGCCAGGGCCCTATGCTGCCTACAGGACTTGACTCCAACACGAGGAGATGCCACAGACCTCTCAGTGCTGAAAGACCCAGGTGGGAGAGAAGGCCTCAGGTGACCAACCTGACAGCCCTGGGAAACACTTTTAAAGAAATTTTAAATAGTTTCTTCAGAGAGTTGCAAAAGAACACCATGTCTATTAAACAAAACTAGCTGCTATGAAAAGGAACTAGTCTGAAAACCAGAGTGCTCCTGCATTCAGAAAGGGACGCTGAGCTAAATCTAGAGGGGGTGAGCCAAATGAGGAAGTGGTTCAAACTGAAGACCCAGCTAGCGTTCTAGATGGAGTTCAGGAACTGATGCAGAGTGAGAAGCTAACGGAAGAGAAAGGAACTCCGAGGGAGCAGGTGAGGGGGCCTGAGGTCTGAGCCGGCATAGCAGGAGCTCCACCGGCCGGAGCTCCAGCACACACAGGGAAGACGCTTCCCTGAGCTGAAGGAACATCTTCAGATACACAAGATCCGTGAAATGCCAAGAAGGACAATGAGGAAAGACAACGCCCCTGGCACCCACGTGCCAGGAAACCTCAACCTTCAGAGTGAAAGAAAACCCTGCAAGTTTTTTTTTTTTTTTTTCTTTGAGAGGGAGTCTGGCTGTGTCGCCCAGGCTGGAGTGCAGTGGCACGATCTCGGCTCACTGCAAGCTCCGCCTCCCGGGTTCACGCCATTCTCCTGCCTCAGCCTCCCGAATAGCTGGGACTACAGGCACCTGCCACCGCGCCCGGCTATCTTTTTTGTATTTTTAGTAGAGAAGGGGTTTCACTGTGTTAGCCAGGATGGTCTCGATCTCCTGACCTCGTGATCCGCCCGCCTCAGCCTCCCAAAGTGCTGGGATTACAGGCGTGAGCCACCGCAGCTGGCCAACCCTGCAAGTTTACACACACACACAACAAGGTCAATATGCAAACCGGAAGAAGTCTCACCTTCTCACATTGGGTCTCTCATTACCGACACCAGATGCTAAGAAACCATGGGGGGATATTTTTTAACTTTCCAAGAAAAATATTCTTTTAAGAATGAAGAAAAACAGCAATGTCTTCAAATATCTGAGGAAAAACATATTTTGAACCTGAACACTATATCCAGCCAAACTAGTAATGAAGAATGAGGACAAATAAGGGCATATTAGGACACACGAGAACATGGAAGTTCATACCAACATCAAATTACAGTTGCAAAATACCTCTAATTGTAAAGGGCAATATAAATTTAAAAGTCGGCCGGGTGCAGTGGCTCACGCCTGTAATCCTGGCACTTTGGGAGGCCAAGGTGGGTGGATCACTTGAGGTCAGGAGTTCGAGACCAGCCTGACCAACATGGCAAAACCCCGTCTCGCTGGGCATGGTGGCTCACGCCTGTAATCCCAGCACTTTGGGAGGCCGAGGTGGGCGGATCACGAGGTCGGGAGATCGAGACCATGGTGAAACCCCGTCTCTATTAAAAATACAAAATTTAGCCGGGCGCGGTGGCGGGCGCCTGTAGTCACAGCTACTCAGGAGGCTGAGGCAGGAGAATGGCGTGAACGCAGGAGGCGGAGCTTGCAGTGAGCCGACATCGTGCCACTGCACTCCAGCCTGAGTGACAGAGCGAGACTCCGTCTCAAAAAAAAAAAAAAAAAAAACCCGTCTCAGCCGGGCGCGGTGGCTCACGCCTGTAATCCCAGCACTTTGGGAGGCCGAGGTGGGCAGATCATGAGGTCAGGAGATTGAGACCATCCTGGCTAACATGGTGAAACCCCGTCTCTAATAAAAATACAAAAATAAGCTGGGCGTGGTGGCAGGCGCCTGTAGTCCCAGCTACTCAGGAGGCTGAGGCAGGAGAATGGCGTGAACCCGGGAGGCAGAGCTTGCAGTGAGCTGAGATTGCACCACTGCACTCCAGCCTGGGCTACTGAGTGAGATTCCGTCTCAAAAAAAAAAAAAAAAAAAAAAAAAAAAAAAACCATCTCTACTAAAAATACAAAAAGTAGCTGGGTGTGGTGGTGTGTGCCTGTAATCCCAGCTACTTGGGAGGCTGAGGCAGAATCACTTGAACCCAAGAGGTGGAGGTTGCAGTGAGCCGAGATCATGCCACTGCACTCTAGCCTGGGCAACAGAGAGAGACACTGTCTCAAAAAAATTATATATATAAATGTATATATTAATATATAAATGTATATGTTTAAACATATATGTTCACATATACGTAAATTTAAAAGTCAAATATGTTTAGCACCCACTCAAGGAGATACTCCCACTAAACAAAAGAGTCTGTGCCAAAAGGTGACAAGCGGGGTACTGAGTAACCCGGTGGTCAAGAATGGCCTGGAAAAAATGAAGAAAGTCAAAAAAAGAAAAGCCATTAGCCTTGAATCCTAGAACATCTTTTTTACAGAACAGAATTTTAATAACTAGGATTTCACTTCTCTTTCTATGGCTCAGTGGTAAATGTTTTTTCATTATTATAGTATGTCTACCAACCTATGGCCCACGCATGGAGGCTTTGTGATAGTTACAGAAACCTTTACGACATAATAAAAATAATGTAACTGACCAAATTGAGATGGAAGATGAGGGAGGAGGCAAAAGAGAGAGAAGCGAGGCCCATTCTCCTCATCTTCCATGCGGGAAGGCAAGAAACAATCTCTAAAGCTGTCAAGTGAAAAAAAAAAATTCAAGCATACCATTTAAAGTCATCAAGGTGCTCACTAAATTCAAGCATACCATTTAAAGTCATCAAGGTGCTCACCGGAAGAACCAAGTACGTATAATTAACAAAACCACCAGGATATGAGGTCAGTGCGTCTGGGTGGTGGTGATCCTGGTGGCGGTGAGCGGTGACGGTGTGTTGGTGAAGCTGACGGTGACAGTGGTGATGCTAATGGTGGTGATGATGGTGGCCACGGTGGTGGTGGTAGTGGTGGTGGTGATGGTGGTGACGACAGTGAGTGGTGAAGGTGATGGTGATGATGGTGGTGACGACAGTGAGTGGTGAAGGTGATGGTGATGATGGTGGTGACGACAGTGAGTGGTGAAGGTGGTGGTGATGATGGTGGTGACGACAGTGAGTGGTGAAGGTGGTGGTGATGATGGTGGTGACGACAGTGAGTGGTGAAGGTGGTGGTGATGGTGGTGACGACAGTGAGTGGTGAAGGTGATGGTGATGATGGTGGTGACGACAGTGAGTGGTGAAGGTGGTGGTGATGATGGTGGTGACGACAGTGAGTGGTGAAGGTGATGGTGATGATGGTGGTGACGACAGTGAGTGGTGAAGGTGGTGGTGATGATGGTGGTGACGACAGTGAGTGGTGAAGGTGGTGGTGATGATGGTGGTGACGACAGTGAGTGGTGAAGGTGATGGTGATGATGGTGGTGACGACAGTGAGTGGTGAAGGTGGTGGTGATGATGGTGGTGACGACAGTGAGTGGTGAAGGTGGTGGTGATGATGGTGGTGACGACAGTGAGTGGTGAAGGTGGTGGTGATGATGGTGGTGACGACAGTGAGTGGTGAAGGTGGTGGTGATGATGGTGATGGTGATGGTGGTGGTGATGACAGTGAGTGGTGAGGGTCATGGTGATGGTGTGATGGTGGTGGTGATGGTGATGGGGTGATGGTGATGATGGTGGTGATGATGGTGGTGAGGGTCATGGTGATGGTGTGATGGTGGTGATGATGGTGGTGAGGTCTGGGGACAGCCAGAGGTTCTTTTTGCATTTCTGACCAGCTCCTGGTGGAGGGTGATGCTGCTGGCCCCACGCACAACTTTGGGCATCAAGAGTTGAGAGTGCCCCGTGCAAGGCCGGGCGCGGTGGCTCACGCCTGTAATCCCAGCACTTTGGGAGGCCGAGGCGGGCGGATCACGAGGTCAGTAGATCGAGACCATCCTGGCTAACATGGTGAAACCCCGTCTCCACTAAAAATATTTTTTAAAAAATTAGCCGGGCGTGGTGGCAGGCGCCTGTAGTCCCAGCTACTTGGGAGGCTGAGGCAGGAGAATGGCGTGAACCCGGGAGGCGGAGCTTGCCGTGAGCCGAGATCGTGCCACTGCACTCCAGCCCAGGAGACACAGCGAGATGCCGTCTCAAAAAAGAGAGTGCCCCGCGCAGTGTCATCAGCACAGTGACCGCAGCGAGCCCGGGCCTTTCTGTGGAGGCAGAAGAGCGCCCAGAACAGCACAAGGGACGCATCTGTGGAGCGAGTAATCCTCAAAATGACCACAAGATGGCATCACCGCCCCATGCTCCAAATAAGGAAACTGAGGCCTGGAGCTGGTCCCATAGTCCCTGCTGACCCAGCCACGAGTGGCAGAGTGGGGACCCTCACTCAGGCCTATCAGATCCCAAGGCCCCCACTCTGTTCCCTCCTGTTTCCCTACCCACTTTGGGAACGCCCTCTGGGCAGAGAACAGGGCTGGGAGCCTGTCAGCTCCTGGTCAGCTGACCTTGATGTAGGCGAGAGGGACAGGCCACAGACTTGGCAAGGCGCTAATGGTGCAAGAGCCCAGGACGCCATGAGGCCAGAGAGACAGGGCATGGACTCACACGAACGACGCGGATGCTGCTGCGGGCAGCGTCCAGGGTGTCGTAGAAGGCCCGCACCACCTCCTGGAACTCCCCGGTGTTCTCTGCCAGACGCTCCAGGTTGTTCCAGGGCCCCTTCAGCGTCTGCCCCGCCACTGATGCATGGGGAAAAGCGGGGGGTCAGAGCCATGCCTGGGGCACTAGCCCCTGCTAACCAGCCCACCCCACCGTCCCTCAGTCCAGGAGGTAGACTCACAGGTAGGGCCTGAAGCTGCCAAGGGAAAGGCCAAACTCTGATCCCAGGGGCCAGCCAGAAGTGCCACCAAGTGGCGGGCAGCACGGGCAGGGTGGGCCCCGAAGCCACGGAGGATGGTGCAGTCACCACGCAGGGCAACACTCACACCATGGCACCGCTCCAGGCGAGCACGCAGCTCTGCAGGCAGTGTGCGGCGCCAGGGCCCCACCGTCTCCTCCTGGACGTGGACCTCCAAGGCAGCCCTGAGCGCCCGGTCCAGCTCCTCCACATCCTGCTCAAAGGCCGAGTGCACCACCAGCTGGGCCTTGCCATCAGTCCCCCCATCTGGGGGCTCTTCTGCCTCCAACGGGGGCTGCTCCAGCAGGGAGAGGGTTAGGGCTTGCCGCAGGGCAGCAGCCTCCTCCTGCTCAGCCACCTGACCTTGAGGCTCCAGTGACCGGTGGAGGGCCAGCTGCAGAGCGGCCTCCTCCTCCAGCCACCTGGGTGCCACAGTGCTGGGGGCCACAGGCTCCTCCTCCTCATGCCCTGGGGTCACCTCCTCCTCTGGCTGCTCCTGAGGCCCTTCCTCCTCCAGCTCCCGAGGCAGCCAGTCCTCCCCGTCTAGGTCTAGGCCCTCCAGGGTGGCCAGCAGTTCTCGGACCTCCTCTGGGGGCAGGGAGAGGCCATTGGGTCAGGGGCTGGACCCAGGAGGAGTTGGAATGGATGAAAGATGGGGAGCAAGTTTTTAGGGTACAGGGTGGGCCTAAGATGGGTCAGTAGACAGATGGGAGCACAGAGCAGGGCAGGGGGTGAGGTCAAGTGAGGGCCACAGGATGTGCTGAGGGCTCCCAGGGAGCCCTACCCAGGCTCACGTCCTCCTGGTCACCACCTGTACTGTCTGGGGTCCACAGGGTGTGGGCGTTGCCAGGGAGCACTGGGAGGGCCTCGGTAGGGTCCACCTGTAGGGAGAGGATGTCAGGACCACTAGCCTCTGGGCAAGGGCAGAGGAGGCCTGGGGCAGAGGCGTGAGAAAGGGGAGGGCAGGGGTGGGACTCCATCTCTACCTCTTCAAGGCCTGTGTCCAACGTGGCTGTGGCCAGGCGCTCTGTCCCAAAGACACACTGGAACTGAGCCTCCAGCCCCTGGAGAAGGTGCTGCCCTTCTGGGCCCAGGAGAAACCTGGCGCTGCCCGGGTGCTCCAGGCACAACACATGGCAGCTAATGCTGCCCAGCAGGCTCCGCAGAAACTCCTCAGCCGCCTGGCAGGAAGCCTGGGCTCCACAGAGCTGCAGGGCCATTGCAGAGATGGAGTTTGCAGGTTTAGAGCACAGGAAAGGTACTTTGAGTCCCCAGTAGGAGGAGGGGGCTGAAGGTGAGGAGTCCTGAGGGGTCACTCACCCGAAAGCCAGTCATATCCGGTCCTTCAAGTGGCAAGAGAGCGACGTCTCCCAGGCCCGCAAGAAGGTCCTCATGGTAGAGCTGCAGGAAGCGCATCGCCCCTGGCTCCATCAATAGCACCATCTCCACCAGGCCCTCCTGCCCTGCCAGCTTCACACATCCTGGGCTCACAGGCCCTGCCTTCTCCAGAGACCCCATGGTGATCTCCATGGGACCCACCAGCCCCTCTTGCTCTGGTGAGTCCATGGCAATTTCCACCAGGCCCTCCTGCCCCAGCAACCCCTTAGAGGTCTCCACTGGGCCTGCAGACCCCACAGGCCCCAGGCTCATGGGCCCCTCCTGTTCCTGCAACCCCACAGGCCTCAGGCTTACCAGCCCCTCATGTTCCAGAGACCCCATGGGCATCGAGCTGACTTGCTCTGCCTGTCCCAGAGACCCCATGGGACCTGTCCTCAGAGAGGTCCCTGACTGCCCTGGTTCCTGGCCAGAGCCTGTTGTCATAATCCCTCTACCCTGCACCATGGGACCTGTCCTCAGAGAGGCCCCTGACTGCCCTGGTTCCTCGCCAGAGCCCATTGTCACAGTCCCTGCACCCTGCAGAGCCGTCACCAACCCTCCGGTCCTCAGGAGAGCATGCTTGGTAGCCCTAGGCCCCTGGGTGGACGGGTGGTCCCCTCCACTGGTGTTCTCAGCCAGCTCCTCGGGCTCCAGGATGTCGTAGTGGGGGACAAGGCTCAGCTCTGAGCCCTGCAACCGGTGCTCCTGCTGCAACACTCGTTCTGCCACTTGGAGGAAGGGAAAGGACAGAAAGCCTGTCAGATTTCTGCAGGAGAGGGACGGTCGGCTGGGTCTGCCCAGCCCCACTCACCTTGCCACTGCTGGAAGGAGGCAACAGTGCCCAGGGGCCCGGGTAGGCGTTGCAGGTCCTCCAGGGGCCCCCCACCACTGCGGCGCTCATTCTCCAGGTACAACTCCAGCAACAGCAGGTCCACAGAGGCACCATCCCCCACCACACGCACCGCTCGGGCCTGGGGAACCCGGGCCAGGGACACCAAGGTCCCCTCCAGGCCCAGATTCTGGGCCTGCTCCTCCAGGACACGGACATCTGTGGGGTATGTGCAGGTCAGCTCAGGGAATCCCCCCTAGCCAGCACCTCAACCCCAACCCTGCCTCTCACCTGCCTCAGAAAGGGGCTTGGGCAACTGGACCAGAGCCCGGTCTGGCCGGGGGCTGGCCAAGGCACAGCAAGGCTGTACTGGGAGCCCCGAGGCCCGCAGCAAGGCCTGGACATGCTGCTCCAAGCGCTGGGGCGTGGTGCCAGGGGGCAGTCCTTGGAGCAGCAGGCGTGCAGGGGCTCGTGGTGGAGCTGGCCGCAGGCTCAGCTGGGCACCATGTAGTTCGTGATCTGCCTGGGCCAAGACCCTCTCGGCGTCTGTGGGCAGGGGCGGGGCAGGATGTCAGGCATTAGAATATCAGGGCACCCAGGCTGTCCCTTCAGCCAGCCCTCTCACCTGCAGGCTCTCTGAAGGTGAGGACGCCCCCACAGCCCAGTCTCTGCCAGCTCAACACAGGTCCCCCTCCAGAGCGTCGGCGGTTTTCAAAGTAGAGAGTGAGCAGCTCGTCGGGCACGGCAGGGGGCAGTCCACGGACCTCCACTGCCACCCCTGCCTCTGCCTCCGCCATTGCAACCCTGGGACGGGGCATCAGGTGGGTAGGGAAACAGCCCATTCCACCCCTCCTGCCCCTCCCCAGGCCCCTCCAAGGT
The DNA here is from genome assembly GCF_000001405.40 of Homo sapiens. Taxonomy (NCBI): domain Eukaryota; kingdom Metazoa; phylum Chordata; class Mammalia; order Primates; family Hominidae; genus Homo; species Homo sapiens. The sequence goes on from NC_000008.11 coordinate 143,986,309, forward strand.
GTGTCCTCAATGCTCCCCCATTATGGGTGGCCCCACATACAGCACTTACATTCCCCGTGGCCGCTAGGCAGCCTCAGGCCATGAGCTCAGCCAGGACTCCTGTGCCTGCCCCTCAGCAAGCCTAACCCTGCTGGGAGCAGGAAAACAAAAGTGAAACTGAAAGACGGAAGGAGGGAGGGAGCAGCTGGGCCCTGGGCGCTGAGGCCTGGGTACTGGGGCTCAGATGCTTCCTCTCCTGCTGCAGCCTCAACCCCCAGCTGACCAGGAGGTATTGGCCAGGCTGGACCCCTCAGGACCCTCCAGCCAACCCAGCCCAGCCCACCGGCCCTACCTGGCCCACTCCAGCCCCTGGTTGGCAGGGTAGACAGGAGTGTCCCCTGGTGGCCCTCCACTCCCCTGGCCTCCATGGCCTGAAAATGGCCAATCACCCGCCCCACTAAACCCACCAAGGGGCCTGAGTCACTGCCCCTCACTCAGGATCTCCAAGCCTCTGTGTCCATGACACCCTCTGCACACAAAGTGCTGGGTCTCCAGGCCCGCCCCCGGCCAAGGCTGGCCTTCAACGCCCCCAGCAACCTTCTCAACCCTGCTCCTGGTCCCTCACACCTGCCAGGTGCTGAGCATGGGCGGTTCCCCACCCTTGGTCTCCAAGAATGTGCATTGCAGCACAGCCTTCCTCCCGCCTCAGGTCTTGCCTGCCCATTCCTGCAGCTTTCTGTCCTGCCTGCACCTCCCCATCTCACACCATCATTGGCATCGTCACAAGTAACCTCAGAAGGTGACAAGGTAATGGCTCCACTGCATTCCTTGCTGCCGCTAATCCTCACCACAGAAAGGGAAACGGAGGTGCAGACAGGCCCATAGCAGCACCAGGCCTCAAACCTGGGCGGTGCCTTCAGAGTCCACACTCCCACTCGCCACAGATCTCCCACATCACCCAAGCTCCGTTTGCTTCCAGCCTTTCAAAGAGCTGTGGCCACTACCACTCTCCATCTCCTACTTCCCACTCACCCCTCAGCCCACCAAAACCCAGCCCCACCCCTGCTGTTCCTCCCTCCAGGGAGCTGAGGACCCTGGCCAGCCTGCACTCCTAGCCCTGCACATGCCACACCTCTGCTGCCCCGACCCTGGTCCCAGCCTCCAGCATCTCTCGCTAGGTAGCTAGGCTAACCTCTTAACTAGTCTCTGTCTGCCACTCCCATGGTGGGTCCTCAACAGAGGTGTCAGGGTGAGCCTTGTAAAATGACACCAGCAGCTGCTACAGCTCCCAGCATCAGCAACAGTAGAAACCAAAGTCCTGGGGGCCGGGCGCAGTGGCTCATGCCTGTAATCCCAGCACTTTGGGAGACTGAGGCAGGTGGATCACGAGGTCAGGAGTTTGAGATCAGCCTGGCCAACATGGTAAAACCCTGTCTCTACTAAAAATATAAAAATTAGCCGGGCATGGTGGCAGGTGCCTATAATCTCAGCTACTCAGGAGGCTGAGTCAGGAGAATAGCTTGAACCTGGGAGGTGGAGGTTGCAGTGAGCTGAGATCGTGCCACTGCACTCCAACCAAGGTGATAGAGTGAGACTCTGTCTAAAAAAAAAACAAAAACCCAAAGTCCTTTTGAGGACCTGCCCCCTGCCCAGCTGCACCTGACCAGACCTCAGTCCCTTCTCTGGCCCCATGCCCCCTGCACACCCTGATGCTCAGAGGGCTCCAGGCTCTCAGCTCTTCCTGCAGAGCTACAGGCCACTCCTGCCTCAGTAGCCTGGGACTGGCCCTTCCCTCTGCTTGGCCCTACCTTCCCCACAAACCCCCATGGCCACCCCTCTGGCATGATCTCCCTTACTCTGCCTTTTTTTTTTTTTTTTCTGAGACGGAGTTTCGCCCTTTCACCCAGGCTGGAGTGAAGTGCCGTGATCTCGGCTCACTGCAACGTCCACCCACTGGGTTCAAGGGATTCTCCTGCCTAAGCCTCCCAAGTAGCTGGGATTACAGGCACGCACCACCATGCCCAGCTAATTTTTGTATTTTTAGCAGAGACAGGGTTTCACCCTATTGGGCAGACTGGTCTCAAACTCCTGACCTCAGATGATCCACCTGCCTCAGCCTCCCAAAGTGCTGGGATTACTGGTGCCAGCCACCATACCCAGCTATTTTATTTTTATTTACTTATTTATTTATTTTTTGAGACAGAGTCACACTCTGTTACGCAGGCTGGAGTGCGGTGGCACGATCTCAGCTCACTGTAACCTCTGCCTCCCAGGTTCAAGCCATTCTCCTGCCTCAGCCCCCCCAATAGCTGGGATTACAGGTGCACACCACCACGCCCAGCTAATTTTTTTTTGTATTTTTAGTAGAGACGGGGTTTCACCGTGTTAGCCAGGATGGTCTCCATCTCCTGACCTTGTGATCCACCCGCCTCGGCCTCCCAAAGTGCTGGGATTACAGGCGTAAGCCACCGCGCCCAGCAAGCATTTTATTTTTCTTAAAGGTCTCTCAAATTTTGTGAGCTTCTGCTTCTACAAAGGTAGAAGTTACCTTCTACAAGGGTAAATCCATCCCTGCTTTTTCCACGTTTTCTCTAATGGAACTCATCACAGGTTATCCATTACGCCGACCCTGGCTGCAGAGGGCCTGCCACAGGCACCACTCACACCACAAGCAGACTGGTACAGTTTCGGGAATTTCTGTGGACTGGTTGTCCAGCTGGGGGTAACTTGAAACCAGCCCCGGTGGAGTATTCACACCACGCGCATGTGCAAAACACGCACCCCAGGCTTCCCCTCACTAGGTCCGGCTGCTAAACACTGCGCCAGCGCACCATAGGTGCAGGACTCAGAGCGGCCTGGGAGAGGCCGGCCCTCCAAGGGCGGGAGGGCAGGTGGGGTCTGGGCCCCGGGTGGGAAGGCTGGCAGCAGGATGTACCCTGCCTGTGTCAGTCACTGCTCCCCCAAGAGGACTTGGGAGCTAAGCAGGGAGGTGGCCTGGCCTCCAGTCCTGCTGCATCCCCAAGCCTCAGCCCCTCGCAGCTTGTGAGGACGTTAGGCAGACAAGCGAGCGTTCAGGGTCTCTAGTGTGAAAACAAGACATCGTATTTGTTAGTACAAAGGGTGACTGTGGTCAAGAATAATTGTACATTTTAAAACAACTCCAAGAGTATAACTGGATTGTTTGTAACACGAAGGACAAAATGCCTGAGCTGATGGATACCCCATTTACCTTGATGTGATTATTATCCATGGCATGCCTGTATCAAAACATCCCATGTAGCCCGTAAATATACACCTACTATGTATCCACAAGAATTAAAAAAATAAAAAAGGGTCTCTAGTAGCAGGCCTGGCAGAGTTTGGGCTGACAGAGCAAATGGGGCAATTAAACCACGAGGCCTCGATTTGGGAACTAAAGGATTAGGCTTCTTGATTTGGGAGAGATCTGGATGAAAAGAAGTGAACGTCGGGTTTTAAGGCCGAGAACGGACGGTCAGTCCCGGGCAGCTTCAGCAAATCCCGCATTTAGGAATAAATTTCTTAACTACCGAACGGCCAGTCAAATTGGCCAGACCAGACTTCTGCCTCCAGGGGTCTTCAGCGCCCACCGCCCGACCCCACCCCTCGGCAGACAGTGAGAGGCGGGCCTCTGGCCGGAGCGAAGAGGAACACGCAAGGCGGCGCAGCGGGAGGGGTCCGCGGAAGCCCCGCCCACCTGCCCCTCCCACCCCGAAGCTCGCCCGGCCCCGCCCCCTGCCCCGCCCCGTCACAAGGCCCCGCTGCGTCTTCCGAGCCGCAGGCGCAGGCCCAGCTGAGCGGCCGCCGAGCGGGTGCGGGTGCGGGCGCATCGGCCATCACCGCGCGGCCGCGCAGCGGACACCGTGCGTACCGGCCTGCGGCGCCCGGCCACCGGTGAGTCCCCGGCCCGAGCCCAGGAGCGCCTCTGACCCGCTGCGCCGCGCGGCCTGCCGCCCCCGCCCCCGCCCCCACGCGGATCTTGCGCATCCGAGCGTGGCCGCCTCGGGTCAGTAAGTTGGTCCGGCCGGGGCGCGCGGCAGCTCGCGGCCAGAGGTGGCGGCGGTGGTGGGGGCGGGGAGCCGCGGCGGCCTGGAGCCGGAGGGAGGGGGCGGCGCGCTGCGGCGACTGCTGGACCCGTGACCCTGTGCGCCCCCGGCCCGCGGAGGGCCCATCCGCTCTCGGTGCCAGTGCCACGGCCGCAGCCCCTACCCGCCTCGCCCCACGCCCGCTTTGTTCCCCGCACGCCCCGTGGTCGCTTCCATCCCCCACACACCCCCGCACCCCGCTGTTCCCGGCGTACCCCACTGGCAGGCACCGGCAGCCGATCCAGGCCCGATCCCCCCACCCCGGAGCCAGGGGCCGTTGGGCCCTGTTGTTGGGCTCGCGGGGGTGGGGGGGCTCGGGCCTTTGTTGGTCACAGATGGCCCGGGGATTTCCTGGGATAGAAATAGCCGCCGGCTCCGGCCCCTTAAAGCTGCTTAAGGGGCGGGATGCGGAGGGGAGGGTCCGGGCACACCCCACACGTCCCCGGCCGAGACCCCAGCCTCCGCGCTGAGCTCCCACCCGGGAGACGCCGGCAGCGGCGCAGGCCTCCGGTTGCTTGTGAGAAACGACCCAAGCCCCAAATCCCGAGGCTGGCGGTCGTCCCCTCGCCCGGCCCCTCCCCCACCCTAAAGGCGGCCTAGAGCCCTGGGAAGGCCCCACGGCGCCGCCCGTCCGGTCCTCACGCGCTTCTCCGGGCCCAGGCTCCGGGGCTCCCCACAGCCCGGGGCAAAGGTCACGGTCTTCCCTTGCTTCCCCCTGGGTTCCCAGAAGCAGGTGGAGTTGCGCAGGGCTGGGTCCCGACGCTGTCGTCAAGCCAACTGTTCCACTGTTCCTTGTCTGTCTTCTCTAGGGGCGGACCGCGGAACCCGAGGCCATGTCCCATGAAAAGAGTTTTTTGGTGTCTGGGGACAACTATCCTCCCCCCAACCCTGGATATCCGGGGGGGCCCCAGCCACCCATGCCCCCCTATGCTCAGCCTCCCTACCCTGGGGCCCCTTACCCACAGCCCCCTTTCCAGCCCTCCCCCTACGGTCAGCCAGGGTACCCCCATGGCCCCAGCCCCTACCCCCAAGGGGGCTACCCACAGGGTCCCTACCCCCAAGGGGGCTACCCACAGGGCCCCTACCCACAAGAGGGCTACCCACAGGGCCCCTACCCCCAAGGGGGCTACCCCCAGGGGCCATATCCCCAGAGCCCCTTCCCCCCCAACCCCTATGGACAGCCACAGGTCTTCCCAGGACAAGACCCTGACTGTGAGTCTCAGGAAGGGAGGGGTGGGGTGGCCGGGAGGGCAGGGGGAGGTGCTTGTGAGTGGCGCTGACCCAGCCTGTCTGCTTCTCAGCACCCCAGCATGGAAACTACCAGGAGGAGGGTCCCCCATCCTACTATGACAACCAGGACTTCCCTGCCACCAACTGGGATGACAAGAGCATCCGACAGGCCTTCATCCGCAAGGTGGGTAGGGGCATCTCCAAGGCGGTGGGGGCTGTGGCTCCCAGCGGATGACTCTGAGCGGCTCCTTCCCCAGGTGTTCCTAGTGCTGACCTTGCAGCTGTCGGTGACCCTGTCCACGGTGTCTGTGTTCACTTTTGTTGCGGAGGTGAAGGGCTTTGTCCGGGAGAATGTCTGGACCTACTATGTCTCCTATGCTGTCTTCTTCATCTCTCTCATCGTCCTCAGCTGTTGTGGGGACTTCCGGCGAAAGCACCCCTGGAACCTTGTTGCACTGGTAACCCCCAAACCTGAGCCTCTGTGCCTGGGTCCGGCCATGCAGTCCCACACGCCCACTCTTCCGGGCCTGGTCACCGTGGTTCTCCTTGTGCTCATGAGGCAGGGGCCGGCAGGGGTGGCATGGGGGCACACACCCAAGGTCAGCCTGTGTCTCCCAACTGCAGTCGGTCCTGACCGCCAGCCTGTCGTACATGGTGGGGATGATCGCCAGCTTCTACAACACCGAGGCAGTCATCATGGCCGTGGGCATCACCACAGCCGTCTGCTTCACCGTCGTCATCTTCTCCATGCAGGTGAGGGGCCTCCCGTGGCTGGGCTGTGGCCGCAGGGGCTGAGCAGCTTTCCCAGGCCCAGCCCCATGGCCCGTTCCTCTCCCACCTGCAGACCCGCTACGACTTCACCTCATGCATGGGCGTGCTCCTGGTGAGCATGGTGGTGCTCTTCATCTTCGCCATTCTCTGCATCTTCATCCGGAACCGCATCCTGGAGATCGTGTACGCCTCACTGGGCGCTCTGCTCTTCACCTGCGTGAGTGAGGGGTGACCTTGGCCGGGGGCGGGATGCTGGGCAGGCAGGCTTGTCCCTCAACACCACTGTGCTGTCACCTCCAGTTCCTCGCAGTGGACACCCAGCTGCTACTGGGGAACAAGCAGCTGTCCCTGAGCCCAGAAGAGTATGTGTTTGCTGCGCTGAACCTGTACACAGACATCATCAACATCTTCCTGTACATCCTCACCATCATTGGCCGCGCCAAGGAGTAGCCGAGCTCCAGCTCGCTGTGCCCGCTCAGGTGGCACGGCTGGCCTGGACCCTGCCCCTGGCACGGCAGTGCCAGCTGTACTTCCCCTCTCTCTTGTCCCCAGGCACAGCCTAGGGAAAAGGATGCCTCTCTCCAACCCTCCTGTATGTACACTGCAGATACTTCCATTTGGACCCGCTGTGGCCACAGCATGGCCCCTTTAGTCCTCCCGCCCCCGCCAAGGGGCACCAAGGCCACGTTTCCGTGCCACCTCCTGTCTACTCATTGTTGCATGAGCCCTGTCTGCCAGCCCACCCCAGGGACTGGGGGCAGCACCAGGTCCCGGGGAGAGGGATTGAGCCAAGAGGTGAGGGTGCACGTCTTCCCTCCTGTCCCAGCTCCCCAGCCTGGCGTAGAGCACCCCTCCCCTCCCCCCCACCCCCCTGGAGTGCTGCCCTCTGGGGACATGCGGAGTGGGGGTCTTATCCCTGTGCTGAGCCCTGAGGGCAGAGAGGATGGCATGTTTCAGGGGAGGGGGAAGCCTTCCTCTCAATTTGTTGTCAGTGAAATTCCAATAAATGGGATTTGCTCTCTGCCTTCCCCTGGTCACTCTTCTCCCTGCCACTTTCAACATGAAGTTGGGAGGGGCTCCAGGCCCTCCCTGCTGATGGAGACACAGGACCAGAAATGAATAGTGGAGATTAATACAGTGCCAAGCCTCTGCCCACACACAGCTACATCATAAGGTGTGTGTTGGGTTCCCAACTGATGGACAGAGACCCTGGGGTGCCCAGAGTGAGTTAAGCCTGTGCTGGGGTACCCCAATGGTAAGTGGCCTGGCTGTGTCTACCAGGTGCTCCGTGGAGATGGCACGGTATAGCCGCCTCACTCTTCTGTCGCCTGGGCCAGCGGCACAGGTCATTGGCCTGCCCCAGGGCAGCCTGCCATGCTCCTTGGGCGCTCCTTGGGCCTCCCCAGCTCTGTGCAGTCCATCTGTGTGGGCACCCTGATATTCCACCCAGGCCTGCCTCTCTCCAGCCTCCCCATGAGAAACACAGGCTGGAGATCCCGTCCAAGAGCTGGACAGAGACTGAGGGCTCAGCCATTTGGGCCCCTTGGCCTGCCCAGGCCCGGTCCTTTGGAGCCCTCAGCCCCAGCCTGCAGTGCGTTTCCTGCCCTGTGACGCCTGCTGCTCCTGCAGGGGGTCCCTCCATTGCCTGGGACCTGGCTGGTCTGAGCCCTGCTGAGCTCTCACACCCCGCGGCTCTAGGCCCAGAGGCAGCTTTGGACTTGGATATTCCCACTGCAGCCTCGAGGCTCTGCATGCAGCGTGGCCTGAGGATCTCTCAAGGCCCCTCCCCACTGCCCAGTCAGTCCCCTTAGCACCTCTGTGTACGAAGCCAGCACCACCCTGATGTCCGCGGGCACCGCAGTTGTGGGGTGCCCAGAGCCAAGCTCATCCTTCCTGAAACCTGCTCCTGCATTATCTCCAGGCCAGAGCAGGGGCTGCCCCGCTTCCCTCTCCCTCCCAACCTCCCCTGCCTCACCTGGCCTCCTCGCCTGCCCCGCCCTCCACCAGGACCCTAGCGGTGTGTTTCTGAAACATCAATCACATCCGTTGCACTACCCGCCTGCCTAAAACCCTCGGTGGTGCCCTCAGGATGAAGTCCACGCTCCTTAGCCTGGTACGCGGGCCCTGCCATCTGCCCACTGGTGGCTCCAGCTGCCCTCCTGTTGTCCTTTTGCCTCTCAGCCGGGGGCCCTGACCCTGCACAACCTGAGTCACGAGTGGGCTCCCTGCTGCAGTGCTGTCATTGTTCACAGACAGTCCCTCTGCCAGTGTGGGGACACACACTGCCTTCCCAGCCACGAGGGCACCTCCTGGAGTCCACCTTGCCCTCTGCAGCGGCTAATCACATGCTGAGCAGCGAGTGGGCCACACGGCTCCCCCTTCCCCCACCTCCCCTTCCGGCTATTTCCTGAGCAGGTGCAGTTCCTCCTCTGGGTGCCCGCCTGTGCTCCAGCATGCTGAGGAGGAGAAAGAACCTGCCTAGCTCTAGCTCCCAGACCCCTCAGGATTTTATACGAAAGAGGAGAATAAAGTGTTTATGTGGCTAACGAGAACGTCAGGGCGGGGGCAGGGGTGGTCTCGGGAGTAACTGCCAAGTGAAATGTGCCAGGACATTGTTTTCTTGAGGAGTTTGAGACGGACACAAACTCTTGGCTGAGAGGGAGAGGCTTTAGTGAGGCTCCCTGGGAACGGCAAGCTCCAGAGGTGTGGGACAGGGCCAGGGGGTGGAGGGTCCACAGCAAAGACCCCCACTGCCAGAGAGAAGGCCAGGGCTGAACACAGGAGGGCTTGGGCCTATCCTGCAGGTGAAGGGCACTCAGGCAGGGGCCACAGCTGGGTTTGTGTTTAGGAAGATGAGTCTGGCAATAGACGGTGCAGGGGAAGTCATGGGGCTGTGAACAGGTGAAGTGGGCCACAAGGAAGCCATTGAGACATGCCAGAGAGGAGCTGGGAGCACAGACGCCTCCAGAAGCATCGGGAGGTGCCAATTAAGCCAGGCTGGGCACAGCCGAAGGCCAGTGGGATGTGTCTGACAACTGAGAGGTCTGCTATCTGCTGTGTCCCAGCCAGGGAGTGAAATGAGTCCGAGTACGTGGTGATGTGGCCAGGCAGATGAATCGGCACGGGGTGCTCACATGGAGTCATGAGGCTGAACGCACCTGTAGCAATTGTGAGGCCACCACACTGATTCTTCAGGTAGAAAGAAGACCAGTCGCTGACATCTGGGAGCTGATCTGGTCCTATCTTGTAGGCCTCAGTGTTGCTAGGAGCTGTCCTGGCACTCACAGATAGAGGCCTTGGTGTTGCTAGGAGCTGTCCTGGCACTCACAGATAGAGCCCTCAGTGTCTCCTGGTTAAAATTGCATAGAACATCAACATCAGACTACTCTGACCATGATGGATCAATACAAAAACAAGACCCCTCTGTTATCACTCTGAACACAGACAAAACATGGGCACTGTCCAAGCTGTAAAAAGGGCAAGCAGTGCCCTGTCCCAGCCAGTCTGAGTGGCTGCTGCCTCTTCACAGCTGACAGCTCTAGCCTGGCTCTAGTCTGTCCTCCTTCCAAATACGATGCATTGAGATTCCCAGTTGCAGAATGACGCCTGCTTCCTGACAGCACCAATCCAGAGCAGAGTCCCGCTTCCCTAAACCCTCCCCCAGATTACTCAAGCCAAATCCTGTAAGAAGTCCTTTCCAGCACCCTCTTAACACGACGCCCCAGGGTGTGGACGCTCCCCCACGATGAGCAGCCACGGGCGTGTTCAAGCATGGGCGTGTCCCCGGGGCTTCACAAGGAGCACTGACACAGGTCACTGACTATATGAAGGCCAAAAAGAGACTTAAATAAAGGAATTTATTTCTCAATCAAAAAACAAGTTATATACGTAAGCAAATATTAAACCCACACTTGATTTCAAGATTAAACAACACAGACATCTATGGAACAAAATGTCCAAGTCTCCACCCCATTCCCCACCCTGCAAAGCAACGCTGTCAATCAACGGTGCCTGCTGAAACCCTAACAGACAGTTGGGGCCAGCTCTGGACCCCAGCTCAGGTGAAACCAGCACGGGAACCCCATTCCACTGCCTCTGGCTAACTGGGGCCACTGTTCTGCAGCTCTGGATTGGAAGCACCTTCAGAACAGAGACTGTGCTCTGTGAGTTTTAACATCCAGCCTAGCACCTAGTCCAGGGCCTGGCACACCACAGGCGTCAAACGTGAAAGGAAGGAATGACCTTTTCACGGCATGATCAGCATGAATGCTCACTGCCCTCACCAGGCCCAGAGGACGCCATAATCTGCTGGACCTTGGCTCAACGTCAGCATCTGAGGAGTGCAGAGAGCAACATTAAAGCCCAGGGGATGCAGGAGACACATTTGGGGAAGCAGGTAGAAGAAGGAGAGGACGCATGGGAGACTCGCAGCGGGCTGAGGAGGCCAGTCGAGGCCATAAGTAAAAAGCTCAAAAGTCTGAACTGTATATTGTAGGCAGTGATCATCCTTGAGATGGTTTAAGTAGAGGCAGGAAGATCAGTGAAGACTATGGTGATGGTGCAGGCAGGGAGACCCAGACTTGGGGGCAGCGGGAAGGGGGAGGGGAGGGACTCCTGGGGGACCTGGTCCCAGCCTTGTAGGCTCTCAAGGTGGCCCCTCCTCCGCCAGGGCCCAGATGCTGCTTCCCAGGCAGCAGGATGGCTTGGCTCATGCTGGCATCAAGACACTACAAATGTCTCCCAAATGTCTACTTTGTCTAAGGCTTGTAGGACACACTGAAGACTTTTCAGAATGCCCAAAATGCAAATACCACCCCCAACTTCTCAACTCCCATCTCTTCACTGCTGGATAATACCTCTTCTCTCTGCAGGCCCTCCACCCTCTGGACCCACTTCACTCTGTCATCCACATCTCTTGCCCTTTCACTGCAACTTCCAAACCCGAGGCTGTCGTGCAACTCCTTCCTCCCAGTCTGGCCAGCTTTTCACTGGTATCCACAGCTTCGTGGGAGGACTCGAGTACCAAGCTCAAAATCTTCCTCTCTAACCCAAATGCTATCACGACCCTTGGCTATTTCTGGTTCTATCTTCTGAACACTCTCAACTTTGTGCCCTTCCCTGAAGGCAAGGCCATGATCACCTCTATAGCAACCCCTAATCTAGCCTCAGCACCACAAAGGGATCTTTTTGATGAACAATCGAATAATGTCATTCCCCTGCTTAAACTCCTTCACTTCTTTGAAGTTCTCTTTGGAGAACTTCCAGCCAAGACGGTGGACTGAACTGAGTCCCAGGAGTTGGGACCTGAGATCCCAACTCCCACTCTTTTTTTTCCCAGCAGTAACTGAAGCAACCAACTCCCACTCTTAACACATAAAATTTGCTACACAAAATTCTTTTTTTTTTTTCCTTTTTTTTGAGACAGGGTTTTACTCTGTCACCCAGACCGGGACACAGATCATGGGTCACTGCACCTCAACCTCCCAGGCTCAAGCAATCTTCCTACCTCAGTCCCCCAAGTAGCTGGGACTATAGGTGCCCCACCACCATGCCTGGCTAATTTTATTTTTATTTTTATTTTTGTAGAAACAGGGTCTTGCTATATTGCCCAGGCTGTTCTCAAACTCCTGGGTTCAAGCGATCCTCCCAACTTGGCCTCCCAAAGTGCTGGGATTACAGATATGAGCCACCGTGCCTAGCCAAGACAAAATATTCTAAAACACTTAAATATATGTAGCTGAGCAGGAATGTAATAAATAAATGTAAAGAGAGACCCCTCAACTGTGAGGAAAGAGTTGCAGCTGTGTGATTCACAGCAGTTGCACTCAGGAGACAGGGATTCTCATTCAGGACCCACCCAGCGAAGGATCACTGGCGAGACCCCAGGCTCTCAGCTAGGAACCTAGAGGGCTTGGACCAGGGGCAGATGTGAACCAGACAGAGCTTTAGCAAAACTACAACCCAGACTCCGCTCAGCTCTGCCTCTATTGGTTGAAGGTAATCAGACAAGGCAAGTGCTTTCTGGAAAAAGATATTATCCACCACCTCTGCAATTTTTTATAGACAACACTTGTCATTCAGTTAAAAATTACTAGGCATTTCAAAAGAAAGGACACTATGACTGAAAACCAAGAGGAAACAGACCCAGAGGTGACTCAAAGATTAAAGACAGCAAATAAGGACTTTAAATAAATATGGTGGATGTTAAGAAAAATACACATGGAAATGGAGAAGACTGGAAGAAAATGTGGAGAATTTTCCCAGACAATTGGATTTTATAAAAAGAATCAAGGGCTGGCCTTAATCCCAACACTTTGGGAAGCAAAGGCAGGCGGATCACTTGAGCCCAGGAGTTTGCGACCAGCTTGGGCAACATGGCAAAACCCCATCTCTACAAAAAATACAAAAATTAGCCAGGCATGGTTGTGTGTGCCTGTAGTCCCAGCTACTCAAGAGGCTAAGGCGGGAGGATCACCTGAGCTAGGGAGTTTGAGGCTGCAGTGAGTCATGATCACACCTCTGTACTCTAGCCTGGGTGACAGAGTGAGACCCTGTTTAAAAAAAAAAAAAAGAATCAAATCAAGCTTTTCTTTAATTCTTTCTCCTTCCTTCCTTCCTTCCTTCCTTCTTTCTTTCTTTCCTTCCTTCTTTCTTTCTTGTTCTTTCTGTCTTTCAACAGGGTCTCTGTTGACCATGCTGGAGTACAGCGGCACAGTCATGGCTCACTGCAGCCTCAATCTCTTGGACTCAAGATCCTTCCGCCTCAACCTCCCAAGTAGCTAGGACCACAGGCGCTCACTACCACACCTGGCTATTTTTTTTCTTTTTGAGATGGGGTCTCACTTTGTCGCCCAGGCTGGAGTGCAGTGGCACAATCTCGGCTCACTGCAACCTCCACTTCCCAGGCACAAGTGGATCCTCCCACTTCAGCTTCCCAAGTAGCTGGGACCACAGGCATGCACCACCACCCCTGGCTAATTTTTTGTATTTTTTGTAAAGATGGGGTTTCACCATGTTGCCCAGGTTGGTGTTGAACTGCTGAGCTCAAGTGGTCCGCCCACCTCAGCCTCCCAAAGTGTTGGGATTACAAGCATAAGCCACTACGCTCAGCTTAATATTTTATTTTTATTTTTATTTTTTGAGGAGACGGGGGTCTCACTATATTGCCCATGTTGGTCTCGAAGTCCTGGCCTCAAGCAATCCTCTTGCCTCGACCTCCTGAAGTGCTGGGATTACCGCATCCAGACTCAAATTGAGCTTCTTTTTTTTTTTTTTAATTTTTATTTTTTATAGAGATGAGGTCTCCCAAAGTGCTAGGATTATAGGTGTGAGTCACTGCACTGGCTCGAATTGAGCTTCTTTAATAGAAAAATACAGTTAACTGAAACCAAAAATTCAAGAGACAGGTTTAAGCAAATTAGAGAAGTCAGAAGTGAACTATTGGTGAACTGGAAGACAGGTCGATAGAAAATATCCTAAAACTCACGAAGAGAATAAAGAGAATGGATAGAGAACAAAGTATAAGAGAATGTGGGGAGTAGGGTCACAAATACCCTTAATTAGAGTCCCAGAAGGAGTAGAAAGAATGGGGAAGAAGTAATGTCTGAATACATAACGCTTGAAATGTTTCCAAAACCGGTAAGACATCGACCCATAATCTACCAAGACTTGCATAAAAAGAAGGTTATGCTCATCTCATAAAACTCCCCAACCATTTTACGAGCCCAGCATTGTGAGGTAAATTGTGCCCCCACCAAATTCATATGCTGAAGTCCTAATCCCCAGTACCTCAGAGTGTGACCTAATTTGGAAATAAGGTTGTTGAAGATGTAACTGGTTAAGATGAAGTCAACTGCAGTGGGGTGGCTCCCTAATCCAACATAGCTGATGCTTTTATAAAACGGGGAAATTTGACCACAGACACACACACACAGGGAAAATGCCATGTGGAGATTGGAGGTGTGTTGCCACAAGGAAGGAACTACCAGAAGCAAGGAGAGAGGACTGGAAGAGATCCTTCCCTAGCACCTGAGGGAGCAAGGCCCTGCAGACACCTTGATCTTAGACTTTTAGCCTCCAGAACTGTAAAGAACAAATATTGCTGTTTAAGCTATTCTGTTTATGGACTTTACCAATGCTAATAAACTAATATACCTAGAACCTGGGAGGCGGAGCTTGCAGTGAGCCGAGATCACGCCACTGCACTCCAGCCTGGGCGACAGAACTGGACTCCATCTCAAAAACAAACAATAAACTAATACACCTAGTGTAACACTGATACCAAATTCTGACAAGCTCATTAAAAGGAAGGAAATTTACAAGCCAATATCTCCATAAACATATATGTAAAAAAGCAAAACATTAGCAAATCAGCTGGTCATGGTGGCTCACACCTATAATCCCAGATGATTGTAATACCAGGCCAAGACAGGATCGCTTGAGCCCAGGAGTTTGAGACCAGTCTGGGCAACGTGGTGAGACCTCATCTCTACAAAAAATAAATTCTTTGTGTGTGTGTTTTTTTTTTTTTTTTTTTTTTTGAGACGGAGTCTCGCTCTGTCGCCCAGGCTGGAGTGCAGTGGCGCGATCTTGGCTCACTGCAAGCTCTGCCTCCCAGGTTCACACCATTCTCTTGCCTCAGCCTCTCGAGTAGCTGGGACTACAGGCGCCTGCCACCACGCCTGGCTAATTTTTTTGTATTTTTAGTAGAGACGAGGTTTCACCGTGTTAGCCAGGATGGTCTCGATCTCCTGACCTCGTGATCTGCCCGCCTCAGCCTCCCAAAGTGCTGGGATTACAGGCGTGAGCCACCGTGCCTGGCCTCTAGTTTTTATTTTTTAGACAGAGTCTCACTCTATTGCCCAGGCTGGAGTGCAGAGGCATGGTCACGGCTCATGCAGCCTGGACCTTTGGAATCCAGCGACGCTCCTACCTCAGAGACCCTCAGCCTCTCAAGTACCTGGGATTACAGGCGTGAGACACAGTGCCTGGCCGAACCTTAGTTTTTAAAATATAAATTTAATTCAAAATACAGGCTGGGCGTGGTGGCTTACGCCTGTAATCCCAGCACTTTGGGAGGCCGAGGCAGGCGGACCACTTGAGGTCAGGAGTTCAAGACCGGCCTGGCCAACATGGTGAAACCCCGTCTGTACTAAAAATACAAAACTAGCCAGATGTGATGGCTCGCTCTTGTAATCCCAGCTACTCGGGAGGCTGAGGCAGGAGAATCACTTCAACCCAGGAGGTAGAGGTAACAGTGAGCAGAGGTCACGCCATTGCACACCAGCCTGGGCAACAAGAGCAAAACTCCATCTCAAAAAGAGAAGAGAAGAGAAAAGAGAAAAGAAAAGAAAAGAAAAGAAAAGTCTGGGCACAGTGGCTCAAGCCTGTAATTCCAACAGTTTGTCAGGAGGATTGCTTGAGCCTAGGAGTTGGAGACCAGCCTGGACAACACAGCAAGATCCATCTTTAAATATATATACGTGTGTGTGTGTGTGTGTGTGTGTGTGTGTGTGTGTATTCTCAGTGTTAATTTTGTTAGACATCATAATGTCATTGTTATGTTAAATATCAAAGTTCTTACCCGTGGAGATACTGAAATACTCATAAAACAATAAAGTGCCTGGGATTTGCTTTAAAATACTCTAGGGAAAAAAAGGCAAGAGGGAGATAAATGAAGCAAGATTCACAAAATGCTGATAATTGTACAAGCTGGGTGATGAATACATGTGGGCCCGTCAGGCTATTTTCTCTACTTTTCAATAGGTTTGAAATTTTCCATAATAAAAGATTTTAAATAGAGGCATCTTAATTTTAAATGTAAATCTCATACCAATTGATCTTTATTCAATGTAAGTCCAATAAAAATCACAATAGGCCAGGCACAGTGGTACATGCCTGCAGTATCAGCTACTCAGCAAGCTGAGGTAGGAGGATTGCTTCAGCCCAGGAGTTTGAGAACAGCCTGGGCAATATAGTGAGACCCTATCTCCAGAAAAGAAAAAAATCCCAACATAATTCAATAAGCTGATTCTAAAATTGACATAGAAGAGTAAAAGAACAGGAATACACAAATACTCAGGACACTTCTTCTGAAGAAGATTCTGGATGGGGACTAGCCCTGATATCAGGACATATTATAAAACAATAACAATTAAAACAGTGTGGTATTAATGCAAGAATAGACCAAAAGAAAAAAAAAGGAATATAACAGAAAAGCTAACAATAGAACCACACCCATTTTAAAGATGAAACTGGGTAACTACTTCAAAATAAAAATCCACCATTGTTGGATGAAGAATATAAATCTCAAAAGCAAAACTTTACAACTTCTGTCTTGAGACACACGAAAGCACTAATTACAAAAACATTCAACACTATTCAAATTAAGAATTTCTGTTCATCAAAAGATACCTTAAATAAAATTGAAAAATAAAAAAATAAGGGAGCCCAAGGTAGGAGGATCACTTGAGTCCGGGAGCTTGAGACCTGCCTAGGGAATATAGCTAGACCCCATCTCAAAAACAAATTAATTAAATTGAGAAGACAAGTTAAAAACTGGGAGAGATATTCATAACACATGCAACAGACAATGGATTTCCATCAAAAATGTAAAAAGAATTCCTACAAACCAATGCAGGACAATCGATTTTTAAAATAAATATGGAGACTTCTGGCCACAAAGGACTAAGACAGAACCAGGATTTACATGGACACTCCACTACAAACAACTAAAAAATGTTATGAAACAGCCGGGCACGGTGGCTCACGCTTGTAATTCCAGCACTTTGGGAGGCCAAGGCGGGTGGATCACTTGAGGTCAGGAGTTTGAGATCAGCCTGGCCAATAAGGTGAAACCCTGTCTCTACTAAAAATACAAAAATTAGCCAGGCATGGTGGCACATGCCTGTAATCCCAGCTACTGGGGAGGCTGAGGCACAAGGATCGCTTGAGCCTGGGAGGCGAAGGTTGCAGTGAGCCAAGATTGAGATTGCGCCACTGCACTCCAGCCTGGGTGACAGAGTGAAACTCTGTCTCAAAAAAAAAAAAAAAAAAAAAGGTTATGAAACAATGATTTTCAGAAATTATACAAACATTTTGTAAAACTGTCCTGTGATGCAACAGGCAGCACAGGACTGGGACCCGGAGACAGGAACACTATGATCATCCTGGCTTTCTGCCTAGAGGCACATTTCAGGCCACGTGACAGAAAACAGTCCCAGGCAAAGCAGTGGCATCTCCCTGAGATAAAAATCAGGTTGGAGAAGCTGAAGAAGCTAAACATAGTTCCAGGACAGAGTTCTAGAAAGGAGGCAACTCTACGTAAAAAAAGAGCAACAGAAATCTGCATAGGGGCCGGCGCAGTGGCTCACAGCTACAATCTCAGCATTTTGGGAGGCCAAACCAGGAGGATAGCTTGAGCCCAGGAGTTCAAGACCAGCCTGGGCAACATAGTAAGGCCCCATCTCTACAAAAAAAAAAAAATTTTTTTTAATTAGTCAGGTGTGGTGACACATGCCTATAGTCCTAGCTACTCAGGAGGCTGAGGCAGGAAGATCACTTGTGCCTGGGAGGCCGAGGCTGCAGTGAGCCGTGATTGCACCACTGCACTCCAGCCTGGGCAACAACAACAACAACAAAGGCCAGCGTGGTGGTGCACGCCTGTAATCCCAGCACTTTGGGAAGCCAAGGCAGGAGGATCGCTTGAGGCCAGGAGTTCAAGATCAGCCTGAGCAATATAATGAGACCCTATCTCCACAAAAAATAAAAACAAAAAATTAGCTGGGTATGGTGGCGCTTGCCTGTAGTCCTCAGGAGGCTGAGGCAGTAGGATCACTTGAGCCCAGGAGGTCGAGGCCCTGTCTCAGAAAAAAAAAGAAGAAATCTGCATGGTGTCCCCCTTAAGTCTTAAGAGACAGAAAGTAGAATGGTGGGGGCCAGGACTGCGGGGAGGGGAAAGCAGGAGTTATTGTTTAATGGGGACAGTTTTCGTTTTACAAAAATTAAATCATGACCAGGCATTCACTGGCCTCAGTGCCTACCAGATGTCCTCTGACCCTTAGGACAAACTGAGTGTAGGTGTCATTGTCCCCACGCCACAAGTGAAGTAGCCCCACCTCCCGGTACCTCACACTGCCAACTCCACGCAGCAGGTGGAAGACTGGGCTAGATTTAAACACCACTCCCCAGGCTAGGGCCTAAACCAAGCCCCTCTGTCTCCTTCCCTATGTTCACAGAGATTCCTGATGAAAATTCCTTTTTTAGAGTCTATGCTGATTCAGTTGAGCTGAGGGTTGGGGAGAGGACCAACTCATTCTCCACTCAGGAACAGATTATATCTGAGAGACAGTGTTTCACAGGTCGGCGCTCAGCTGTGGGGTCCAGCAAGGGTGGGACAGAGGCACCAAGTCAGACCCAGTGTCCCAGAGCAGGAACAAGGCACAGACTGGGAGCAGGGCAGGCTCCTGGGGTGAATGGAGTGGGCACGGTTGAAAAGCTACCAAGAGTCCGGGCACGGTGGCTCATGCCTGTAATCCCAGAACTTTGGGAGGCCGAGGCGGGCAGATCACTTGAGGTCAGGAGTTCGAGACCAGCCTGGCAAACACGGTGAAACCCCATCTCTTTTAAAAATACAAACATTAGCCAGGCGTGGTGGTGGGCGCCTGTAATCCCAGCTACTCAGGAGGGTGAGGCACGAGACTCACTTGAGCCCGGGAGGCAGAGGTTGCAGCGAGCTGAGATTGCACCACTGCACTGCAGCCTGGGTGACAAGGCAAGACTCAGTCTCAAAAAAAAAAAAAAAGCTACCAAGAGAGGAGTAAGGAGAGCATCGGGGAGGGACCAGCATCCACCAAGTCCGAGATGAGCTGCTGAAGGTGGATGGAAATACAGGAAGTGAGAGGAGAAAGCAAGGAGGCCTGGAATTTACCCTGAGGCCTCAGAGCAAGGGAAGCAGACAGGCCCAGGCAGAGCACCAGTATTTGCTCCACAAAGATTTACCAAGCACCTACAGAAGTGCTGGTAGTGGACTTGAGCCACCTAACAGAGGCTACTATCCTGCAGCCCTAGGGCTTGCCAATCATAATCGTATGAACTGGTTGTTAAAAATCAGGACAGTTCTTTGAATGAGGGTAGCTCCTCCTACTCCCTAGAAACCCTCGTAGCCTTTCCATGTCACTGAATGTAAAATCCAAAACCTCATCTCAGCCTACAGACTCCATCCCATGCTTCTCTGGCCCGGCCGTCCCCTCCCCACAGTGGCTGATTCCCCTCCATCTCATTGGCCTCCTTGACGGTCTTCAAAAACACACCAAGCCTGCTACCCACCCCAGGGCGTCTGCACTGGCTGTCCCCTCCACCTGGAAGGCTTTGCCCCTTCTCATTCCCTGCTTTCTTTCAGGTCTGCTCCCAAGCAGCACCTTGTCAAGGAGGCCTCCAGACCACTCCATACCAGACAGCCCCCTCCGCTCTTGCCCCCGTCCCCTCCTCCACCTTCCGCACGGAGCACAGACCACCACCACATTGACCATCTTCCAAGTGCCCACTGTCCTCCAGAATGTCAGCTCCAGAGCCTTTGCTGTTCTCCCCGCACTGGTAAGAGATGGTGCTCAACACTGACTGAAGAGTGGGGACCCTCATTCAGGCCTGTCAGATCCTAGGGCCCCCCTAACCCCAGTGCTCCCCAGTCCCCTGATCAACTTCCAGCCTGGCTGCCTTGGGCATTTCCTGGCAATATAAACAGAGCCAGAGAGAGAGCAATGGCTCCCACATGTCTGGCTGTTCCCTGCTGTGTCCTGCGGGACCCGTGATGTGCCTGGCATCTAGCAGGTTTTCAAGATCTATGGGTTGAAGAGAAAGTGTGTTAAGCTTTACTCTGCCAGCCAGTGCCTTCTCTGTCTTCCATGCATCACCGCATCTCACACTCACAACGACAGCAGGAGGAGGGACGTTATCCCCACTCGACAGATGAAGAAACAGAGGCACAGAGAGGTTGGGGGCCTGCCCCAGGCCCATAGCGAGAAAGCTGGGAAGTGGTGCTTCTAGTTCCCCTGTGCTACAGCTGAAGGGTGGGCACTGGTCTGATGAGGAGTGATGAAGACTTTGGGGGCCCTGAGGGGCAACACGCAAGCGGAGTCTGAAGGAAGAGTAGGAATTAACCAAAGTTTGGGGTCAGGGAGTAACATGGGTCTGAAGTTGGGGCTCTGGAGTCTGCTATGGACTAAATGTTTGTGTCCCCCCTCAAAATGCATGTGTTAAAATCCTAATCCCCAATATGATGGCACTAGGAGGTGATGAGGTCATGAGGGTGGAGCCTTATAGAAAGATCACTGAGAGCTTGCTTCCTCTCTCTCCACTCCACCATGTGAGGACACGAGAATGCAGACATCTGCGCACCAGGAAAGGGTCCTCACCAGACACCAGGTCTGCAGGCACCTTGACCTTAGACTTCCCAGCCTCTAGAACCATGAAAAATCAATGTTTATTGCTTAAGCTGCCAAGTCCATGGTCATTTCTGGAGTCTGAGGGGCTGGAAGCCCAACCACACACCTCCAGCAAGCCTTCGTGTCCACCTGCTCTCCATTCCACCCTTCCTGGTCTTTGACTCCCAGCCTGAATGCCGCCCCCCTGCTCTGCCCCACCAAACATTGTTTGCTGCCCTCCAAACAATGCTGTGTAAACAGCAGAAAGAAACCAACAACACAGAGAAGTTAGCAAGGCTCCAAAGCCCGACAAAGCCCTCCCGGTCTCTGTCCCTGGCTTTTAGTCCCTAAGCCTTTCATGAGGGGTACCTGGATGACCCCTGGGGTTGATGACCAAGTTCATATTACCAAAAGTCTCTACTTCTAGCCAAGACCTCAGGAGACTTTCCTCTGAGGCCACTCTTCCCAGCTCCTGGTTGGCAGGGCCCTGGGTAGACAAGCAGATATCCCTCCTCTTGTGGGGACTGTCTGCCTCCCCAGGGCCCTCCAGACTAATCAAAGGGATATTGGTTTCCTCAGAAACCAGGGGCATGTCCTCAGACACTCAGAAGCCAGTTATTATCTTGTCTGTTTCAACTGCTGGTATACAGCAGCTTCTCCAGCTTCATGGTGCAATTCCTTTAGAAAAAGGAAAAAGGTTGAATAAAAATGCATTCCTATATTTATTGAGCACTTACCATGTGCCGGGGCCTGTGCTGAGCTCTGGGATGCAGAGCAGAGTTTGTTGTGGCCCTTGTCCTCTCCTGAGATATCACTCTAAGTCCTTCCTCTGGGCAGAGCCTAGCTCCAATGGGGTGTCAGAAAGACACCCCCCCACTCTTGGCAGCTGTGCAGAGAGAGGCTGAAGCAAAAGAGGTGAGGCTAGAGGCGAGAAGAGCAAGTGCAAGACTAGACTGCCGGCACCAAGCCCTGACCTTGACAGCTGGGAAAATGTTGAAAGACCCAGGGCCCATGGGAGAGCCCAGGTACTTGACATGGCCATGACTCAGTGGCCCCGCCTGCTGGATGGGGTACTACCTGCCTCGGGGGCTTGTTAGGACTGTCACGACAGTGCCTGGTATACAATAAGCGCTCAATAATGTCAGCTATGGCCTTTTCATCGTCTGAAGTGTAGGAGAGCAATGGAGAGGAGTCACTGCCGACGTCCCGGAGGGCCCTGGAAGTCAAATGCCAACTGAATCTGTGGGAGCACAGACTAGACAACTACCTCCCGGCAGCTCCTCGTCAGCAACAGGCAGACCCGGAGGTTCAACATGGCCACGGCAGGCAGGATTGAAATGTTCGCATGGCCAGTACTGCTAGGACATGTGGCGGATAGCTGCTTCCCAGGAGGTGCCTCTCAGCGCACCCAGCATGGAGGCAGCACGTTGGGGCCTGTCAGGTGGATGGAACAGAGGGCTCCCGGCTGCAGGCCCCCATTCTTCGGCAACTTTATGCCTTGAAAAGACGGCTTCAGAAGGAAACTTATTAAACACGCAGAGAATCCCAAGCCAAGAAAGGGGCAAAGATCCCTGAAGGCCTTGCCAAGCTGAAATGCTGAGCGGAATCAAATGAGGCAAATTTGAATGGGGACAAACTGTGCAAAAGCCAGTGACCCAAGACGGGAAGGAGGAGATCTGACTCAGCAAAAGCAAGTGGGACAACACTGGAGGTTTGTTCACAGTGAGCCCCTAACGGGCCGGGAGGAGCGCAAACCCCGAGTGCACCCCAGGAGGTTCCTGTCACTCCTGCGGGCCCAGCCTCCCTGCAGCCAGGAACTGGGACTGTTCCCAAGTGACACTGTCCAAGAGCTCAGAAGGGCAGGACTGAGAGCAGCATAGAGAGGCCCAGTGTCTCTCACTCCCCAGACTCTAGCCCCCAGACATGTCATCCAAATGGATGTGGATACATTTTTGGATGAATCTCACTCCCAAACTTGTGGTACTCTTTATACCAAGCTCAAACCCAACAGACTTGGATACCAAAGGACACTTTGTATATAAAACATAACAAAAAGAAAAAGAAAATGCGAATGAAGAGGAAATAAAAGTAGGGGGAGGAGAGGAAGCCTGGCGGAGGCTAATTCAAAGAAAGGAGCAGGAGGCTGCAGCTTAACATTCTGGGGGACCCTGGGGGTCTTTTGAGGGCCTCTACTGTGCACTGTGAGTCTAAGGAGGGGCTGGAAGCAGCAGAGGCGTGGTGGGCCACAGTCTTCCCTGGCACCAGGCTACAAGAGGAGGAAGAGAACAGTGAAAGAGGAACCCGCCTGCAGCTCTGCCGGCACTTCTCCGTACATCCAAACCTCTGGGAAGGGCTGTGTGTGCCCCATCTCTACCTTCCCCTCCCACTCACTGCTCAGACTTGTGAATCTGGACTTGGCCAAACCACTTCACCCAAACAGCCCTTGATACATCACCAATGACTTCCAAGTCCCTAAAGCTGACGCACACTTTTTCGGTCTTCATCTCATCTGACCTCTCAGCCTCACTAGATACCACCGCTGCTTCACATAACCCTGAAATATGCTCTGCCTGTGGCCTCCCAGCTCAGCCTTCTCCGGTTTTCCTGTCGCTGTGGGCACTTCTGCTGTATGTCCTCTGCGGCTTTGTCGTGGCTCTACTAGGCACAGTGGGCTGAAGGCTTATTCTCTCTCATTCGTTCCCCATTCCTGGGCAACCTCATCCGCTCATACAGATCCAGTTGCCATCTAGGAGCTGATACCTCTAACGTGTATCTTTCCAGCCCACACAGTAGGTTCTCCTCTACGACCTGGAGCAGTACCCCCTGCCTCCTGGCTCATCTCCTTAACATCCTGATCTCAGCAGCACATCCAAACCTGACTCCAAATATTCACTCTAAACTTGGTTTTCCTTCCAATTGGGTTGGTATAACCAGAGGCTCCACCACCCATGCCAGAAGCCGCAAGGCCATCCTGCCCTCGTTCTCGCCTTCATCCTCACATCCAAGCCAACTCCAAGACCAGCCCACCCAGCACCACTAAACATTTCTCAGCTCTGCCCACTCTCTCCACCTCCATGGCACCACCTGTGAACCAGCCACCCTCATTGCTTGCTTGGAGGACTGCAGTGGCCTCCTTACTGTGTGCCACTCAGTAGTTTCTTCCCTCCAATCTGTTCCCACATGCCCTTCCCTAAAGATCAATCAAGATCACAGCCACAGGCCCTGTCCCAACCTGGGCCCTCCATCCCTCCCCAGCACATACATCCACCCTGCTCATTCTGTGCTCTACCACACTTTTGGTTTCTTTGGTGAGGCACACTCCCCAACTGGATCTGGCCCACCTGCTGTACCCTCTCCCAGCACCAGTGCCTCTCCCAGGCAGCATTTATCGCAGGGTAAGCTCAGCATTTATATATGATCATTCAATTCATAGCCACTCTCCACTAGCTGGTAAAGTCGATAAGGTGGGGACAATGCCTGCTATGACTAGCACTGAACCCCCAATTCCTAACATAATGCCTGCCACAGTTGGTGGCCAACATATGTTTTCGGATGAAAGAACACTGGCATATGCAAAGAGAAACAGAGATGGTGCATCAGCCGGAGTTCTTTTATATTAGGAGATTTATTTTAAGGGCTTGGTCACATAATTGTGGAGGCTGGCAAGTCCAAAATCTGTAAGGCAGGCTGGCAACTCAGGTAGGAATTCTATGCTACAATCTTCAGGCAGAATTCCTTATTTTCCAGAAAACTTCAGGTTTTTTTCACTCTTAAGTTCTTCTGCCAGGCACAGTAGCTCACACCTGTAATCCCAGCACTTTGGGAGGCTGAGGCAGAAGGATTGCTTGAGCCCAAGAGTTTGAGGCCTGCCTGGGCAATGTGGTAAGACCCCATGTCTACAAAAAAAAATGTTTTTAATAAAAATTAGCCGAGTGTGGTGGCACACACCTGTAGTCTCAGCTACTTGGGAGGCTGAGGCAGCAGGATCGCTTGAGCATGGGAGGTCGAGGCAGCAGTGAACTATGATGGTGACACTGCATTGCAGCCTGGGCAACAGACTGAGACCTTGCCTCAAAAAAATAAATAAATAAATAAACAAATTTAAAAATTAAAAAAATAAATTTTTAAAAAGTTGTTCAACTGAATGGATGAGGCCCACCCAAATAACTGAAGGTAATCTCCTTTAAAGTCAACATCTTGTAGCTATTAATCACGTCTATTAGACGTCTAATAGACGTGATTAATAGCTACAAGTATATAATAGCTTCACAGCACTATCTAGGCTAGATTTTGACCAAACACCTGGACACTATAGCCTCACAAAATTGACACATAAAATGTAACCATCACTGACTGCATCAACCCAAGAGGCTAACAGTGAAATAAGACCATGACAAGCTAATTTTCACATGTTGAAGGAAAGCCCAACAGAGACACTCTATAAAGTTAGAGGGGTGACTGAAGAGACCTCAACTCTGGTTCTTGGGGGCTCTGGTCCCTGGGGCCAGAGTGACTGAGCCAGGATTACAGTCTGAAGCATTAGAGGAGGGGTGGGGGTAGGCCCCCCATTGTGAGGTCCAGGCAGAATGCTCAACTCACAGCGATCCCAGCCCTGGCTGACCTTCTTCCCCTTCCTCATTCCCACATTCTACCAGGAGTCTGTCCTCTGGCCTGTACCTGGACTTCGCTATCCTCTCCCTGCCCCAAAAAGAGGTTTGAGGGAGAACAGCCACAGAGCCAATGGAGGCCACGAGGACACGGCCTCACTCAGTACTCAAGGTCAGTACCATAGAGTTATCTGTAGATAGCTCTAAGAGAAG
This sequence comes from Homo sapiens, assembly GCF_000001405.40. Classification (NCBI taxonomy): domain Eukaryota; kingdom Metazoa; phylum Chordata; class Mammalia; order Primates; family Hominidae; genus Homo; species Homo sapiens. Next base: position 144,011,632 of record NC_000008.11, read on the forward strand.
GGGAGCATCATGAGGACTGAGTCCTGAGTTCTTAGAACCAGGTGAGGGATGCAGTCTTGGGCTCCTGAAGGACTAAAGTCAGGAAAATTCAAGGAGCTGGGGAATAGAGATCCAAGTGCGGAGAAGGCAACGACGGGAGATTTGGAATAGGGAACGCTGAGTCACCAGAAATGGAAACTCCAAGTTATAGAGAGCTCCTGGACCAGCAGTAAGATAGAGACTCTGAGCACCTGGGTCAGAAGAAATCATGGGCGAGTGTCCAGGCCTTCAAGACACAGCAACCAGGAGAAGGCTGAGAGGCCAAACCCAGGCATGTTCAAGATCACCAAGAAGGGGCATCCTGGCCAGGAAGGTGGAGTGGTGGGTTTTCATTCAACAAATATTTACTGTTTACCTACAAACATTGTGCCAAGCCCTGTGCTGGACACTGGGGTTTCCAGGAACGTGTTACAATCCCTGACCTCACTGTAAAGCCAGTGGACAATGTTAAGGAGCTAGCACGGAACTGGAACCAGGGGAAGTGCTATGACACAGGACACATCTGCTGGGGAAACCCAGCGGGCAGCAATTAACTTGCGGTGGGGGAGAGGAAGTTTCACGGAAGAGGCACCATGAGGGTGAAGTTGGCGAGACAGAGAAAAGGTCAGGACATTCCAGGCCGAGGCAAGGCCTGTGTACAGGCCTGGTGGCATGGAGAGCTGAGGGTGTTAGAGCAGAGAGGGCAAGGAAGAGGGCACAGCCTCTGACCTCACAATACCCAGGGCCCACTGGGCCAGCCTTGCAGACTCTGCACCCTCCTTCAGCCCAGGCAAGGCCTGGGGCCCTGGGCAGCCTCCAGGTGCAGTGCCCTCCCGTGGGCCGCACCCTTGCCACTGCCCCAGGGCATGTCTCTACTCACCAATTATGAAGGGCTTCGGCATCAGATAGAGAGGCTGGTGCGGGAAAATGAGGAACTGAAGAAGTTGGTGCGGCTCATTCGGGAGAATCACGAGCTCAAGTCAGCGATCAAGACTCAGGCAGGCGGGCTCGGCATCAGCGGGTTCACGAGTGGGCTTGGTGAGGCAACAGCAGGCCTTTCCTCACGCCAGAACAATGGTAAGAGGCCTCGCTCCCAAGAGAGTGAGGAGGGAAGTGGGGACTGCACCAGAGAGGAGAGACTCAGTGTGCTGAGGTCTCAGGAGGTCATGGAGGGAGTGCCCTTCTCCTTGCCCTCTCTGCTCTAACACACTCAGCTCACCAGACAATGTGCTTCCTGTCCTGGAGGAGGCTGCATTCCCTCCTGTCCAGGGTGGACCTCTCCACAGGTGCTCAGAGCCCACCCACCCCTGCGGTGACCTGCCTCCATCACAGGCCCTGTACCTTGCCCTCCTTACCTGGCCCTCTCCTCTGTCCACCATCAGGTATGAAATCTTCCTCCTTCCCTGAAAGGACACCTCTGCTCTTTCTGGTCTCTGCTTATTTAAGCCTCTACAGCTTGGCAACGAACCCTGACACCACTGCTCTAGAACGGTCACAAGTGCCTTCCTAGGTGCTGCATCCTTCTCCACCTCTGCATGGCATCTGAGATCGATAGCCCTCCTCCATGACCCTCTTTCTGAGTTCCCAAGCCATCTTGTCCATCCCTCTGGCTCATCTTAATTGAGGCTGCTCCCAGGCTCTGGGTCCAGGCCCTGTCCCTCCACCCTCAGCCAGCGTACCCACAGCGCAGCTTCAACTCTCCACTAGAACTCAAGATCCCCTCCAGATCCTGCAGGCTCAATGAGTCACTGGAACTTAGCTCACTCCAAACTAGACATGTTTCTGACTGATAACTTGGGTCTTTCCAGCAGCTAAAGCCCTTCAGGCTTGTGCTCACTCCCCTCCTGTCTTAATTCCCTGCCCCCTACCCACTGGGTTCCCTGCCATACAACCTGAAATGTGGCATAGGGCTGGTCTTCAGTTCTCCCTTACTGATTACGAGCACATAGACACCTCTAGCTTTAAATGTTATACCCCTAATGACACAGAGACAACAGAGAGGGTAAAAAGAATAATACACATGGGGCCAGGTGCGGTGGCTCACACCTATAATCCCAGCACTTTGGGAAGCTGAGGCAAGCAGATGACCTGAGGTCAGGAGTTTGAGATCAACATGGCCAACATGGCGAAACGCCATCTCTACTAAAAACACAAAAATCTTCTGGACATGGTGGTTCACGCCTATAATCCCAGCTACTCGGGAGGCTGAGGCAGGAGAATCACTTGAACCTGAGAGGTGGAGTTTGCAGTGAGCCAAGATCACACCACTGCACTCCAGCCTGGTCAACAGAGCGAGACTCCATCTCAAAAACTAATAATAGGCTGAGTGCAGTGGCTCAGCCCATAATCCCAGCACTTTGGGAGGCCAAGGTGGGTGGATCACCTGAGGTCAGGAGTTTGAGACCAGCCTGGCCAACATAGTGAAACCCCATCTCTACTAAAAATACAAAAAGTTAGCCAGGCGTGGTGGCACATGCCTGTGGTCCCAGCCACTTGGGAGGCTGAGACAGGAGAATCCCTTGAACTGGGAGGCAGAGGTTGCAGTGAGCCGAGGTTGCGCCATTGCACTGCAGCCTGGGCAAAAAGAGCGAAATTTTGAAAGAAAAAGAAGGAAAGAAAGAAAGAAAGAGAGAGAGAGAGGAAGGAAGGAAGGATGGAAGGGAGGGAAAGGAAAAAAGAAAGAAAGAAAGAGAAAGAAAGGGAAAGGAAGGAAGGAAGGAAAAGAGAGGAGGAGGAGGAGAAGAAGAACAAGAAGAAGAAGGAGGAGGAGGAGAGGAAGAAAGAAGGAAGAAGAAGAAGAAGAAAATAAAACAAAAGAAAAGAAGAAGGAAGGAAGGAAAGAAGGAAGGAAGGAAAGAAATCTTCCTGTTTAAGAAGCTAGACTCTGGTTTCGTACTCCCAGGCTAACCAAGCAAGCCCTCTCCTCCCAGCTTTCATTCTTAAGGGAATCCTTGGACCACTTCAGATCTTCCAACTCCCAAAAGGTCAAGCTTTGAGGCTTAGGAAAGACTTCCTGGAGGAGGTGAGCCCAGCCAACTGGTTGTGAAGGGGAAAGGAGCGTGCCACAAGTAGAAGTGACTCATACAAGTGTCTGGCCCCAGGGATTGCTGGAATGAGAAACAGATGTGCAATTAAAGCCCTGACCCATGTGTGTCTCACGTGGGTGAACGTGTGTGAATGCGCTATGAGAGTATGTGGCACACACTATGCACCACACATACTCTGCAGTGTGAGTATGGAGCGTGTGGTGTGGGTGTGTGAATGAGTGTGTATGAATGTGTGTAGGGAAATGTGCATGATGCTGACTCTGGGCATACTGCCTAGGAGTTAGCGTTTCTCACAAGGAGCGGTGCTGTCAAAAGAAAATTAAATGTAATTTTTAAATATTTAAAATTTTTTTTTTTTTGAGAGACAGAGTCTTGCTCTGTCACCCAGGCTGGAGTGCAGTGGCACAATATCAGCTCACTGCAACCTCTGCTTCCTGGGTTAAAGTGATTCTCCTGCCTCAGCCTCCTGAGTAGCTGGGATTACAGGTGCATGCCAGTACTCCTGGCTAATTTTTTTTTTTTTGGTGTATTTTTAGTAGAGATGGAGTTTCACCAAGCTGGCCACACTGGTCTCAAACTTCTGACCTCAGGTAATCTGTCCGCCTCAGCCTCACAAAGTGCTGAGATTACAGAAGTGAGCCACCACGCCCAGCACAGGGAGCAGTACTGTAAAAAGAAAATTAAATGTAATTTTTAAATATTTAAAATTTTTAAAAAATAAAACATCTATATATTTAAAAAAAAAAGAAAGAAAGAAAATGTGGGCCAGGTGCAGTGGCTCACGCCTATAATCCCAGCACTTTGGGAGGCTAAGGTGGGCGGATCACCTGAGGTCAGGAGTTCAAGACCAGCCTGGCCAACATGGTGAAACCCCATCTCTACTACAAATACAAAAATCAGCCGGGTGTGGTGGCAGGCGCCTGTAATCCCAGCTACTCGGGAGTCTGAGGCAGGAGAATGGCTTGCGCCCGCAAGGCAGAGGTTGCAGTGAGCCAAGATCATGCCCTGCACTCCAGCCTGGGCGACTGAGTGAGACTCTGTCTCAAAAAAAAAAAAAAAAAGAAAAGAAAAAAGAAAAAATAGGTTGGGCTTGGTGGCTCACGCCTGTAATCCCAGCACTTTGGGAGGCCGAGGTGGAGGATCATAAGGTCAGGAGACTGAGACCATCCTAGCAAACACAGTGAAACTCCATCTCTACTAAAAATACAAAAACAAAATTAGCCGGGCGTGGTGGGGGCGCCTGTAGTCCCAGCTACTTGGGAGGCTGAGGCGGGAGAATGGCGTGAACCCGGGAGGCGGAGCTTGCAGTGAGCAGAGATGGCGCCACTGCACTCCAGCCTGGGCTGGAGACTTTTGAGACTCTGTCTCAAAAAAAAAAAAAAGAAAAAAGAAAGAAAGAAAGAAAAGAAATTAGCTGGGCATGGTGGCAGGTGCCTGTAATCCCAGCTACTTGGGAGGCTGAGGCAGGAGAATCGCTTGAACTTGGGAGGCAGAGGTTGCAGTGAGCCTAGACTACGCCATTGCACTCCAGCCTGAGCAACAAGAGCAAGACTTCATCTCAAAAAAACAGTGCATGTGTGTGTGAGAGGATATGGTGTATCTGCTTTGACGGTGTGTGATTTGTGAGTGAATGTGTGCATATGGCTCTGTGTGTGTGTGAGTTGCTGTGTGTGTGTGTGAATGTATGTGAGAGTGTATGTGGTATGTATGTGTTATGTGGGTGTTTGTATTTTGGCGTATGTCTGATTGTGTGAGTGTATATGGTGTGTGTGTGGTGTGTTCATGTGTGACAGGGGCCAGGGAGAGGTGAAAAATGCAGCTAGAGGCATCAGATCACCAAGGACTGCGGATGACATGCTGAGGGGCTTGGACTTGCTCCTGAAGGCGCTAAGAAGACACTGATGGTTTTTGTTTGTTTGTTTGTTTGTTTTTTTGTTTGTTTGTTTTTGAGACAGAGTGTCGAAGTTTCACTCTTGTTGCCCAGGCTGGAGTGCAATGGCGCAATCTCGGCTCACCGCAACCTCCACCTCCCGAGTTCAAGTGATTCTCCTGCCTGAGCCTCCCGAGTAGCTGGGACTACGGGCATGCACCAGCACACCCGGCTAATTTTGTATTTTGTTAGTAGAGACGAGGTTTCTCCATGTTGGTCTCATGTCGGCCTCAAACTCCCGACTTCAGGTGATCCGCCCACCTTGGCCTCCCAAAGTGCTGGGAATACAGGCATGAGCCACCACACCCGCCTGACACTGGTGGTTTGTAACAGAGAATAATCATGTTTGTGCTTCAGAAACGTTACCCCAGATGCTATGGGGGAAATGGATTGGAGGGAGAGTAGACTGAGACAGGGAGATGGATTAGACTGAGGCTGTTGTAGTCCTCCAGGTGGGAGATGACAGCATAAGCCACAGGTAGAGAGAAATCCATTCACGTTATTTAATAAGAAAACAGAAACCCTAACTGCTTGGATGTGAGGGATGACAAAGAGAGCATCCAGAATGTATCTGTTGTCCCAGCCAAGGCAGATCTCTATAGTTGCCTCAGAGAATCTTTCTCTGGCCACTTCCTCAACCTGCCTGTTCTCTTGGCCATTCCTTGTGACTGGCCTCCTTTATAGAGTCGGGTTCTTATTCTTGATTTGTCCTCATGAACTCAGGCCTTCGATTCCTCTTTCTGGGCCTACCCTTCTCCCTTATGCTCTGTGCACAGCCCTACCTCTGAAATCCCCCTGGTCCAGAGACCTGGCCCAACCCCATTGAGGAGGAACACAGGAGGAAACAGCTTGGGAGGTATGAGCAGGGCTTGGTCTGGTGGGCTGTGGATGTTTATAAGCATGTGTACCAGGCTCCTCTCAGTGCAGGACAGAGCTCAGATGGGAAGAGAAGGGGTGCAGAAGGGCAGGGCCAGGGGACCAGCTCTCTCCAATCTACCACATCCTGGCACAAAACTAGTACAAGAATTTCAAATTCAAATCTGACCTTCCAGGTTGTTACAAAGGTTTATTTGTCAGGGTAAGAAAATAGAAAGTAGTTTAACAGTTAGCCTGAGTGGTAACTTTTAACTACTCTGACACTTGGTAAATGGGCTTTCATTTATACTCTTGCCCACAGCCCTGCAAATGTTAGAGGTGAGCCTGGGAGAAGGAAAGGCAGTTTTGGAGCAAGAAAATGAGTTGTATTTTGGACAAAATTATTTTAAGATGTCCACACAACATCCACGTGGAGTGTCCAGAAGCAGTAGCACTATGAGCCTGAAGCTCGGAGAAGTCAGGTCTAGAGAGAAAAGATTCAAGAGTTACTGATAATTCAAGCTGAGGTAGGGGGCGAGGCCATCTGGGAAGAGAGTGCACAGTAAGAGACTGAAGGACAGATCCTGACTGAGGACAGGTAGAGGAGTTGACAAAGGAGCATGCAGAGAGGCAAGGGAAACTTCAAAAGCAGAATGTCACAAAAGCCAAGAGACAGCTTCAAAGGGGACAGTGTCAGCAAGGTAAAGGCTGCCAAGAGGTCAAGCAAGAAAAGTACTAAAAATATCCATAGCATTCAGTGGACAATTCATGACATTGGCATTCGTGACCTTGGTTAGAGTGATTTCAACCATCATAGGTGGAATGGCCGACCAGGGTGAGGTGAAAAGTCAGTGAGAAAATGGAGAGAAAAGATGATGGAGATACTTAATTCAAGGAGTTTGGCCTTGGGGTGAGGGGAGTGGACAGGGAGAGGGCAGTAGCTGGGAGGGCATGAGGTCCAGAACTTCTTTTCAAGGTGGCAGAGACCTGAGTTTGTTTACATGTGGAAAGAAGAGGCCAGGAGAGACTGTTGGAAAATACGCAAGATAAAAGAGGTACATTATGGGGTGGGGAGTGCCCTTGACTGAAGGAAGAGAGTCTCTTCCACTATCCTAGAAGGGAAGGAGGAAGGAGAGCATGAGTGTGAATGCCAGCTGGTGGGAAGCTAAAGGAACTCCAGACCCGTGGCTTCAATTTTCTCTGTTCAAATGTTCTTCTCTGAGAGCAAGGATGGAGCGGGGAAGGTCTGAAATAGAGTAAAAATGGGGGGCTGGGCACGGTGGCTCACATCTGTAGTCCCAACACTTTGGAAGGCCGAGCCGGGCAGATGACCTGAGGTCAGGAGTTTGAGACCATCCTGGCCAACACGGTGAAACCCCGTCTCTACTAAAAATACAAAAAAAAAAAAAAAAAAAGCAGGCATGGTGGCGGGCGCCTGTGGTCCCAGCTACTCAGGAGGCTGAGGCAGGAGAATGGCATGAACCCGGGAGGCAGAGCTTGCAGTGAGCCGAGATCGCGCCACTGCACTCCAGCCTGGGCGACAGAGCGAGACTCCGTCTCAAAAAAAAAAAAAAAAAAAAAAGGGACGGGGAAGGAACTGAGAGGAGAACTTGGAGGGTCTGTCTGGATGTATAGTGGGCTGAATGGCGCAACCATCTTCGGGATTTGCAAAGGCAGCAGCCATCAATCTCCTGCCTTCTCCAGCAGCATTTGGCAGCCTGAGGGCAGGCATGGGGGAGGCAAGCAGGCAGTGCCGAGGATGGCTCAGCAAGAGCTCAGGCACATCAAAGCTGCTCTGGCTGAGAGCGCAGCCAAAACCAGGAGTGCTGTCAGATGGAGAGAAAATAAAGAGGCCAGTGGACTGAGATCTGGAGAGGCTCAGAGACCAGGTGGCCAGAGTGATCTCTGCCCAAGACAGAAGGTACAACTGTGTGGTCAGAGTGGGTAATCTGAAGAGGCAGGAAATCAGAAAATGTTGGCCGTTGGCCGAGTTAACTTCACCGGGACAGAACAGGCGCCAAGAGCTTCAGACTTGGCCCCGTGCACGGGCAGGTGGGAGCTGCGGCATGCAGACTGCGGGGCGTCCTGCTCCTGAGGGCTCAGGGGCTTGCAGGGAGATAGGGCTGTTGGAGTAGCTGGGGAGACAAGAAATGAGGGCCAAGATGGGGGCTCAAGACACTAAAACAGTAACTGCACTGAAAACTGGCTCCTGCCCCCACCGGTCAGACCTGGCTCCTCCACACAGAGCTCAGGTGACAGGTGGGACAGCCGTCAGCACGGAACAGGCAGTCAAGAAAGGAGGACTGAGGGCCTGCTCTAGCCACCAGCATCCTCCTCATCCCAGCCCTCACCACCCCTCCCTCACCCGAGCCCACACACCTACCTGAGGATCCTCTCCCCTCAGGGCCGCCTCGTCCTGCTCTCCCACTGCCTCCCCCGGGGGCTGCGGCAGGTCTCCTCCGGCAGGGGGCAGTCTTCCCTCAGTTCCGGAGGGCCTTCCCGCACGAACGCCCGCCCCCATGTCACAGTTTCCCTCACACGAGAACCTGCCTTGAATTCAGGACCTGCGAACCCCACAGATGCATCCGGCCCCTCAGGACCCGTCAATACCCCACAAGACTCTACCCCACAAGAAACACGTTCCCGCTCAAGATCTGTCCCTCCCTACTCAGGACACATCCCTCCCCTCTAAGGACCCTCCCCGCTCAGGACCCTCTTCCCTCAGGACCATCTCCCCTCAGGAGGCTGTTCTCTCAGGACACTCTTCCCTGAAGACCCTCTCCGCTGAAGAACCTCTCGCCTCAGGACCCTCTTCCCTTGGAAACTTCTCCCCTCAGGACCTTCCCTCTCAGGACTCTCTCCCCTCAGAACCCTTTCCCCCGAGGACTACCTTCCCTCAGGACCCTCTTCCCTGATAACCCTCTCCCCTCAGTGCCCTCTCCCCTCAGAACGCTCTTCTCTCAGGACCACCTTCCCGCAGGACACTCTTCCCTCAGGACTCTCTTCTCTGAGGAACCCCTCACATCAGGACCCTCTCCCCTCAGAACCCTCTTCCCTCAGGACCCTCTTCCTTCAGTATCCTCTCCCCTCAGGACCTTCTCCCCTCAGAACCCTCTCCCCTCAGAACCCTCTTCCTTCAGGACCCTCCTCCCTGAGTATACTCTCCCTTCAGGACCCTCCCCGCCAGGACCCTCTCCCCTCGCACCCCTCTTCCCTCAGGATCCTCTTCCCTCAGGAGCCTCTTCCCTCAGGAGCCTCTTCCCTCAGGACCTGATGCCCTTAGGACCAAGCTCTTCCCTTAGGGCCCTCTCCCATCAAAACCCTCTCCCCTCAGAACTCTCTTCTCTCAGGACCCTCTTCCCTAAAGACCCTCTCCCCTCAAAACTCTCTTCCCTCAGACCCCTCTTCCCTCAGGACCCTCTTCCCTCAGGACCTTCTCCCCTCAGGACCCCCTCACCTTAAGTACCTCTACCCTCAGTACTTTCCCCCTCAAGACCCTCTCCCCTCAGGAACCTCTTCCCTGACAACCTCCTTCCCTGAAAACCTTCCCCCATCAGGACTCTCATTCCCTCAAGATCTTCTCCCCTGAGGACCTGATGCCCCCAGGACCCCATCCCCTCATAACCCACTTTCTCCCATGAGGATTCTCTCCCTCAGGACCCTCTTCCTTCAGTATCCTCTCCCCTCAAGACCTTTCCCATCAGGACCCTCTCCCCTTAGAACCCCCTCCCCTCAAGACCGCCTTCCCTCAGGACCCTCTCCCCTCAGGACTCTCTTCCTTCAGGACCCCCTTCCCTCAGGTCCCTCTCCCCTCAGGACCCTCTTCCCTCATGACCCTCTGCCCTCATGACCCAGTTTCTCCCCTGAGAATTCTCTCCCTCAGGACTCTCTTCCTTCAGTATCCTCTCTCCTCGGGACCTTCCCCATCAGTACCCTCCCACCTTAGAACCCTCTCCCCTCAAGACTGCCTTCTCTCAGGACCCTCTCCCCTCAGGACTGCCTTCCCTCAGGACCTCCTTCCCTCAGATCCCTCTCCCCTCAGGGCCCTCTGCCCTCAAAACTCTCTTCCCTCAGAACTTTTCTTCTAAGGACCCTCTTACCTCAGAACCCTCTCACCTCAGGACCCTCTGTCCAGAAGAACCTCACACCCCAGGACCTTCCCCCTCAAGATCCTCCCCCCTCAGGAAGCTCTTCTCTCAGGAACCTCTTCCCTGAAAACCCTTCCCCCTCAGGAGCCTCTTCCCTCAGGACCCTCTTTCTTGAGGAACCTCTTCCCTGAGGAGCCTTTCCCCTCAAGACCCTCCCACTTCAGGTCTCTCTCCCCTCAGGAGCTTCTCCTCTCACGACCCTCTCTCCTCAGGACTGCCTTGCCCTCGGGACTATCTTCCCTGAGGAAACTCTCCCCCTCAGGAAGCTCTTATCTCAGGAACCTCTTCCCTGAAAACCCTTCCCCCTCAGGACCCTCTTCCCTCAGGACCCTCTTTCTTGAGGAACCTCTTCCCTGAGGAGCCTTTCCCCTCAAGACCCTCCCACTTCAGGTCTCTCTCCCCTCAGGACCTTCTCCTCTCACGACCCTCTCTCCTCAGGACTGCCTTCCCTCAGGAACCTTTTCCCTGAAAACCCTTCCCCCTCAGGACCCTCTCCCCTCAGGACCCTCTTTCTTGAGGAACCTCTTCCCTGAGGAGCCTTTCCCCTCAAGACCCTCCCACTTCAGGTCTCTCTCCCCTCAGGACCTTCTCCTCTCACGACCCTCTCTCCTCAGGACTGCCTTCCCTCAGGACCTTCTCCTCTCAGAAACTCTCCCCTCAAGACTGCCTTCTCTCAGGACCCTCTCCCCTCAGGACTGCCTTCCCTCAGGACCTCCTTCCCTCAGATCCCTCTCCCCTCAGGGCCCTCTGCCCTCAAAACTCTCTTCCCTCAGAACTTTTCTTCTAAGGACCCTCTTACCTCAGAACCCTCTCACCTCAGGACCCTCTGTCCAGAAGAACCTCACACTCCAGGACCTTCCCCCTCAAGATCCTCCCCCCTCAGGAAGCTCTTCTCTCAGGAACCTCTTCCCTGAAAACCCTTCCCCCTCAGGACCCTCTTCCCTCAGGACCCTCTTTCTTGAGGAACCTCTTCCCTGAGGAGCCTTTCCCCTCAAGACCCTCCCACTTCAGGTCTCTCTCCCCTCAGGACCTTCTCCTCTCACGACCCTCTCTCCTCAGGACTGCCTTCCCTCAGGACTATCTTCCCTGAGGAAACTCTCCCCTCAGGACCCTCTTCCCTTAGAACCCTTTCCCTAAGGGCCCTCTTCCCTGAGGACCCACTTCTCTGAAAACCCTCCCCCGTCAGGACCCTCTTTTCTAACGACCTTCTTCCCTGAGGACCCTCTCTCCTCAGGACCATATCGCCTCAGTACCCTCCTCTCTTGTGACCATCCCCCGCCATGGCCCTCTTCTCTAAGGACACTCTCTATGCAGGACCCTTTCCCCTCATGACCTACCCTATTCCCTCAGGACCCTCTTCCCTGAAAACCCTCTTCCCTCAAGACCCTCTTCCCTGAGGAACCTCGTCCCTCAGGACCCTCCCACCTCAGGTCCCTCTCCCCTAAGGACCCTCTCTCCTCAGGACCCTCTTCTCTCAGGACTCCTTTCCCTCAGGACCCTCTCCCCCCAGGACCCTCTTCCCTCAGGACCCCTTTCTCTCAGGACCCTCTTTCCTCAGGACCTACCCTCTCCCCTGAGGACCCTCTCCCCTCAGGACCTACCCTCTTCCCTCAGGACCTCTTCCCTGAGAACTTCTCCCCTCAGACCATCCCACCTCAGGACCTCTCTCCTGAGACCCTCCCCCTGAGGAACCTCTCCCCTCAGGATCCTCTCCCCTCAGGACCCTCTTCCCTCAGAACCCTTTCCCTAAGGACCCTCTTCCCTGAGGACCCTCTTCTCTGAAAACCCTCCCCCCTCAGGACCCTCTTTTCTAAGGACCTTCTTCCCTGAGGACCCTCTCTCCTCAGGACCATATCGCCTCAGTACCCTCCTCTCTCGTGACTGTCTCCCCTCGTGGCCCTCTTCTCTAAGGACACTCTCTATGCAGGACCCTTTCCCCTCACGACCTTTCCTATTCCCTCAGGACACACTTCCCTGAAAACGCTCTTCCCTCAGGACCCTCTTCCCTGAGGAACTTCTTCCCTCAGGACCCTCTCCCCTTGAAACTCCCCTCAGGACCCCCCTTGGGATCCTCTCCCCTCAAGACCCCCTTCCCTCAGGACCCTCTCCCCTCAAAACTCTCTTCCTTCAGAACCCTTTCCCTAAGGTCCCTCTTCCCTCAGAACCCTCTAGAACCCTGTCCCTGTCCCCTCAGGACCTCCCCTTAGGACCTTCGCCCTGAGGACACTCTCTCTTCAAGACCCTCTCCCCTCAGAAAGCTCTTCTCTCAGAACCCTCTTCCCTGAGGACCCTGTTCCCTAAAAACCTTCCCCCCTCAGGACCCTCTTCCCTCAGGACCTTCTACCTTAAGGACCCTCTCCCCTCAGGACCCTCTACCCTAAGGACCCTCTCCCCTCAGAACCCTCTCCTCTCCCCTCGGGACCACCTTCCCTCAGGACCCTCTTCTCTGAGGACCCTGTACCCTTAGGAGCCTCTCCCCTCCGGACCCTCTCTTCACAGGACCATCCTACTTCTAGACCATCTTTCCCCAGGACCCTCTCCCGTTAGGACCCTCTCCCTTCAGGACTCTCTTCCCTCAGGACCCTCTACCCTCAGGATGCTCTCCCCTCCAGGCCCTCTCCCTCATGACCTACTCACTCCCCTGAGGACCCTCTCCCTCAAGACCCTCTTCCCTCATAAACTTCCTCCCCCAGGACCGCCTTCTTTCAGACCCCTCTTCTTTCAGGACCCTCTCCCCAAAGGACCCCCTTCCCTCAGGACCCCCTTCCCTCAGGACCCCCTTCCTTCAGGACCCTATTCCCTTAGGATCCTCTTCCCTCTGGATCCTCTTCCCTCAGGACCCTCTCCCCTTGAAACTCCCCTCAGGACCCCCCTTGGGATCCTCTCCCCTCAAGACCCCCTTCCCTCAGGACCCTCTCCCCTCAAAACTCTCTTCCTTCAGAACCCTTTCCCTAAGGTCCCTCTTCCCTCAGAACCCTCTCTCCTGAAGAACCTGTCCCCTCAGGACCTTCCCCTTCATGACCCTCTTCTCTCAAGACCCTCTCTCCTCAGGAAACTTTTCTCTCAGGACCCTTTTCCCTGAAGGCCCTCTTCCCTGACGACCCTCTTCCCTGAAAACCCTCCTTCCCTCAGGACCCTCTCCCCTCAAGACCTACCCTCTCCCCTCAGCACCCTCTTCCCTGAGGACCCTCTTCCCTCAGGACCCTCTTTCCTGAGGAATCTCTTCCCTGAGGAACCTTTCCTTTCAGGACCCTCCCACCTCAGGTCCCTCTCCCTAAGGACCCTCTCCCCTCAGGACCCTCTTCCTTCAAGATCCTCTTCCCTCAGGACCCTCCAGCCTCAGCAGCCTCCCCCCTCAGGACCCTTTTTCTTGAGGACCCTCTCCTCTCAGGACCATCTCACCTCAGGACCCTCTCCCCCTAGGACCATCTCCCCTCAGGACCTACCTTCTCCCCTAAGGAAACTCTTCCCTCAGGACCCTCTTCTTTGAGGATTCTTTTCCCTGAGGACCCTCTCCTCTCAGGATCATTTCACCTCAGGACCCTTTCTCCTCAGGGCCCTCTCCCCTTAGCACCCTCTCCCTTCAGGACTCTCTTCCCACAGGACCTTCTTCCCTCATACTTTCTCCCCTCACAATCCTCCCCTTGGTTTAAGTGATCCTCCCATCTTAGCCTCTCAACGTGCTGGGATTCCAGTCGTGAGGCCAGGTGTCTAGCTTTTACTTTTCTTTTTAACTTCAATTGTTTGATGTACCAAACCTTGCTGAGAGACCTAAATAATTAAATAATCATATAAACGCAGTGAATCTGAAGTCCTCTTCAATGTTCTCTTCAAGTTCTTTTCAAGGTACTTGTACTGGAGCCTAAGATTTTCAACTCACAAATCTAAATAAATTAAACACAAATTATCAAAAGGTTAAGAAATCACTTGTACATATTGCCTTGGAATATCATGCGACGGGACTGAAATCTCTTAAACACAAGCTAACAGTGGGTGTCTGTTAGCTGAGGACTCTCCCTCCACCCATGGCATCTTGCAGTCATGAACCCAAAGGTACCCTGTTTCCTGACCAGGGACCTCGGTAAGGCAGCTGCTGAGATCTCATCAGTGATTCTGATGGGTCGTAGACTGAGGCCATCCCAGTGTGAGCAGGGCATATGCTCCTCATGGTCTGTGCCTGCAGAGCCTGTAATGCCTCCCAGGTGTGCACTAGCTTGGCCCCTGAACCATAAATGTGCCTTTTCTGCCACAATAAATGCCTGTGACCCCAGTGAATCTTTTTTAAATGACAGCTTCACTGAGATGTAATTCATATAACCATACAATTCACCCATTTAAAGTGCATAATTCACTGGTTTTTAGTATAATCACAGGTATGTACAAACATTACCACAATCAATTTTAGAACACTTTCATCACCCCAAAAAGAAACCTCATCCCCTTTAGCTATCACACCCCTACCCTCTCACCACCCCCTCCCCAGCTCTAAGCAACCACTAATCTACTTTCTGTTTGTATGAATTTGCCCATTCTCAACATTCCATAAGCATGGAATCATATATGCGGTCTTTTGTGACTGACTTCTTTCACTAAGCATAATGTTTTCAAGGTTCTTCCATGCGGTAGCTCCTGGCTATAGTTAGGGTTTTTTGTTTTGTTTCGCTTTTATGGCTGAATACTATTCCAGTGTATGGCTATATTACATTTTGTTTATTCATTCATTGGTTGGTGGCCATTTGGGTTATTTCCTCCTTTGGGCTATTATGAATAATGCCGCTATGAACATTCATGTACAGATTTTGTGCAGACATGTTTCCATCTCTCTTGGATATATCTAGGAGTAGAATTACTGGGTCATATGGTAACTCTATGTTCAACTGTTTAAGGAACTGCCAGATTGTTTTTCAAAGCCGCCGCACCATTTCACATTCCCACCAGAAACGTATGAGGGTTCCAATTTCTCCAAATCCTTGCCAATATGTGTTATCATCTGATGTTTTAAAATCATAACCATCCTAGTGGGTGTGAAGTGATATTCCAATGCAGTTTTGATTTGTATTTCCTAATGACTAATGATGCTGAGCTTCTTTAGGTGTGCTTATTGGCCATTTGTATATCTTTTGAGAAATATCTATTTAGATCCAATGCCCATTTTTATTTTTTTAATTTCTTTCTTTTTCTTTTTTTTTTTTTTTTGAGACGGAGTCTCGCTCTGTTGCCCAGGCTAGAGAGTGCAGTGGCGCGATCTTGGCTCACTGCAAGCTCCACCTCCTAGGTTCATGCCATTCTCCTACCTCAGCCTCCTGAATAGCTGAGACTACAGGCGCCCACCACCACGCCCTGCTAATTTTTTTTTTCTTTTTTTTTTTTTTTTTTGGATTTTTAGTAGAGACGGGGTTTCACTATGTTAGCCAGGATGGTCTCGATCTCCTGGCCCCATGATCCGCCTGCCTCAGCCTCCCAAACTGCTGGGATTACAGGCGTGAGCCACCACACCCAGCTTATTTCTTAATTTCTATATAAAAATAGAGACAAGGTCTCACTATGTTGCCCAGGTTTGTCTTAAACTCCCAGACTCAAATGATCCTGCCACCTCGGCCGCCCAAAGTGGTGGGATTTTAGGCATGAGCCATCCTGCCCAGCCCATTGCTCATTTTTAAATTGGGCTGTCTTCTTATTGTTGACTTGTAAGATTCTTTATATACACTGGATATAGTCCCTCCTCAAATATATCACTTGCAAATATTTTCTCCAATTGTTTGGGTTGTCTTTTCACTTTCTTAATAATGTCTTTTGAAACATAGAAGCTTTTGATTTTGATGAGGTCCAATTTATCTATTGTTTCGCTTGTTGTTTGTGCCTTAGGTGTTATAGCTCAGAATCCACTGCCAAATCCAAGGTCATGCAGATTCACCCCAAGTTTTATTCTAAGAGTTCTATGGTTTTAGCTCTTCATTTAGGCCTTTACTCCATTCTGATTTAACTTTTGTATATGGTGTGAAGTAGGGGTCTAACATCATTCTTTTGTAACATGGATATCCAGTTATACCAGCACCATTTGTTAAAAAGATTATTTTCTCAGGCTGGGCACAGTAGCTCATGCCTGTAATCCCAGAAATTTGGGATGCCAAGACAGGTGGATCACTTGAGGTCAGGAGTTTGAGACCAGCCTGGCCAACATGGTGAAATCCCATCTCTACTAAAAATACAAAAATTAACCGGGCGTGGTGGTGCACACCTATAATCCCAGCTACTCGGGAGGCTGAGGCAGGAGAATCACTTGAACCTGGGAGGCAGAGTTTGCAGTGAGCCAAGATGGTGGCACGGCACTCCAGCCTGGGTGACAGAGCGAGACTCTATCAAAAAAAAAAAGATTATTTTATCAATTGAAACTCGACCCCTTAAACCTTACACAAAAATTAACTCAAGATGGATTAAATACTTAAATGTAAAACCCCAAACAATAAAAACTCTAGAAGAAAATCTAGGCAATACCATTTGAGACATAGGCACAGGCAAAAGATTTCATGACAGAAACTTCAAAAGCAATTGCAACAAAAGCAAAAATTGACACATGAGATCTAACTAAACTAAAGAGCTTCTGCACAGCAAAAGAAACTATCATCAGAGCAAACAGACAACCTATAGAATGGGAGAAGATGTTTGCAACCTATCCATCTGACAAAGGTCTAATATCCAGAGTCTACAAGGAACTCAAACAAATTTACAAGAAAAAAAAAAACCCATTAAAAAGTGGGCAAAGGACATGAACAGGCGCTTCTCAAAAGAAGACATTCAAGCAGCCAACGAACATATGAAAAAAAGCTCATCATCACTGGTTGTTAGAGAAATGCAAATCAAAACCACAATGAGATACCATCTCACACCAGTCACAATGGCAATTATTAAAAAGTCAAGAAACAACAGATGCTGACGAGGCTGTGGAGAAATAAGAATATTTTTACACTGTTGGTGGGAATGTAAACTAGTTCAACTATTGTGGAAGGGAGTGTGGCAATTCATCAAAGACCTAGAACCAGAAATACCATTTGACCCAGCAATCCCATTACTGGGTATATACCCAAAGGAATATAAATCATTCTATTATGAAGAATTCATGCACGTGTATATTCATTGCAGCACTATTCACAATAGCAGAGACATGCAATCAACCAAAATGCCCACCAATGATAGACTGGATAAAGAAAATGTGGTACATATATACCATGGAATATTATGCCATAAAAAGGGATAAGATCATGTCCTTTGCAGGGACATGGATGGAGCTAGAAGCCATTATCCTCAGCAAACTAACCCAGGAACAGGAAAGCCAAACACTGCATGTTCTCACTCACAAATGGGAGCTCAACAATGAGAACACATGGACACAGGGAGGAGAGCAACACACACTGTGGCCTGTCGGAGGGGTTGGGGGAGGGAGAGCATCAGGAAAAATAGCTAATGTATGCTGGGCTTAATACTTGGGTGATGTGTTGATAGGTACAGCAAACCACTGTGGCACACATTTACCTATGTAACAAACCTGCACATCCTACACATGTACCCCAGAACTAAAAAAAAAAAAAAAAAAAAAAAAAAAAAAGATTTTCTCCCATTGAATTGTCTTTGCACACTTGCCAAAAATCAGTTGGTACAGGGCCAGGCGCGGTAGCTCACGCCTGTAATCCCAGCACTTTGGGAGGCCGAGTTGGGCAGATCACGTGAGGTCAGGAGTTCTGAGACCAGCCTGGGCAACATGTTGAAACCCCATCTCTACTAAAAATACAAAAATCTGACAAGTGTGGTGTGTGCCTGTAATCCCAGCTACTCGGGAGGCTGAGGCAGGAGAATCACTTGAACCTGGGAGGTGTAGGTTGCAGTGAGGCGAGAGCGCACCACTGCACTCCAGCCTGGGTGACAAGAGCAAAACTCCGTCTCAAAAACAATACAAATAAAAATAAAGAGTGTGTTGTTTCATTTCCACAGTTGTGAATTTTACAGATTTCCATCTGTTATTGATTTCTAGTCTCATTCTTATGGTCAGAGAAGATACTTTATATGATTTCAATATTTTAAAACTTAGAGACCTTTTTTTGTGATCCATCCTGGAGAATGTTTCATGTTCCCTTGAGAATAATGTATATTCTACTGTTGTTGGAGGGAAGTGTTTTGTATATGTCCATTAGAGCTAGTTGGTTTATAGAAAGGTTTGAGTTCTCTATATCCTTACTGATCTTCTGTCCGGTTCTATCCACTACCGAAAGTGGGGTCTCCAACTATTATTGTAGAACGGTCTATTTCTGACTTTGATTCTGTCCATTTCTGCTTTATATATTTTCCGGATCTGTTATTAAGTGCATGAATGTTAATCATTGTTACATTTTATTGTACTGAAACTTTTATTAATATATAATGTTCTTCTTTGCCTTTTGTAACAATTTTTGATTTAAAGTCTATTTTGTCCGATATCAGTATAGCCACCCAGCTCTCTTTTGATTACTATTTGCATGGAATATCTTTTTTTACCCCTTCACTTTCAATCTATGTGTGTCTTTCGATCTAAAGTGAGTCTCTTTTAGGCAGCATATAATAGGAACATGGGAGTGTTTTTTGGTTGACTGTTTTATCCATTCTGCCAATCTCTTACCTTTTGACTGCCTATTTTACTCTATTTAAAGGAATTCCTGATAAGAAAGCACTATTTCTGCCACATTGCTGTGTATGTATGTATGTATGTATGTATGTATTGAGACAGGGTCTCACTCTTTCACCCAGGCTGGAGTGCAGTGGCACGTCTCAGCTCACTGCAGCCTCCGCCTCCTGGGTTCAAGCAATTCTCCTGCTTCCGCCTCCTGAGTAGTTGGGATTACAGGCATCAGCCACCACGCCTGGCTAATATTTCTATTTTTAGTAGAGACTGGATTTCACCATGCTGGCCAGGCTGGTCTTGAACTCCTGACACCAGGTGATCCACCCGCCTCAGCCTCCCAAAGTGCTGTGATTACAGGCATGAGCCACCATGCCTGGCCTGCTGTTTATTTTCTGCATGTCTTATGTCTTTTTTCCCCTCAGTGTATCTTTTATTGTCTTCTGTGTTTAATTAATTTTTTCTAGTATACCATTTTGATTCCTTCTCCTACTTTTTTTTTCCTGTACATTTTAAAGTTATTTTCTTAGTGGTTACCCTGGGGGTCACAATAAACATCTTAAATTTATAACAGTCTAGTTCAAATTAATAGCAACTTAGCTTTAATAGTATGCAAAATATACATACAGTATATAAATAATATATAACTCTGTCCTCCCCCTTTATGTTATTATTGTCACAAGTTACATCTTTATACAGTATGTGCACACTAGCATATATTTATAATCATTGTTTTATACATTTGTCTTTTAAGTCATATAGGAAAAATGGGAGATACAAACCAAAAATACAATAATACTGGCTTTGACATCAGCATATGTAGTTACCTCCATTGGTGTTATTTTTTCATATGGCTTCTAGTTACTGTCTAGTTTCCTTTCATTTCAGCCTAAAGGACTCCCTTTAGCATTTCTTGTGGGCAGGTCTACTGGCAATAAATCCCCTCAGCTTTTGTTTATCTGGGAATGTCTTAATTCCTCATTCATCTTTGAAGGATAGTTTTATGGAATATAGAATTCTTCTTTGATCTTTTTACTTTCAACAGCTTAAATATGTCAAACCACTACCTTCTGGCCTTCATAGTTTCTGATGAAAATTTTGCTGTTAATCTTATAGAGGATCCCTTGTACATGATGAGTCACTTCTCTCTTGCTGCTATCAAGATTTTTTTTTCTTTTTTTTTTTTTTTTTTTAGAGAGATAGGGTCTCACTACGTTGCCCTGGCTGGTCTTGAACTCCTGGCCTCAAGCGATCCTCTGGCCTCAAAGATTCTGTCTTTCAACTGTCTGATTGTAATGTATCTCAGTGAAAATCTCTATGAGTTTATTCTACTTGGAGTTCACTGAGTTTCTTTGATATGTGGATCCATATCTTTCACTAAATTTAGAAAATTTTCAGACATTATTTCTTCAACTATTTTTTCTTTTTCTTTTTTTTTCTTTCTTTCTTTTTTTTTTTTTTTCTGAAGACAGGGTCTCACTCTGTCACCCATCATGTAGCGGCATGATCTTGGCTCACTGCAGCCTCCACCTCCCAGGCTCAAGCAATTCTCCCACCTCAGCTTCCTGAGTAGCTAGGACCACAGGCATGTGCCATCACATCCGGCTAATTTTTCGTATTTTTGGTAGAGACAGGTTTTGGCCATGTTGCCCAGACTGGTCTTGAACTCCTGGGCTCAAGCGATCTGCCCACCTTTGCCTTCCAAAGTGCTGGGATTACAGGTGTAAGCCACCATGCCTGGTCGATTTCTACAAATATTTTTTTTTTCTGCTCCTTTCTCTTTATCGTCTCTCTTTCTCCTTCCAGGACTTCTATTAGAGTATGTTGCTATGCTTGATGGTGTCCCAGAGGTCTCTTAGGCTTTATTCATTTTTCTTTCTATTCCTGAAACTGGATAATCTCCATGGATTTAGTTTCAAGTTTGTTGATTCATTCTTCTGCCTGCCCAGATCGGTTGAATCCCTCTCGTGAATTTTTCAATTTAGTTATGGTATTTTTTATTATTTTATTTTATTTTTTGAGATGGAGTCTTGCTCTGTCACCCAGGCTGGAGTGCAGTGGCACGATCTTGGCTCACTGCAATCTCCGCCTTTCGGGTTCACACCATTCTCCTGCCTCAGCCTCCCGAGTTGCTGGGACTAAAGGTGCCCGCCACCATGCCCAGCTAATTTTTGTATTCTTAGTAGAGACAGGGTTTCACCATGTTAGCCAGGATGGTCTCGATCTCTTGACCTCATGATCTGCCCACCTCAGCCTCCCAAAGTGCTGGGATTACAGACCTGAGCCACCCCACCTGGCATTTTGAATGCTTTTTAGCTTTTTGAAAACTGGACATTTTAAATATTATAACGTGGTGACTCTGGAAATAAGATTATTCCTCCCTCCCCAGGGTTTATTGCTGCTTGTTATGGGTCATACTTGTTTGTTTAGTGACTTTTCTAAACTGTTTTCTGCAAAATATTGTAATTTTTGTCCATATTGCTCCCCCTCATGCGAGCAAGCCACACCAGGAAGGCAGACCGCCAACCTTATGGCCATCACTGATGCACAGAGTGGGAGATATTAGGTGTCTGTGAGGATAGTGACTTCTGTGTGTCATATGCACAGATAGGGATTTCCATGAGCACACACAACAAAGAATACGGTCTTTATAAAAGCAGTTTAGAAAAGTCACTAAACAACGACCAACTACGACCCACAACAAGCAGCAATAGCAAAGCCTGGGGAGGAGGTGAATCTCATTTCCAGGGTTACCAAACTATAATATTTCAAATGTCCAGTTTTCAACAAACAGCAAAAAAAAAAAAAAAAAATTACATGGCATGAAACAAAAGTTAGGCTGGGCACAGTGGCTCACGCCTGTTATCCCAGCACTTTGAGAGACCGTGGCAGGCGGATCACCTGAGGTCAGGAGTTCGAGACCAGCCTGGCCAACATGGTGAAACTCTGTCTCTACTAAAAATACAAAAAAGTTAGCTGGGCATGGTGGCACGCACCTGTAATCCCAGCTATTTGGGAGGCTGAGACTGGAGAATCGTTTGAACCCGGGAGGAGGAGGTTGCAGTGAGCTGAGATAGTGCTATTGCACTCTAGCCTGGGGCAACAAGAGCGAGACTCCGTCTCAAAAAAAAAAAAAGAAAGAAAGAAAAGTTAAAATGCCTATGTTTTCCTCCCAAAATTTAGTAGCTTCCTCATTAAGCATTCCCCTGGTTATTGTAAGATTTTTATTAGATTCTGGAGACCCAAAAAAAGTTTACTCTGATCATTTTTGCCAGCTTAATCGTAGCTTTGGTGGAGGGCTGAAATTGTGGAGCTCTCTAATCCTCCATTTTCAGTTGCTACCTGTCTGGCTAGTTTGAGTCCAAAGGGAAAGACAAATGCAGCACACACATCCTTACCCATGGGCAGTGAAAGCAGATGTGACTGGCCCTGCAGACTGATGTGGGTGGCATGCACTGGCCTCAGTGACTTTGTGTCTCCAGAGCCTCATGTGGGGTTTGGTTTTATGCTAACATTGGCTTTTCTCAGTCCATGCTGAAATATGTTGGGAATCACCACCAGCAGAGGCACAGGGACTTGGGAAAGGGGACCACATCACTATTCAGCACTGGCAGGCAAATCCCACCTGAAAAGGAAGGAGACGGCAAGGAATCCTGATGGGGAGATAGTCCTTGGGCTCCCTGCTCTACCTGAAAGAGCTGAGGTTGCATTCGTGCTGGCGGGATGCAGCCAGGCCACTTGGGTTTGAAAATCTCTTATTTTTCAGGGCCTAACCTTTACTTCTATCAATCTGAGTTCTTCCCCTCCCTCTTCTGCAGTTGGCCTGTTTACAGGGCCCTGCCCAGTTGACCACAAAGGCCCAGCATTGGCCAGGGAAGGCAGGAGGGCTCCTGGGGAGGCGCATGTTGTAGAGGGAGTGCTGGAGGACAGGGAAGCCAAAGGTGCCACCAAGAGGACTGGGCATGCACGGGCCTCCATAGCACAGGCTGGGAAGGAAGCACAGATCCCTCTCCACATGAGGCTGGGCCACCCCTGGACTAGCCTTGCCCGTAAGGGCCTGGCTTTGTTTGCTAAGTGTGAGCAGGGCTGTGGCCCCTCCTGGTCTCAAGACAAAACCAGGCAGAAATGCATTTTTTTTTTTTTTTAGAAAACACTTTTCTTCATAAAGTTTGTTTTTTAAAATACATACTCATATTGTGAAAATTTTAGAATGTACATGAAAATATAAAGAAGAAAAAAAATTAACTTGACATTTACATACACCCCTTAAAGGTCACCACCAGACACATGGGGAGTATTTACCCACCTCTTTTTCAGAGTGGAGAATGCAACTCTCAGCTTTTATTTATTTATTTATTTATTTTTAGACGGAGCCTCACTCTGTCACCAGGCTGGAGTGGAATGCCACACTCTTGGCTCACTGCAACCTCCGAGTCCAGGGTTCAAGCGATTCTCCTGCCCCAGGTTCCCGAGTACCTGGGACTATAGGCACACACCAACACACCTGACTAATTTTGTGTATTTTTAGTAGAGACGGGGTTTCACCATGTTGGCCAAGCTGGTCTCAATCTCCTGACCTCGTGATCCACCTGCCTCGGCCTCCCAAAGTGCTGGGATTACAGGTGTGAAACACTGCGCCTGGCAACTCTCAGCTTTTAATCCACATTCCTACACTTGATGTAACAATTTTAATATTTACTATAAGCATTTCATTGTGTTCTCATATTTTCTTTACAAATAGTACTGTAAATGATTTCACATCAAGCTATTATACATTTGAACATTTCATGATTTGCTGAACAATTTTTCCGTGGTTTGTTGTGCCAAGGTTTTATCATTAACAGACAAACAGGATGGGTCTTTCTGAGGCCTGGCATCTGCCCCCTGCTCTCACAGGCCCTCCTCCCCAGGCCCGCCTGCCCTCCCCCATCAACTCTGTCCACATGCTTCTGTCTCTGATCTGTACTTGGCCTTCCCTGGAGCCCTCGTTCCTAGCAGGATGAGGGCAGCATGGGAAGAAAGTGGGTAGCACTTACTGTATTGGGTGAGGGGTAGAGGGTACCAATAGCACCCAGCTCACGGCAGCCACACCACCCTCTCAGTGTGCAGCAGCACATCAGACAGTAGACTGGCTTTGTAATCCCACCATCTGTGTCGGCGCCATTGTTCCTTCTGTCCTGGACCTTGACAAAGCTACCACTCCAGCGCCTCCTGGGAGTCCCCGTGGCTTCTGCTTTATACATTTTGGTGTTAGACTTTCTGTGAATTGCTCCCTCAGTTACCTTCTGTGTGCTACGTGATGGTCCTGCCTGGAATCCAACTTGGTCGAAAAACAGACCGGGCCATTTCCCTCTGGGGACGAGACCATGGCCTGTCCAGTGCTGTGCCCTCTCTCAGCCCTGACCGGCTGGCCCCTCCACAGCGGCCACCTTCCCAGAGTAGGCGGCAAGAGGAAACATTTGTCCTGTCTTCTCACCTGACCTGGCTGCTTCAAACATTAGGACCACCGGCGCTCCTTAGGCTGCCCTGGCTGTGCGGGGACAGTGGCCCCTGACTGCCTCTCCCCAGTCATCCTGGAGATGTTGCCCCCAAGTGGTCCTTTCCCACATCACCCAGACCCTGGGCTCTCCTAAGGAATTGGAGGCCAAGCAGGACAGACAGCCGCACTCTGAGCTCCATCCTCCACCTCAGCACATGCAGCCCATCCCTCTGTCTGCCCCACTCTGTGCTCCCTCTCCTTCACGTCTGTCCTCTCCATGGACTGCTTGCCTTTGGCCCACAAGCTTTATTGTCTCCTGGGTCCTAAAACAAAACTTTCTAAAAAGTCAGAACAAGAAATCATAAAAGACCAGGCTGGGAGTGGTGGCTCGCAACTATAATCTCATCATTTTAGGAAGCTGAGGCAGGAGGATTGCTTGAGGAGTTTGAGACCAGCTTGGGCGACAGAGTTAGATTCCCATCTCTAAAACTAAAAATAAATACATAAGTAAAAGAGCAGCTGACTGGATTGTGCAATTTTGATTTACTTGTTTGGAAAGCGGAACTTAGAAGGTTTTGGGTTTTTATGAGACAGGATCTCATGCCGTCACTCAGACTGGAGTGCAGTAGCACGATCACGGCTCACCACAGCCCCAACCTCCTGGGATCAGGTGATCCTCCACCTCAGCCTCCCAAGTAGCTGGGACTACAGGTGCACACCACCATACCCGGCTAATTTTTGGATTTTTTGTAGAGACGGAGTTTCACCATGTTGCCCAGGCTGGTCTCGAACTCCTGAACTCAAGCAATCTGCCCATCTCAGCCTCCCAAAGTGCTGGGATTACAGGCACGAACCACCACACCCGGCCCAGAACTTAGAATTCAAAAGGCAAATAAAGTGGCAGAACATCTCACCACACATCACAGAGGATTAGCTCTGAAGAGATAGAAGTAGTGCACTCAGAGACTTCCTGGGGAACATCAGAACACTTCCAAGGGAGCCTGTAAAATGTCTATTTCCAGGAAAAAAATCAATCATCAAGACTTACGTAATAGGGTGTTTGTCATCAGGGAACACGGGAATCGATTGAAATGCCCATCCACTGAGATAGGCTCAGTAAAAAAATAGCACGTCCGTAAGATGAGGCCTCCGCAGCTACAATAGCACCATTTGCAAAGAATCATGATGCCGGAGCTGCTATGGTGTGTGTCCCGTGACAAGTGGCAAGGTACAAAAGGATATGTGATCTATGCCACCACCACCTTTGTACACAGCCTGTTAAGAATGAATTTTGGCCGGGCAGAGGGGCTCCTCACTTCCCAGTAGGGGCGGCCGGCTGGGCGGGGGGCTGACCCCCGCCCGGCAAGCCGCCCCGTCCGGGAGGGAGGTGGGGGGGTCAGCCCCCCACCCAGCCGGCCGCCCCGTCCGGGAGGGAGGTGGGGGGGTCAGCCCCCCGCCCAGCCGGCCGCCCCGCCCGGGAGGTGAGGGGCGCCTCTGCCCGGCCGCCCCTACTGGGAAGTGAAGAGCCCCTCTGCCCGGCCACCACCCCGTCTGGGAGGTGTACCCAACAACTCATTGAGAACGGGCCATGATGACAATGGCGGTTTTGAGGAATAGAAAGCGGGGAAAGGTGGGGAAAAGATTGAGAAATCGGATGGTTGCCGTGTCTGTGTAGAAAGAGGTAGACATGGGAGACTTTTCATTTTGCCTGTACTAAGAAAAATTCTTATCCTGTTGATCTGTGACCTTACCCCCAACCCTGTGCTCTCTGAAACATGCGCTGTGTCCACTCAGGGTTGAATGGATTAAGGGGGGTGCAAGATGTGCTTTGTTAAACAGATGCTTGAAGGCAGCATGCTCGTTAAGAGTCATCACCACTCCCTAATCTCAAGTACCCAGGGACACAAACACTGTGGAAGGCCGCAGGGTCCTCTGCCTAGGAAAACCAGAGACCTTTGTTCACTTGTTTATCTGCTGACCTTCCCTCCACTATTGTCCTATGACCCTGCCCAATCCCCCTCTGCGAGAAACACCCAAGAATGATCAATAAAAATAAATAGATTAATTAAAAAAAAAAAAAAAGAATGAATTTTGGCCGGGCTCGGTGGCCACGCCTGTAATCCCAGCACTTTGGGAGGCCAAGGCGGGCAGATCATGAGGTCAGGAGATCAAGACCATCCTGGCTAACACGGTGAAACCCTGTCTCTCCTAAAAATACAAAAAATTAGCCGGGCGAGGTGGCGGGCGCCTGTAATCCCAGCTACGCGAGGCTGAGGCAGGAGAATGGCGTGAACCCCGGGGGGCGGAGCCTTCAGTGAGCCGAGATCGCACCACTGCACTCCAGCCTGGGCGACAGTGAGACTCTGTCTCAAAAAAAAAAAAAAAATTGATTTTTACAGCCAGGTGCAGTGGCTCATGCCTGTAATCCCAGTACTTTGGGAAGCCCAGGCAGGCAGATCATGAGGTCAAGAGATCAAAACCATCCTGGTCAACATGGTGAAACCCCGTCTCTACTAAAAATACAAAAATTAGCTGGGCCTGGTGGCACACACCTGTAGTCCCAGCTACTCAGGAGGCTGGAGCAGGAGAATCGCTTGAACCCGGGAGGCAGAGGTTGCAGTGAGCCGAGATTGTGCCACTGCACTCCAGCCTGGGCAACAGAGCGAGACTCTGTCTCAAAAAAAAAAAAAACCGCATGAATTTTACTTCTTTAAAATTATTATTTTGAGATGGGGTCTCACTCTGTCACCCAGGCTGGAGTGCAGTGGCACGATCACAGTGCAATCATAGCTCACTGCAGCCTCAACCTCCCGGGCTCAAATGATCCTCCCACCTCAGCCTCCCGAGTAGCTGGGACTACAGGTGTGTGCCACCAGGCCCAGCTAATTTTTGTGTTTTTTGTAGAGACATGGTCTCTCCATATTGAGCAGGCCGGTCTGGAACTCCTGGGCTCAGGCGGTTGAATTTTACATTTTTAAATGGTTAAAAGAAGACTACTATTACATGACCCATGAAATCCAAAATGTCGTATTCATCCATAAAGGTTTGTTGCCATACACCCTCCCTCATTCACCTCCGGGTTGCCCGTGGCTGCCTTCTGAAGGCAACGGCAGGCTTGAGCGGTTGCAACAGAGACCATATAGCTGGCAAAGGTGGAAGTATTTACCTCCAGACCTTCACAGAAAATGCTTGCCAACTCCTGAGCTATATACGCACGGTAGAGAAGGTCTCCAAGGCAACACGCAGCTCCTCAATAGAGACTAACTGTGGGATGATGGAACTATCTGTGGCTTTTCATCTTTTTTTTCTGTATTTCCATTCTTTCTCTATAATAAGCATGTACTGCATTTATAACAACAAAAGTGGAAGTTCTCAATGAAATTGCATACTCACAAAAACCTTCTCTGCACTCCCACCACTACTGCCAGCAGCTGCATCCCCGGGGATCAGGGGGCTTCTCCCCGAAACAGTGGCCAGAAAAAGGAGCACTCCTCCAGGACCAAGGAAAGCAGGCTCTCAGGGGCAGGGAGAGAGCATAAAGCAGTGTCTGGGACCAGGGTGTGTGACCAGCTCTGACCTGCATCCCTGTTTAGGCCACAGCAAGCCCCACAGGGCAGGGACCATGCAAGGGTGCCGGGCCACGTGAGGCTCTGCCCATTGCAGCACGGACCCCCTGAGGAGCCCCCACCACAAAGACAGTGGTCAGGAGGCCTGGGCCCTCTTCTCTCCACCGAAGAACAGAGGGGCCAACTTGGTGACCTGAGAATCCAGCTGCTTGGAGACCCTCTGCTGGGCAAGGGGTGGGCACGGTTGAGGAAAGGGCAGCGGGACGTCCCCATGGCTGGGGGCAGTGGGCAAGTGGTCAGAGAAGTGAGCCTGGGAGAACTGACCCAAAAATCAGGGCTGGAGATGAGGCCTTGGGGAGCCACTCCCAGGCTCCTCTGAGCAGACACAGACTCCCCACAGAGGCAGAGACGCCACCACCCTGGCCTGCCTAAGAAGTGAGGCTCAGAGACCAGGTCGGACCAGTCAGCTCATCGGGGACAGATGGGCACTATGGCCAGGCCCTACCACAGTGACAGAGCCTGTGACCACCCTCGCCGTGGTCTGGAGGGGCTCCCCTGGGGTCTCAGTGCTTTCTCTGTGTTCCCAGGTGTCTTCCTGCCCCCGTCCCCAGCAGTGGCAAACGAACGAGTCCTCGAAGAAGTGGGGATCATGGCCTTGGCACCCCTGGCCGAGATGCTAACCAGCTTGCAGCCCAGCGCCACACCGGGCTCACTCATGAGCCCCCTGACAGGCACCCTCAGCACGCTGCTGTCTGGCCCAGCACCCACGTCACAGAGCAGCCCCCTCACCAGCTTCCTGACCAGTCCCATTGCGGGACCCCTAACAGGCACACTGGCCAGTTCCCTGGGCCTGCCCTCCACTGGCACCCTGACTCCCAGCAGCCTCGTGGCAGGCCCTGTGGCCATGTCCCAGAGCAGCCCCCTGATAGCCCCTGTGATGGGCACGGTGGCTGTCTCTCTGAGCAGCCCCCTCCTCAGCTCCACTGCCACCCCACCAGGGGTCTCTCAGAACCTGCTGGCCAACCCCATGAGCAACCTGGTCCTGCCAGAGGCCCCAAGGCTGCGGCTGGCTGAGCCACTCCGCGGAGGCCCCACTGGGCCCCAGTCCCCAGCTTGCGTGGTACCCACTGCCACCACCAAAGGTAACAGGTGTGGTGGGTGGTGGGTGGCAGAGTGGGGGGGGGCAGAGCCCTCCCACCTCACTCTAATCCCCCTTTTTTTATTTCTGTTCCCTCCACATCACTAGTCCCACTCTCCACTGAGCCCCCCCAGTCGACCCAGGACCCAGAGCCTCTCAGCATGGCGTTTGCAGGAGCACCCCTCCAGACCTCCACCCCTATCGGAGCCATGGGCACACCTGCTCCCAAGACGGCCTTCTCCTTCAACACTTCGGACACACAGGCCCAGCCCAGTGCCGCCCAGGAACAAGTGGTCCCTGCATCTGTCCCCACCTCCCCCACCACCTCCCCCACGGTCACCGTCCTTGCCTCTGCCCCCGCCCTTGCCCCCCAGGTTGCCACCAGCTACACACCCTCAAGCACCACCCACATCGCCCAGGGTGCCCCCCATCCCCCTTCCCGAATGCATAATTCCCCAACCCAGAACCTGCCTGTCCCCCACTGTCCTCCACACAACGCCCACTCCCCACCTCGTACCTCATCCTCCCCGGCTTCAGTCAATGACTCTCGAGGTCCACGCACCACAGAACCGTCGACGAAGAGCATGATGGAGGTGGAACGGAAGCTGGCCCACCGCAAGACCAGCAAGTTCCCCGAGAACCCCCGAGGTCAGTGACACTGCGGGCTCCACGCGGGTCGGGCCCCCAGGCCCTCTCCCTGCCGCCTGCCTGGGCTGCTGAGCCCAGCTCCTCTCACCCTCTCACCTGGGCTGACGAGACCCTGTGTCCCCAGAGTCGAAGCAGCTGGCCTGGGAGAGGCTGGTGGGTGAGATTGCCTTCCAGCTGGACCGCAGGATCCTGTCCAGCATCTTCCCAGAGCGCGTACGGCTCTACGGCTTCACTGTCTCCAACATCCCAGAGAAGATCATCCAGGTGTGCGGCCAGGGGTCCTGCAGGGACAGGGGGCAGGTTGGCCCATGAGGGGCCGTGGGGACCCTGCACTCTGGCCAGGCCAAACTTGCCAGGACCTGAGGAGTCCCTGGGATAGAGGAAGCTGACTGCTCAGTGCCAACGGCCTGCAGGTGTTGGGGCATCTGGCAGTGGGAGCCCACGGTCTCCTCAGAGGAAGGCGAGGTGGGGGTTTTCAGCATGGTCGGGCGGCTCTCCCCCTTTGCCACCAGGATGGCCTCCTCTGTGGACGCACTTGGAGGATGATGCTTTGCCAGCATGCCGGAGTGTGCGTCTGTGCCATGCGTGTGGCAGGCTGTAGAAGGCACGGGGAAGCTCGGTTGGGGGTGTGCGGCTGCTGGGCAGGGAGGGCGGCTGCATCCCTACTTACCACTTGGGCTTCTCTTGAGAAAACAGCCCAGCTGCATTCCCGGCTGCTTTTTCTCTCCAGCTGTGTTTATCTGTGGATTGCAGGCCTGTGTGTAGCCTAAGCGGGAGCTACTGTGAGCTGCGTGGGTCCAGGTTGGAGCTTTGCCTCTGGTTAAAGCATCCTTGGGTTAGTTTTGTGTGTGTGGGATTTTGTTTGTTTGTTTTCAGATGGACTCTCGCTCTGTCACCTGCCCAGGGTGAGCTGAGATTGAGCCATTACACTCCAGCCTGGGCAACAAACCAAGACTCCACCTGAAAAAGAAAAAGAGTACACAACAGTGTATGTACCCAGCTCACTGCAACCTCTGCCTCTCAATTCAAACGATTCTGCTGCCCCAGCCTCTTTTTTTGACACAGCCCAGGCTGGAGTACAGTGGCGTGATCCTAGCTCACTGCAACCATGAAACTCCTGGGGGTTCAAGCCTGTCAAGTAGCTGGGACCACAGGTTTACGCCACCACGCCCAGCTAATATATATATATATATATATATATATATTTTTTTTTTTTTTTTTTTTTTTTTGAGTTGGTGTTTTGCTCTTGTCGCCCAGGCTGGAGTGCAATGGTGCGATCTCGGATCACCACAACCTCTGCCTCCTGGGTTCAAGCAATTCTCCTGCCTCAGCCTCCCAAATAGCTGGGATTACAGGCATGAACCACCATGCCCGGCTAACTTTTTGGTATTTTTAGTAGAGACGGGGTTTCTCCATGTTGGCCAGGCTGGTCTCAAACTCCCAACCTCAGGTGATCCGTCCGCCTCAGCCTCCGAAAGTGCGGGGATGACAGGCGTGAGCCACCGCGCCCGGCCCCGAAAGGGAAGCTTTTAAAGACACAGGCGTCCATGTAAGCTGTCTTGAAACCAAGTTTAGAGGTCACAGAAGCTCACTGCAGTGGCCTTGTTCATTGGTGAAGGCCACTGCTAGGCGAGTGGCCCTGAGCAAGCAGTGTCTTGGAATCCTGCACTCTTGAGGACGTTTTTGTGATAAATCCTGTTACAGGCCTGTGTGCGAGAGGACTTCTTCACGGCCTTTCCCTATTGCAATTTTTTTTAAGATGGGGTCACACTCTGTCGCCCAGGCTGGAGTGTAGTGGCATAATTATGGTTCACTCCAGTGGCCCTCCCATCTCAGCCTCTCTGCTAACTGGGACTACGGGCATGCACCAACACACCTGGCTATTTTTTTTTTTTTTTTTTTGAGACAGAGTCTTGCTCTTGTCACCCAGGCTGGAGTGCAGTGGTACAATCTCAGCTCACTGCAGCCTCCGCCACCTGGGTTCAAGCAATTCTCCTGCCTCAGCCTCTCAAGTAGCTGGGATTACAGGCACCCGCCACCACACCCGGCTAATTTTTGTATTTTTTTGGTAGAGATGGGGTTTTGCCATGTTGGCCAGGCTGGTCTCAAACTCCCTGCCTCAAGTGATCTGCCTGCCTCTGCCTCCAAAAGTGCTGGGATTACAGGCGTGAGCCACGGTGCCCAGCCTTACATTTTTTTTTTTTTGCTCTGTCACCCAGGCTAGAGTGCAGAGGCCAGATCTTGGCTCACTGCAACCTCCGTCTCCCAAGTTCAAGCGATTCTCCTGCCTCAGCCTCCCAAGTAGTTCGAATTACAGGCACACACCACCAGGCCCGGCTAATTTTTGTATTTTTAGGAGAGACGGGGTTTCATCATGTTGGTCAGGCTGGTGTCGAACTCCTGACCTTGTGATCCGCCTGCCTTGGCCTCGCCCAGCTTTAAATTTTTTATAGAGATGAACTCTCACTGTGTTGCCCAGACTAACCTTGAACTCCTGGGCTCAAGTGATCCACCTGCCTCGGTCTCCCAAAGTGCTGGGATTCCAGGTACGAGCCACTGCACTGGCCTATGGACTACATTTTTTTTTTTTTTTTTTTTTACATAAGTGACTATTTTGATACCAGCAACTTTCACAGGGGTTTTTGGCTGTCTTTGGATTGATTTGTAATGCGCCCACCCTGTGTTCAGACAGAGATTCTGTGACACCTGCTGCCACTCACTTGCCGTGGAGCCCGTCCGTGGCAGTGTCCCGAGTGCTGCATAGGAAAGGCCTGGGTGCTGAGCACGGGCACACGCCTTGGAGGACGGTGTGGACACGGTCACGTGTGCACTCCTCCACATCCCATTGACACTGGGTCCTACAGACTCTCCTGCTGCTCACTTCTCTCATCCTTCACACCTTCCGCTGGTCCAAACTGCTGTCACCTGCTCCCTGGTCCACAGCCACCTTCCCCCTGCACTCACTCACTCCTGACTAGTATCGAGCCAGGTGTACACCAGGCAGTCCTGAGTCAATCCACTCTCCTGGGGAGGCATTCAGTAAATGCGTAAAGCAATACATCAATAATAGAGGTGATGCATGCTCTGGGAACAGGGGAGCAGAGAGAAGGTGGTACTGCCTTGCAATCTCCCCACCCAGACCTTGGCCTCATAGTTGAGCATCTTGGATGCCCTGCCTTCCCTATTCCTTGAAGGAATTTTTTTTTTTTTTTGAGATGGAGTCTCGCTCTGTCGCCCGGGCTGGAGTGCATTGGCGCGATCTTGGCTCACTGCAAGCTCCACGCCACGGGTTCACGCCATTCTCCTGCCTCAGCCTCCCAAGTAGCTGGGACTACAGGCGCCCGCCACCACGCCCAGCTAATTTTTTTTTTTTTGCATTTTTAGTAAAGACGGGGTTTCACAGTGTTCGCCAGGATGGTCTTGATCTCCTGACCTCGTGATCCGCCCGCCTCAGCCTCCCAAAGTGCTGGAATTACAGGCGTGAGCCACCAAGCCCGGCCCTTGAAGGAATATTTTTAAGACAGGGTGATATTTGTAAGACACAACTGACACACCTCAGCCAGGCATGGTGGCTCACGCCTGTCATCCCAGCACTGTGGGAGGCCGAGGCGGGCAGATCACCTGAGGTCAGGAGTTTGAGACCAGCCTGGCCAATGTGATGAAACCCCGTCTCTACTAAAAATACAAAAACATTAGCTGGGCGTGGAGGCATACGCCTGTAATCCCAGCTACTTGGGAGGCTGAGGCAGAAGAATTGCTTGAACCCGGGAGGCGGAGGTTGCAGTGAGCTGAGATCGAACCACTGCACTCCACCCTGGGCAACACAGCGAGACTCCGTCTCAAAACAACAACAAAAAGACACAACTCGCTGCATTGAGATGTGAGTGCACTGCCATCCCCCAAGGTGGGGGCCCCTGCGTGCCCTGGTGCTCAGTGCTCACTGGGGCCGCTGCCTGTAACCCCCAGTACACTCCTGCAGGAGGCACTGTGATTTCCTTCCCATCCCAGCAGGGAAACTGAGGCTCAGTCCCAGTGTGATGCAGAAGCAGCCGTTGAGCACGGCTGTCCACGGGCCCTCACTCTTGCGCTGAACCTCAATGGTGTCTTCCTGCCCCCCACAACTGTGCATATTACTCGTTTGCCTAGAAGGCTCAGGAGCCAAGAACCTCCAGCTGGGGAGAGACAGGCGCATCCCAGGCACGTCCCAGGCAACAGGGGTGCTGAGCGCAGGCTCTGGGAGCACTTAGCAGAGGTTGACGTCACATTAACCGGGCCCGGTCCTGAGTCCAGCCCCAAGACTGGTACCCTGCGCCTGGAGCCTTCCCCGAGGGGTGGTGCCTGAACAGCTTGTGTGGGCAAGGAGTAGGGAAGAGTATTCCCTGCAGGTTGGGGACCACCACGTCAGCCATCTGGGACACAGCAGGACATAGCTGGAAGAGGGGTGCAGGGACAGATGGGGGGACACTGGAGGGTGGCCCTCCCCCAAGTGTTGGAGCAGCGGAAACTGCAGGAGGAGCTTGGGCAGGGGATAGCCCACCCAACTCCACTTTAGACCCGTGGCTCTGTGGGCCTGTGCAGAGAGCGGGCAGGGCCAAGCCTGGAGGCAGGGGCAGCTGCACCTGTGACAGGCTGCAAGACTGGCAGGGCCCAGTGCAAAATGAAAATAATTCAAAACTTAGAACTTCAGGATGGTGCCAACAGCGCATTGAGCTGGGCACTGGGCTTCCCACAACTGCCCAGGTCACACATCCAGGGGGCAGCGGCAGGCTGAGTGGGAGGGGCTGCCTTCATGATTACATGCCTTAGGGCGGGAGCCAGTCACTGCCTGGCTGGTGGGAGGACACAGGGCATGAGGAAGTGAGTGGAAACTGACCCAGATGTGCTGGTTCCCAGGCCCTGGCCCTGGCCCCAGGCCCAGGAGGACGCAGATGGAGACAGGCCCCTCAGCGCTGGGGCCAACACTTGCCTGGGGTTGTCAGTTCAGTGATGGGGGAGGAAAGGGAGTCCCCTAGGGGGTGTGCAGGCTAGAGGGTGCTGAGGATGGAGGCCAGGGTAAGGAAGGGGGTGGCCTTCAGACGCTGAAAGGGAGCAGAGCACGGAGCCAGGAGGAGGCCTGGGAAAGACCCCAGACTCCTGGGTCAGGGGACCCTGTGCACCTCCAGATGCCTAGCCACGCCCCCTGCCCTCAGTCCCTGGAGGCCTCAGCCCAGTTGCACTCCCTGGTGGTGCGTGGAGCAGACGACAGGGTTGGGGCATCCTCTTCCACCCTGTGGCTGAGGCCCTACTGGGGAGCTTTGAGAGCCACCTGCCCTGCCCGGATCAGGCCTTGGAGACCTGTCAGGCTCTGCCCACTGGGTTCCCCTGTCCTAGATTCTTGAGGTCTGTCGCAGAACCTCCCCACCGCACACCCCTCGGATCCTGGCCATCTCACAGCCTCACCTGCCCCTCGGTCTTCCCCTTACCTGCCTGTGTGTGGAGGTGTGGCAAGGGAGGGTCCCTGATGGCCGCTGTCCCCACAGGCTTCCCTGAACCCCAGTGACCACAAGCTGGATGAGAAGCTGTGCCAGAGGCTCACACAGCGCTATGTGAGCGTCATGAACAGGCTGCAGAGTCTGGGCTACAACGGGCGGGTGCACCCTGCGCTGACCGAGCAGCTGGTGAACGCTTATGGCATCCTGCGAGAGCGCCCGGAGCTGGCGGCGTCTGAGGGCGGCCCCTACACCGTGGACTTCCTGCAGCGTGTGGTGGTGGAGACCGTGCACCCCGGCATGCTCGCCGACGCGCTGCTGCTGCTCTCCTGCCTCAGCCAGCTGGCGCACGATGACGGCAAGCCCATGTTCATCTGGTGACGCTGGAGCTGGGAGGTCCAGGCTCGCTCAGCCCCACAGCCCTGTGCACGGCCATTAAAGCTTCCCACAGACACTGGTCGCTGGGCCTGTGCCAGCGCTCCTGGGTGGTGCTGCCTCCTCTGGGGTGGCTCACCGGGCCCCGGCACCGTGCCCCTTCAGCCCTGTCTGCCCTGGAGGTCAATGCCCATACCGGACCCTCTTCAAGAGCCCGAGAGGCCAAGGCTCAGCAGTGGTCTGCGAGGGGTTGGTCTGAAGGCCCCCAGGCTTCCCTCCCACGGCACTAAGAGCAGTGGGAGCTCCTGGGACTGGGATGGGGAAGGGTAGGAACCAGGAAGGGGTGGAGCAGGGAGGAAAGGGCCGTGGCTCTGTGCCTGCCGCAGTGGTGAGGGGCACGGAGTTGGCAGAGGTGGGAGGAGACAAGGATGTAGGTGTGTGATCCCTGCCCCCATACTAGGCCGGGGCTGGGTGAGGGGCGGGGAGGGGGGGCGGTCTTCCAGGCCTTGAGGACAAGAGGACATTCAAGGCAGAAGAGCCGGGAGAAAGCAGTCTCACCCCAACCTGGGCATGGGGCAGCCCAGCGAAGTGCTGGCCCCTTCCCAAGACACCCAAGGCCATCCCACACGTCCTGGAGACTTTGAGAGGGATTGAGAGCTGGCAAGGGCAGACCCCACCTGCTGCAGGAGCTGAGGAGCACAAGCAGGATTTGGGGGCAGGCCAGGGGCCTCCCACAGTGCACTGAGGGCAGATGGGGTGCTGGGAAGGGCTTGTGGAGAGTGCAGGAAGCTGAGGGGGCCGGCCAGGATAGGAAGTCCCTGGGGAGGAAGACATGGGAAGAGAGAAGTGCAGTGTGGGAAAGCCCAGAGGGGCTGTGGCCACAGGGTGAGACAGGAGCAAGCCTGCATGCAGGAAGGCAACGAGGCCGGCTGTGATGGGAGGGGGATTAGAACCCCAACTGAGGAGGGTCCTGGAGCACCAGTGCTTGCCAGCCAGAGAGGATGGCAGAAGGCAACAGTGGACCCACAGGGTCTGAGTTCCAATGGGAATCTTTCAGCAACCAGCAAGGAGTCCGGGGCTGGAGAGGGTATGCAAAGTGTCCGGCCCTCCGGGGATGCCTGGGCTGCTGAGCTTCCTGCCTCTGCCCTCCCCATTCCCAGACCTCCAGGGAATCCAGCCAGACACCAGCCTCTTAGTCCCTGGGAAGGGCAGGGAAGAGCTCCTGCCAGAAGCCCCTCCACCTCCCTGCCAGCCAGCAGGAAGGGCAGCCCTGACCCAAACTCCCAGAGCTATTTAAGAGACGCTTGCACCCAGCTGACGGCGGGAGTGTGTGGTAGTTCACAGGCCCAATTAGAAAGATGGGAGGCGAGCAGAGCCTGGGAGCTACCGGCCGCCCTGTCCTGGGAGCTCCTGAGGGGATGCCAGAGGGCTCCACGAATGGGGAAACGCTTCTGTCGCGTGCCCCGGCAGAGCTGCGCGCAGGGCAGAACCAAAGGTCCCTCCCCCTAGATTGGAAGCTCCATGGGGTAGGGCCACAAGGCCGTCACCACTGCGGGCTGGCCTTTTGGGGGACTTTGCGGGGCGCTGGGCGGGAGTCCATCCCTCCTCAGGTGTCAGGTCTTTGAACTCAGGCGCCCGACACCGCGGGGCCGCAGAGCCACAGAGAGACGCCTAGGGGGTGGGGTGGATTCTGCCGCCCGGGCAGCTGGAGTGCGCGGCCTATTCCATGCTGACCTGCGTGGGGGCGGGTACAGGGGAGCCGGAGGCAGCGCACACTGTTCGCTCCTCACCAGCGCTGCGCCGCCCGCACTCAAGGCAGGTCGTCCTCCACGTGCCGCTGGCTGCATCCCGATCCCGCTTGCGTCGGGCGGGGCTCAGAGGTTCCCGGTGCGACCTTCGCGGGTGGATGGGGCGGGACGAGGAGGATCCAGGGTGGGGATTTGAGATCAGGTCCCTTTCGGGTTTTCTTTTTGAAGCGCCCCTCTGCCTCCGCCCGCGCCTCCGCCAGGCTCGCTGCGTCAGCACCTCACCGGCTTTGCACACAGGCTGTGCCACGCGGCCTTCACCCCTGTGACTCCCCGCAGCTCGCGCGGATGCACCGACGAGTCAGCTTGTCCTCTGGAAGCCAATGAGTCTCCCCGGCGCCCCGTGGCCGAAGAGCTAGGTGTACCATGCAATCCCCGCCCGACTGGTCCCCGGCGACCGACGCCCCGCGGCCCTCGCCCTTCCCGCCCCCGGCGCTGCACGCCCTCCACGGCTTGGCCCGCGCGCTGCTGTTCCCGGCCTACTGGGCCCTGCACCAGCTGCAGGGTGGCTGAGGAGGGCGGCGGGCGGCGGGCGGCGCTGCTGCTGCTGCTGCTGGTGGTCGGCCCGCCCCTGGCGCTGCCCGGCCTGCCGCTCTGGCTGGTGCCGCAGGTTTGGCGCCGCCCCTTCTGCTACCGCTCCCCTCCGCTGTGCTGGGCGCCGCCCGCGCTCTGGCGCCCGCCTGCCGAACCCGGGCGCTGCTTCGTCTTCCTCACCGCCAATCTGTGCCTGCTCCCCGACGGGCAAGCGCGCTTCGGCAACCTACCGCACAGCCAGCGACCGGCCGAGGCCATTGGCGCCGCGCGGCCCGCGCTCTACAGGGCTACGGACTGCAGCCAGCCGTGGTCCAGGGCGCCGCGCGGGACGCTGGTGGCCTCGCTGCCCGTGGGTCTGGACTTTGTGTGCCTGCAGGAGGTATTCGATCTGCGCAGGGCTCGTCGCTTGGTGAATCGCCTGGCGCCCAACCTGGGCCCGTTGCTGTACGACGTGGGCACGCTCGGCCTACAGCCCGGGCGGCACCTCAAGCTGCTGGACAGCGGGCTGCTGCTGGCCTCGCGCTACCCGCTGCTGCGCGCCACCTTCCGTTGCTTCCCCCACGCACGTGGCGAGGACGCGCTGGCCTCCAAGGGACTACCGTCCGCACAGGTACTGGCCTATCCGGTGCAGCCCGCAGAGGGGGCGGGGGTTCGGCCGAGAAGGCGGAGAAAGCTGGAGCCGTCCGTGGTGTTGCAGGCGAGGCTGGGCAGCCTGGACGGGCGCCGCATCGTGGGATTCCTGCACTGCACGCATTTGCAAGCACTGGCTGGTGAGCCCTGCGGATGGGTCCTCGGAACAGGTCCCGCCTCTCCATAGCGGCTGCTGATCCCTACATTCGCCTGCACCCCGCCCCCCACCTCCCACCCTTTGTTCACTGCCCCCGGCACCGGAATTCCTGAGAAGTGCCTGTCGGGGCTCACAGATCAGGAACTGCGGAGACGGGAGCTGACTGCCCAGGATGCGGGTCCGAATCTGGAGCCAAGCCCACCCCACCCCCCCCTCCCCCACGCAGAAGACGGGCCCTTGCGCAGCAAACAGCTGACGCCGCTGCTGGACTGGGCCGAGAAGTTTGGGGCCGAGAAGTTTGAGGCCGACAGAGAACAAAGTGGAGAGGTCGTGGCTTTCAGCGTGCTCCTGGGCGACCTAAACTTCGATAACTGCTGGAAAGGTCCAGCAGGAGAGGAGGGCGAGGAGGGGCGGAGCCAGGAGGCCCGGCCCCGCCCACCGCGCGCCCGCCTCTCTCTGCAGACCACCGGCTAGAGCAGGAGCACGAGCTCTTCCGCTGTTTCCAGGATCCCTGCCGGCTGGGCACGCGCCAAAAGCAGCCCTGGGCCCTGGGTATCGCGCTTGGGGGGAGGGTACCCCCGCCGGCTGGGCACGCGCCAAGAGCAGCCCTGGGCCCTGGGTATCGTGCTTAGGGGGAGGGTATCGGAGCGGGAAGTGGACCTGGGGAGCGCCGTCGGCTGAGGCTCTGGCTGATGCCGCCCTCCCCCGGATCCCCCAGGGACCGCGCTGAGCACCTCCGTGCTCCACCAGTCCATGGCCTCCTCCCCCAAGATGCCGAGGCGGTGAGTTGCGACCTGGATGTAGGCACTGCCCGCCCGAAGCGCGCGGAGGGGCCCTGGCCTTGATGACACCGCCCCCCTACCAGGGCCCTGGAGCAGGAGAAAGGGCGCCACCTCTACCTGGCCGGCCTTCCCGGCAGAAGCCGCCGAGCTAAGCCCTGGAGAGGTCGGCGCCTGGACTACATCACGTACCGCGGAGTTCCCGGGTGGCTGGGCCTGCGGCACTGGGACGACCCTCAACCTGACTCCCGCCCCCAGGAGGTGGAGCAGGTGACGTTCAGTACCGCCCTGGAGGGGCTCACGGACCACCGGGCAGTGCGCCTGCAGCTCCGAGTCTCAGTGTCCTCCTAAGGCAAGCACAGATGAGGGGCGCGCGGCTGGCGCGCACAGACACGACTCGGAGCACGAACTAGGCGCCGTAGCTGCGTCCCCAGAACCGGGAGACTTAAGGCATCTTTATTGCGGGATCCTCACACGGCCTCCTGGGCCCGGCGATACTCATAGACGCTGCCGTGCTCGGGAAAGGCCAGTGCTTGCGGGGGCGACCCCGGCGGTGGGGCGGGGTCCTCCGGGTCCCCATAGCCACCGCCGCCGGGCGTGTGGAGACAGAACACATCCTGTTGGCGCGGGGGGGGGCGGGGAGGCGGGCTCAGTGCAGGCGTGGCCCCTCCCTGTCACCTGCGCAGTCCCCTCCCCACCGGGCAGCGTCCATCACCCGCCCCCATGGACCACGGAGGCCCGGTACGCGCCCCCTTTCCTTCCGGGGCCAAATTAAACTCGGCCTCTGGTCAGGTCTGCAACTGTTCCCCCTCTGTGGGATGGGGCCGGGAGGGGAGGGGAGGGGAGGGGGACAGGACAGGCCGCGGCCCTTACCCCGGGGTACACGGTCACCGACGTCTTGCCGCCCAGATTCACCGTCCGGCCGTTTTTGCGGATCAGCAGGTTTAGGCCGCGGGCGCCAGGCTCGCCCCCTGCGGAGGGAGGCGAGGAGTCCAGAGAGACCAGGGGCGGGGGTGGGGGCGGGGGCGGGGAGGGCCGCGAGGGCTGGGGAACCGCGCACCGTGGAGCCCGTATGGCCGGAAGGCGCGGCGCTCGGTCAGCACTGACAGCAGCGCCTCCTCACGAAAGAGCAGCTCGCGGGTGACGCCGTCGCCGCCTCGGAAGCGGCCTCTGCCCCCCGAGCCCCGCCGCAGCTCGAAGCGGCGCAGGATGACCGGGTACCTGCGAGGGCGAGGACGAGGGCAAAGACTCAGCGTGGCCCGAGCCCCGGCTCCCACCCGGCCGTGCCCCCAGCCTCCGCGCACGCCGCTCACCGGCTCTCCAGGATCTCAGGGTCGGTGATGCGTGTGTTGGTCATGTGGCTGTGCACACCGCTGCGCCCGTGCCAGCTGGGACCCGCGCCCGCGCCGCCCGCCACCGTCTCGTAGTAGCCCATGTGGGCGTTGCCCAGGGTCACGTTGTTCATGCAGCCCTGGTGAGGGCACCTGGTCGCTGCGCTGGGCTGGGGCAGGGCGTCCCCACCTCGCCCTCCCGCTCCTACTCCAGCCTGCCCACCCAGTCCGCCCCCGAGCTGCGCCCACCCCGCCCCCGCACCTGGGAGGCGGCGCAGGCCCCAAAGGCCCCCAGGATGACATCCACCACGCGCTGCGACGTGAGCACGTTGCCGCCCACCACCGCCGCCTCGGGCGACGGGTCCAGGATGGAGCCTCGGGGAATGACCACGCGCACTGGCGCCAGGCAGCCCTGTGCGGGGCGGGCGGCTCTCAGGAGCTCTTGGGGTGGGCTCCGGGAGAAACAGCACCCCACCCCCCGCCCCAGCACCCGTGGGGTCAGACCGTGGCTGGGCCCAGGAGGCGCACTCAGGGTGACCTCGGGCTGGGGCCCCCCCTCGCGCACACACCCCTGCGAACCTGGTTGAGTGGGATGTCGCGGCCCACCAGACAGCGCAGGCAGTAGATGAGGGCGGACAGGGTTACGGCCCGCGGTGCGTTGAGATTACCAAACACCTCCGGCCCAGTGCCGCTGAAGTCAAACACGGCGCTGCCCTGCGCGCCCCGAGGGAAGGGAGAGGCTGTCAGCGGCCGCACCGTGCCCCTGCCGCCTAGAGGCACTCTCCCCACGGCCCACCTGACTCAGGCTGATCTGCACACGGAGGCGGATGGGGGAACCGTCGTCCATGTGGTCTTCCGAGGACACCTCCAGGGGCAGGCCCCGGGCCTGCCGGGAGGTTCCAAAGGCACGCAACATGTCTCGCACGGCCAGCTCAGCGTTTGCCTGGCAGGGAGCAGGATCAGTGGTGGCCAGGTCACCTGCAGGATGGCCCTGCCGCCCACACTCCTGTGCCCAGGCCCACCTGAATATGGCCCATGTAGGCCTGCACCACGTCCAGGCCGTACTGCCCAATGAGCTCCCCCACCAGCTGGATGCCCTTCTGGTTGGCTGCCACCTGGGCACGGAGGTCCGACAGGTTGTCGTGCAGGTTTCTGGTTCCGCTGCAGTTGGGGACCTTGCCTGGCGCCCGCAGGGCCTCCGTCACCGCTGGATGGACAGTGTCATCACTGAGCCCCTGGCCAACCCTGTCTGCACCCCCAACCCAGGTTTCCCAGATCCAGACAAGGTCTCTGGCCCCTAGAAAGCACCGAGGCCTGGCCTGGGACTGCTCAGCACCTCAGGAAAGCCCCTCTCCTTGAGCCTGGCTCAGGGTCCCCTCTGAGGCAGCCACAAGGCCCTCTGCAGTGTGCCTGTGCATGTCCCTCTGTGGTCCACAACCCCTGCCCCAGCTCACATTGACCAAGGGAGCAGCCAGCAATGGGCCACCCTATCTGTGTCCTCAACACCCAGAACAGCCTGTGGTTCCATTACACCCACCCTCTGCCACCACCCTCCACCCTGGCCACGCCACTTCCCCTGGGCTCCCAGACCTGCAGCCTCAGACCAGGGCTGTTTTTCCCTGTCTCTCCTACCCCCACCCCCACCACAGGCACCCCTGCAGCCTCCATCCCCCCTTCCCTGCAGCTGCTCAGTGCCAGGCCCTCCACCTCCAGCTGCCCAAACTTGACCCCTGGCCCCCTCTCCCAAATCCCTCCAAATACCCACCTCCACCTCTAAAACTGTCCCCCACCCCCCGCCCTCGCTCTCCACTCAGCCCAAGACATCAGCATCATCCAGGGCAACTGCAGCTTCCCCCCACCTTGCCCCCCAGCCTCCAGGCCACTCTCAAGACCCCGAATCCTCTCTGCACGTGGGCACAGTGGGAGCTCAGCGCAGGCCCAGCTGAAAGCCCTTCACGGCCACCCACCACCCAGTGACTCAGACCTAGGCCCAGAAAACTCTACAGGGGCCTTTGGGCCCTGCCCCTGCCCTGCTGTTTCTCTGCGGACCCCACCCAGTATGACTGCACACACCACAAGCAGCCACCCACCTTGAAACAGGCTTCTCTCTCCAGCACCCTGACCCTCCACGTCTTGGCTAACTCTCCACCCGCAAAACCACCCCTCGGGAGGCCTTCCTGGGCCCAGGCTGAATTCATCTCAGCTCCCGGGATCCGATCTGCAGCTGCCCTTTGGGGTAACCACCTATCTCCTCCCAGCCTCAAGGCAGGCCTGGGCCTATGGGCTGCATCCCACGGTCCAGCCAGGCCTGCTTGCCAGCAGTGGCCATGTGTCCCAGCCTACAGAAGGCCTGCCCCACCCCACTCCCACTCACCCTCCTCCTGGAAGACGCCCCCCTGGACAAGTTTGAAGGACAGAAAGACGGCACCCTCCTGTTGCAGCATGGTGGAGTGGGGGGGCATGGAGCCTGGTGTGATGCCCCCGATGTCTGCGTGGTGCCCTCGGCTGGCCACATAGAACACAGGCCGCGTCTGACCCGGCCAAAACACCTAGCGGGTGGAGAGCCACGGTCAGCTGCATCGGCCACCACTGCCCCAGCAGAGGCAGGCGGGCAGCACCCCTCACCGGTGTGATAACAGTCAGGTCTGGCAGGTGGCTGCCCCCGGCACTGGGATGGTTGCTCAGTAGCACGTCGCCAGGGTGGAGATCGGCCCCCAGGTGCTGAATCTGAAACCAGGAGATGGGTGCAGAGTGGGCACAGGGGAGCAGGGGCCAGAGCGGGGTGGGGGGGGGGTGGAGGGTGAGGGAGGGGGATGGAAGGGTGAGGCGGGGGAAGGGCCACCTGGAACTGCACCGTCTCCTGCATGGCACCCAGGTGCACAGGGATGTGGGGGGCATTGGACACCAGCCCCCCATCGGGCCCAAAGAGGGCACAGGAGAAGTCCAGACGCTCCTTGATGTTGGTGGAGATGGCTGTGCGCTGCAGGATGCGGCCCATCTGCTCTAGGAGCACAAAGTGACCAGGCCCGCTGGCCCCACCCACCCACAGCCTGGCCCCAGGAAAGGGAGGAACAGGACCCACCAGGACTCAAACCCAGGACCCAGGAAAAACCCAGCAGCTTTTTCCTGGGGAAGACCAAGTTGACGGTGTGCCCACTTGGCCACGTCTTAGCCTATGTAAAGGACACCACCTTCCCCAGCCCTGCCTGGAGCCCCCAGCAAGAACCCAGTGCCACCCCTCGACCCTCCCACCCTGCCTGGCACAGCAAGAACCTGGTTCCTAGGCTCTTGACCTCTGGGCTCCCAGCAAGCCGCTGGCCTGACCCTGCACAGATGGGTTCCCTGTGCTGTCCTCAGTATCCCTTCCTTAGCTAGGAGGGCACTCTCTGGATCACATGGCTGCAGGTAAGGGGGGAAGGTGTCCTCCCTGCCCAAGGTTTGTTCTCATGGCCAACTGCACCACACCAGTGCTGCGGCCACACTGCCCGCCCCGTCGCCAGGGGGTCCTGCTTCTGCCTCTCCCTTTGGGCACAGCCCTGCCAGCTACCCCATGACACAGCCGGCGCCTCATCCCACAGGGAGCCTGGCAGCGGCCACTCACCAGCAATGCTCATGAAGCGGTGTGAGAAGATGGACAGCTGGATAGGGTCCAGCTGGGGGCCCACTGTGCCGGGGACTTCGGCCCCCACGGAGATGCAGATGTCCCCTGTCTTGGTCACCTCTGCCTGGC
This sequence comes from Homo sapiens, assembly GCF_000001405.40. Lineage (NCBI taxonomy): Eukaryota > Metazoa > Chordata > Mammalia > Primates > Hominidae > Homo > Homo sapiens. The sequence goes on from NC_000008.11 coordinate 144,055,917, forward strand.
AACCTGGCTCCACCAGGATGGTGCTGGGGAGCAGAGGGCACAGAGGGCTGCATGGGGCCAGGCGACACCCCTCCAACCAGAGATGCCACGGCCCCAGGCCAGGGGCCACCCCAACGATGGTGGGATACAGAGTCCTGCAGGCCCCTGCAGCCTTGGGCCAGAGAACCCTGCACCAGGGGCCCCGCAGTGGACCCGTCCACATCCTCCACCCTGGCCGGACTTCAGCCCACCTGTTACTGTCGATGATGAGGCAGGGCCCATGGAGCTTGTGCCCATAGCCCAGCTCTGCCAGCAGGTACACAGGGGTCTCCTGGTAGCCCCCCTCAAAGTAGCACTGGGTCATCTGCAGAGGGTGCGGGTGAGTACAGCGCCCGGGCCCAGCACCCTCCCCGATGCCTCTCACAGGGCTTGGTCCCCATCCCGGTGCCCCATGGGTGCTGTCAGGCTGGCACAGGCAGGACCACCAACCTTGTCCACCCGGGGAGGCCCGGTCTGGGCTTTGGGGGCATCCTCGAGGCGAAGACCACTGCGGCCGGTGCCCCGCACTCGCACATCGTCCACGACCACCGGCCGCTCAGGTATGACAAAGCCAAACTCCCTCATGTACCTGCACTCCCCGCGGGGACCCAAGGAGTGGTCAGAGTGAGGCGGCCAGACAGGAGGGCCCCTTGCCAGGGATCCGGAGTCAGGAAGCCACGTACCGCTCCACAAAGGCTGCCCCGAAGTCCCCCGCACGGGGCGAGCGGGCTGTGGCTGGGTGCTGGTGGGCAGACACCATCAGAGCACAGTCCGTGCCCTGGTAGCGCAGGTGCAGGAAGCTCTCAGTGCTGATCTGGGACCTGCAGCAGGTGGTTGGGGGCACTCACACCAAACCCCCTGCCCTGACCCCACCCCACCCAGCGCCCGGCAAGGACACCTGTTCTGCTTCTCGCACACCCCGGGACCACCTGGGAAGTCATCAGGAGGAACACCCACCAAGGGCGTGGTGAGGACAACGTAAGCCCTCTGTCCAGGGCACCCTGGGAGCCCACCTGGGGAAGCCCTGGGCCTGCAGAGCATCCACACACTGCTCCTCCAGGCGGCTCAGCCTCTGGTCCAGCTGCACGAAGGTCTCAGGCGCGTAGAGCAGGGAGCAGGGTTCCTGTGCCTCATGCACCACGTCAGCCAGGGCCAGCCCCAGGGCCGACAGCAGCCCACTGTGCCTGCAGGGATGGGCAGCATGGCAATGGGAGGTCACCTCCCAAGCCCGGCGCAGATCACACCACCTCCGTGCACCCACACCCAGGCCCACCTGTGGATGTGCACCGTGTCCATGCCCAGGGCCCGGGCGATGGCACATGCATGCTGCCCACCAGCTCCCCCAAAGCAGGCCAGCACATGGGCTGAGGGGTCATGGCCTCTTGCCTAGGGAGACAGAAGGGGTCAGTGGGCTCTCCTACTCTACCCCATCCAGCCCCCAGCCTGAGCAGGAGGCCTGGGGCAGGGAGCAGGGCTGGGGGCAGGACAGGCGGGAGAGCAGAGGTGGACGTACCTGCGTGAGTGCACGGATGGGCCGGCACATGGCCTCGTTGGCCACGCGCACGAACCCCATGGCCACCTCCTCCAGGCTCAGCGGGGAGGCCGGGCAGGGCCCGTTGGTCAGGAAGCTGTTGACCTCAGTGGCCACAGCCTCCAGGGCTTTGCGGGAGGCCTCAGGGGAAAGTGGTTGGTTCTCTCCCGGCCCAAAAATGCAGGGGAAGGAGGCAGGCAGCAGGCGACCCAGGACCAGATTAGCATCCGTCACTGTCACAGGGCCCCCTGGGAGGTGGACAGGGTGTGGGGCTTGGGGGCTGGAGGCAGGGGAGCAGGAGTAGGCAGCAGGGATAGGGCTGACAGGAGGGGCTGGGCCTGCGGCGGCAAGCGGAGGGCAAGGCCAGGCCGGCCAGATCCTGACTCTTACCTTTGCGGTAGCAGGCGGGTCCTGGGTGGGCTCCTGCTGACTCGGGCCCAACCACAAAGAGGCCAGACCTAGGGGAAGGAAGGGCTGGGGTTGGAGTTGGACACGAGGAGGGAGACAGGGCTGGGGTCCCAGCCTGGGAAGCAGGAGAGCTGACCTGAAGAAGAGGCGGGAACCCCCTCCCGCTGCCACGGTGTTGATGTCCAGCTGCGGGGCCTGGAGGGTGACGCCAGCTGTGCTGGCCTCGAAGACGTGCTCGAATTCCCCAGCATAGCGGCTCACATCCGTGGACGTGCCTGGCAGGGGTGGGGTGCTGGTGGGTCACTTGAAGACCCAGGGGCCCAGCAGCTGAGCCTCCCCGAGACCCCAGCCCTCGGCCCTCATACCTCCCATGTCAAAGCCGATGACAGGCTGGCCACCCTCCTGCTGGTAGGTGGTGGCTGAGTAGCCCACCACGCCGCCGGCCGGGCCCGAGAGCACAGCACTGGAGCCGCTGAAGGTGTCCATGGGCGCCAGGCCGCCATCGGAGCGCATGAACAACACCTGCACATCCTGCGAGCGGGCAGCAGGCGGGCCATGAGGGGCAGGCCAAGGCCCAGGCCCAGGCCCAGGAGTGGGCAGTGGGGGTGCCTCACAGCCTCACCTTGAGTTGGCCCTGGAAGCCACGGCAGAAGCCCTGCACGTAGCGCTGGATGGCGGGCGTGAGGTAGGCGTCGGCACAGGCCGTGTGCCCCCGAGGGACGATGCGCACCATGGGCATGGCCTCCGAGGACAGTGACACGTGCGTGAAGCCCAGCTCCCGGGCCAGCACACCCACCTGCTGCTCATGCTGGGCCCACCTATGACAAAAACCCAGTGGCACCTCGTCTCCCACCAGGCCCGGCACCTGCTCCCGCAGCCCACAGCCCCACCTCACTCACGTGTACGAGTGCATGAGCACCACAGCCAGGCTGCGGATGCCTCGAGATAGCAGCCCCTCCAGCTTCCCACGCAGGGCCCCCAGGTCCACAGGCTGCTGCACTTCCAGCAGGTCCCCCGTGCGGCCTTCCAGAAAAGCCCAGGAGGCCCCGTTAAAGGCCAGCAGGACCCTCCGGCCCCAAATCCCACAGCAGCGGCGGCACACACACCTTTCACAGGCGTCCCGGTGCCCGCCTCTCCACGGTGCAGCACCACGCGTTCGTCCACCTCCAGCACCTCTTCATACAGCACCTCAGGCATGGGCACGGCCTGGGGGCGGGCAGAGACTCAGAAGAGGCCCAGGCCTGAGGGTCCAGGCCGGGGTCCTGTGTGAGTGGGTGGTACAGGTGAGTGGCTGTGTCCCAACAGGCCGGTCGGCAGGCCCAGGAGAGTCATACCTGGCAGCCCCAGCAAGGCTCACCAAGGGGGCAGCTCTCCACCCCCTAGGCAGCTGAGTGCAGCCAACTGCTCCACCCCCACGAAGGCAGCTTCTTCCGGAAACGCAGCAGTAGGTGCGGGGTTCCACCCCTCCTCTGCCTGAACAGGGTAGCTTGGGTGGCCCCACACCAGCATCCAGGGTGGGCATGGCGGCAGGCAGGAACAGGGCATCCTGTGCCCACTCCGAGGGCTAGGAGAACTTGGGGTCCCACTGGGAATTCGGGAGCTTCCTCTTTGTCGGCTGGTGCCCATGAGCCATCACTAATCCAACAACTGCTCTCCCCACAGGGTCAAGGCATCCCTGGGGGGTGTACACCACACAGCCTGGTCCCCAGCCAACATGGAGCTCACCAGGTCAAAGAGGTCCCCACGGGCTTGGGTGCCAATGTGCAGCAGGTCTCGGAAGCCACGTGTCACCAGCAGCGCCACCCGCTCCCCCTTCCGCTCCAGCAGTGCGTTGGTGGCCACTGTGGTGCCCATGCGGATGCTGGCGATATGACTGGAGTCCAGCGGCTGGTCCCGGGGCAGGAGCATGCCGGCCTCCTGGGGACCACGTGGTCAGTGTGGGGCTTCTGGCCGTGGGGTCCCTGTCCACCCGCTCCGCCCTGGCCCACCTGCTCCAGGATGCGGCGGATGCCTTCGGTTGGCGCGTCCGCATAGTTGGCAGGGTCCTCTGAGAGCAGTTTTAAGACCCGCACGTGCCCCCCTGGGCACTGGGCAAAGACGTCTGTGAAGGTACCCCCACGGTCGATGGCAAAGTGGAAGCGGCCCTCGGGGCTGCCCATGGTGGTGGGGCTGGAGTCCCACAGGAGCTCTTCAGCTGGTAGCCCTGGAAAAACTGGACGGAGGCGGGGTCAGCCCGGGCTCACCTGCGAGTGGGACTAGAGGCTCCCCAGCCCTGCGCATGCGGGGGGTTCCTGAGGGAGAGACCCACGGGCACGACTCTGGGAAGAGCCAGAGCCGCAGGCCCAGCTCCGAGGGCAGCCTGGGCCCGAGCGAGAGCCTGGCCGGCGGTCAGCGGCCTGATGCCCCCATGCCCAGCATCGCGCTTCTCCGGGCCCTGGACTGGGCCGAAACCCAGGCAGCGGAGCAGGCACGGGAGGTGGGGACGCCGCTGGACCCTGGAGCCCTCGGGCGGGGTCCCTCAGCACGAAAGAGGCACGGGAGTGCGGGGAGGGGGTTTGGGGCGAGCTGGCCGGGGGACCCCACTTCCCGCTTTGCTCGACCTTCGACCCAAGCCTGGCGGGCCCCGGGACAGGACGGAGCCTGAGCACCGACGGGGCGACCCGAGGCGGGGACGCGTGAGGAGCGGCCCGGGAGGCAGCGGGGAAGGGGCCGCGGAGGGGAAGCCCGGGAGGCAGCGGGGAAGGGCCGCGGAGGGGAGGCCGCCCGGCGCAGGCCCCACCTGGCGCTCGGCTCCGGCTCGGTCGCTCGCGGTCGGCTCTGCCTGCGCTCCCGGCGGCCCTGCCCGCACCAGCCTCGCCTCGGGGAGGAGCCTACAGGGCCCGCCCCCCGCGCCACTGGTCCCGGCACTCGCGGTTACATCAGGCCGGGCCCGCCCCCCGCGCCTCCGTCCTCGCCCTGCGCTTCCCCGGGCCACGGGCGCAGGATCAAGGGCACCTTGGCTCTGCGGCCCTCGGGTCTCCGGCGCCGGGCCTGGGCTCGCCTAGCGTGGGCGCCCCAGGATCCCACCTCCAGGTGTCCTGGGCAAGGGGAGCTGGCAGCCCAGGCCACAACAGGGCTTCCCACTGGCGGACGTCCTTCCCCGTGGAGGGGGCGTTGAAGGACAGAGAGGAGAGGGGAGGCCCTGCGGCCTTCTCTACCAGCCCCAGCTCCCGGCCCCGTGGGCCTCTCCTGTGCGGTATCTCTGGCCTTCTTCACCGGGTCTCCCTCATCTCCAGCCCTCCTTGTGCCAGAGGCGTGTGAACCAGAGCAACTCCATCTTGAATAGGAGCTGGCTAAAAAGAGGCCGAAACCTACTGGGCTGCACTCCCGGACGATTAATGCATTCTAAGTCACAGGATGAGATAGGAGGTCAGCACAACACACAGGTCATAAAAACCTGTATCTCCCAGCCCGGCCAACACGGTTGAAACCCCCTCGCTACTAAAAATACAAAAATTAGTCAGGCATGTGGCACGCGCCTGTAATCTCAGCTACCGGGAGGCTGAGGCAGGAGAATCGCTGGAACCCGGGAGGCGGAGGCTGCAGTGAGCAGAGATCGTGTCACTGCACTCCAGCCCAGGCGACAGAGCGAGACTCCGTCTCAAAAAAAAGAAAAAAAAAAACCCTGTATCTGATAAAACAGGTTGCAGTAAAGAAGTTGGCCAAACCTACCAAAACCATCGTCCTACACTCCCCGCAGCGCCATGGCGGTTTACCAGGGCCACAGCAACGGCACGAAGTTACCCTATATGGTCTAGAAAGGGGAGGCATTAATAATCCACCCCTCGTTTAGCATATCATCAGAAATAACCATAAAAATGGGCAACCGGCCTGGCACGGTGGCTCACGCCTGTAATCCCAGCACTTTGGGAGACCGAGGCGTGTGGATCATGAGGTCAAGAGATCAAGACCATCCTGGCCAACATGGTAAAATCTGTCTCTACTAAAAATACAAAAATTAGCTGGGCGTGGTGGCACGCACTTGTAGTCCCAGCTACTTGGGAGGCTGAGGCAGGAGAATCGCTTGAACCCAGGAGGCGGAGCTTGCAGTGAGATGAGATCGCACCACTGCACTCCAGCCTGGCGACAGAGTGAGACTCCGTCTCAAAAAAAAAAAAAAAAAAATGGGCAACCAGCAGCCCTCGGGGTGCTCTGTCTATGGGGTAACCATTCTTTATTCCTCTACTTTCTTAATAAACGTGCTTTCACTTTAGGCACTCGCCCTGAATTCTTTCTTTCAAGAAATCCAAGAACCCTCTCTTGGGGTCTGGATTGGGACCCCTTTCCTGTAACATTTGTGCCAAGGGCAGTGGACTCCAGCTCCCCATAGACAGGGATGGGGCCCAGGATCAGGCACTTAGGAACCCCTCCCCATGGATGGGCTGCTGCTCATGTCCAGATGACTGCCCTGTAAGTGGCACGTGCCTGCTGTGATGCCACCCCCAGACCCCATGCCCATGGACCTCCTAGTGCCTTCCCATCCTGAGGCCCAGCTGAGGCCCCAGATGATCATGCCACGCCCACATGCAGGAGCCCCACCTGCCTGCTCTGAGCAGTCCGTGGGAAGCAGCTCTGGTCAGCAACCCCACTTCAGCCGAGGACCTTCCCCACCAGCCATACAGCCTCTGCCTGGCCAGCCCACACTCCTGCGGGACTGCCCTGCCTTCTGGTTTCCACCCATCCCCAGCACAGCCTCTTGGTCCTGCCTGTCAGCCCAGGATCTATCAGGAGAGATTCCCACACCCCACCCACCCACACCCCCACCATCTGCTGCCCTGTACGCACTCAGGCTGCCCGCCAGGCCTGTGCTGTAGACCCCAAACTCTCTCACTGCCCTCCACCATCCCCAGCCACCCCCTCGCCTCTCTGTTCACTCCAGGGGCCTGTGCTATCCACTCACAGACGAAACCTCTAAGGGCCTGTCCCCACGCTCCCTAGCGGCATCCCACTGCCGTGCACCTCCAGGTGTCCACCTCCCCCACCTCCGCCTGCCTCCTGGGCTCTCCTGACCCCACTCCACTGCGCGTCTCGGGGGCAGACCAACAAAAGCCAACCCCCACCCACCCAGGCTCAGGCCTCCCTTGGCTGCCCCACCTGCCTCCTACCCCACTGGGCCTTTATCTCTGTCCCTCCATGTTGCTGGGTCCCAGCTTCCCCTTGGCAATGCCACGCAGCCCCTCCACAGCAACCAGAGGCAGCTCCAGGCCTGCGGGATGGCCCGGCCCCTACTCTCTAGTGGCGCCTCTGACTGCATGGCCAGACACGTCCCAAAACCAAGCCCCAGGCCACCTACCAGTGGCCCACTCCAGCAGCGGCTCCCCCACCCAGCGAGCTGCCCCAGCCCCATTCTCATCCCCACACGCAATCTGCCAGAAGTCCTGTTACTTTCACCTTCAGAACACAGAGCTGCTACTTCTCACACCTCCACCCCGGCCAGGCTTCCATCACGTTCCCCCAGGGATATGGCTGTCCCCACCACCAGAGAGCGCAGGGCTGGGAGGACAGAGTCTGCCGTTGCAGTGACTCTGACAGCTTCAGGCACAGACAACTTGCACCCACCTCAGGGCCTGGCACAGGCTGTTCCCTGGGCCTGGAAAGCCGCGCCCCAGCCTGGCAGCTCCCTCGCCCGCTCAGGCTCTGCTCAGAGGTCACTTTCCCAGACCTGGCACCTTCTCCCCGCCGCACATCCTGGAAGAGCCCCAGGGCCCTGGCTTTGCTCCAGAGGCACCGCAGCACCCAGCGGGTTTGCCCAACTCCACAGAGTCTTGGGGCCCCGGTACGGCTCACCTCTCTCAGCATTCTTGAATTTGATCGTTCTCCGCCTGGGTAGCCAGGGACTGGCAGCCACCTCAGCCAGGAACCCGGAGCTGCAGAAGCCCAGGCTGCTGCCGCGGTTCCTGAGCACCAGCTTCAGCTCCTGGTTCTCCTGGATGAGCTGCACCAGCCGCCGCAGCTCTTCGTTCTCCTGTGCCAGCCGCTGGATCTCCTGCCGCAGGCCCTCATAGCTGCTGAGGAGGGACATGCCTGGCAGCCAGCGGCGGCAGCTGGCGGGGGCCAGCAGGCCGGCCAGGGACAGCAGACCCTGCTATTGTGAGGTCAGCAGCTGCCCCTGCCCCCTCGCCTCAGCCGCATTCCGGGCCTTCAGGGTCAGGACCCAGCTGTTCCAACCACCCCGTGGCAGAGGTGGCCTGACCTCTGACCTCCAGCCCCCTGAGGGCCAAATGGCCAGTGGGTGCCCAGAACTGTCCCAGGTCTCTGGCTCACTCCAGGAATCCTCCTCCTAGAAGATGGAAGCTTCTTTGACCCGGCCAAGCCCAGGTGTGTCGTGGGGGAAGGGATATGGGATGCAGGCTTCCGCACCCACCCGTCTGACAGCCCACTGGCCACCAGCCACAGCCTCCAGGCCTGGCCATGCCAGGACATAGTTTTAGGCAACCAGGTGTGGTATGTCGGCAGTCACGGTTGGCACAGCTTCTGAAGGGATCAGGAAGGGTGGGTGCGTGGCTGCCCTGCAGGATGGGGCCCAGCAACAGCAGGAGCTGGACAGCAGCAACCAGGGCAGGCCAGGGCTACAGGGGCAGAGCCAGCCGAGAGCACGCTAGGACAGCATGGGAGGGGGCTGCAGGCCAAGGGATGCACCAGGCAGTGCTAGAGCCACCACAAGGGAGGCTGGGCCTGTTTCTGGGGGCACAGGGCCTTGGCATTGTCACATGGAGGTTGCAGCGAGCAGGCAGGTGCCCTGGAAGAGGCACCACATCTGGGCCATAACCTCAAGGAAGGGGATGGGCCAGGCGGCCCACCAGAGGCTGAGGACCAGGACCTAAAGACACACCTCCCCAGGGACAGGAGAGCCACCCTCACCCTCAGTGGTGACAGTGGTTTGCATTTTAGATCACATAAAGGACTTTCTTCTTCTATCCAATCTGTCTTTTTTTTTTTTTTTTTTTGAGATGGAGTCTTGCTCTGTCGCCCAGGCTGGAGTGCAGTGGCGCCATCTGGGCTCACTGCAAGCTCCGCCTCCCAGGTTCACGCCATTCTCCTGCGTCAGCCTGCCAAGTAGCTGGGACTACAAGTGCCCGCAACCACGCCTGGCTAATTTTTTTGTATTTTTTTTAGTAGAGTCGGGGTTTCACTGTGTTAGCCAGGATGGTCTCAATTTCCTGACCTCGTGATCTGCCCACCTCAGCCTCCCAAAGTGCTGGGATTACAGGCGTGAGCCACCGCGCCCAGCCTCCAATCTGTCTTTAAAGGGACACTTCTGCACAGTTACTTTGGTTTTCTGGCTTTTTCTTACATTATGATTATTATGTATTTTACATCATTTTTCTCTTTTGCTTGTTTGATGGTCTAGTTTCCACTTGCTGATTTGTAGACTGTCCTGGGATTCTCAAACTCCTTTCCCTGGCTACTCGAGTGGAGCCATCGCAGGGCCCCTCACCTGTGCGAGTGGGGGCAGTGCCCCTGAGACTAGTGCTCCAGGAGACTGGGGGCAACTGTACTGAATCCCAACAGAAATTGTGACAATTTAATTCTCGGCCGGGTGCAGGGGCTCACACCTGTAATCCCAGCACTTTGGGAGGTTGAGGCGGGCAGATCACCTGAGGTCAGGAGTTCGAGACCAACCTGGCCAACATGGTGAAACCCCATCTCTACTAAAAAAAAAAATACAAAAATTAGCTGGCCGCGATGGCAGGCACCTGTAATCTCAGCTACTCAGGAGGCTGAGGCTGGAGAATCACTTGAACCTGGGAGGCAGAGGTTGCAGTGAGCTGAGATCGTGCCACTGCACTCCAGCCTGGGCAACAGAATAAGACTCTGTCTCAACTACAATAAAATAATTCCTATAATTAGGAAGAAAATGGAGTAGAGTATTTTTATTTTTTTATTTTATTTTATTTACTTTTTTTTTTTTTTGAGATGGGGTCTCACTCTGTCACCCAGGCTGGAGTGCAGTGGTGCAATCATAGCTCATCGAAGCCTTGACCTCCCAGGCTCAAGGGATCCTCCTACCTCAGCCTCCCAAGTAGCTGGGACCACAGATGCATGCACCACCATGCCTGGCTAGTTTTTTTGTTTTTTTTTTTTGGTAGAAACAGGGTCTCGCTATGTTTTGTTTTGTTTTTTGAGATGGAATCTTGCTGTCACCCAGGCTGGAGTGCAGTGGCGTGATCTCAGCTCACTGCAAGCTCTGCCTCCCGGATTCAGGCCATTCTCCTGCCTCAGCCTCCCGAGTAGCTGGGACTACAGGTGCCCGCCACCACACCTGGCTGATTTTTTTTTGTATTTTTAGTAGAGACAGGGTTTCACCGTGTTAGCCAGGATGGTCTCTATCTCCTGACCTCGTGATCCCTCCGCCTTGGCCTCCCAAAATGCTGGGATTACAGGCGTGAGCCACTGCACCTGGCCCGGGGTCTCACTATGTTGCCCAGGCTGGCCTTAAACTCCTGGCCTCCTGCCTTGTTCTCCCAAAGTGCTGGGATTACAGGTGTGAGCCACCACACCTGGCCAAAGTAGAGTTTTTCTCTTTTTTTTTTTTTTTTTTTTTTTGAGACAGAGTCTCACTCTGTCACCCAGGCTGGAGTGCAATGGCACCATCTCGGCTCACTGCAACCTCCGACTCCTGGGTTCAAGCAATTCTCCTGCCTCAGCCTCCCAAGTAGCTGGGACTACAGGTGTGTGCCACCATGCCTGGCTAATTTTTTTGTATTTTTAGTAGAGACAGGGTTTCACCCTGTTGGCCAGGCTGTTTTCAAACTCCTGACCTCAGGTGATCCACCCACCTTGGCCTCCCAAAGTGCTGGGATTAGGGATTACAAGTATGAGCCACCAAGCCTGGCCTGGAGTAGAGTATTTCTGATAGTTGGAGAGATTTTACCCCAAAAGAATGAGGCTCGGCCAGGCGAGGTGGCTCATGCCTGTAATCCCAGCACTTTGGGAAGCCGAGGCGGGCGGATCACCTGAGGTCGGGAGTTTGAGGCCAGCCGGACCAACGTGAAGAAACCCCGTCTCTATTAAAAATACAAAATTAGCCAGGCGTGGTGGTGCATGCCTGTAATCCCAGCTACTCGGGAGGCTGAGGCAGAAGAATCGCTTGAACCTGGGAGGCAGAGGTTGTGGAGAGCCGAGATCACACCATTGCACACCAGCCTGGGCAACAAGAGTGAGACTCTGTCTCAAAAACAAAAAAACAAAAAAAAGAATGAGAGGCTCAGTCAGTCAACTTTCAACTCACACACTCCGAAAGCCAGAGGGTAAAGCGTGATAGGCAGAATTCTCAGAAGGCTTCCAGGATTTCCTGCTGTACATGCCGTGCATAATCCCCAGGACTGTGAATAAGATGGACTTTACTCCCATGATTAGGTTATGTTTTTTGACACTGCTGGGGGATAAAGGAGATGGTTTTGGGTGAGCCTAACCTAATCACGTGATCCTTCCAAAGGATGGGTCTCTTTCCAGTGGAAAGAACTCAAAGCATGAAAGAGATTCCACACAGGGGAGAGTCTCCACTGCTGGGGGAGTCTCAGAGCAAGGAATGTGGGCAGCTTCCAGGAGTTGACATATCATGGTAAAAATACTGGAAAGCAAAGACAAAGAGAAAGCTTTGAAAGTTAACAAGATAAAAAAATGATTCATCACATATAAGAGAACCCCAAATAAGATGAACACCTGACTCCTCAGAAGAAGCAGTGGAGACCAGAAGACTCAAAGTCAGAAAAACACTGTCAAGCAAGAATCCGATATTTAGGAAAACCACTTTTGAAAATGAAGGTGAAATAAAGACAGTTCAAGATGAACAAAGATAGAAAATGTGTTGGCCGGGCACAGTGGCACACGCCTGTCATCCTGGCACTTTGGGAGGCTGAGGCGGATGGATCACCTGAGGTCAGGAGTTCGAGACCAGCCTGACTAACATGGTGAAACCCCATCTCTACTAAATACATAAATTAGCCGGGCATGGTGGCAGATGCCTGTAATCCCAGCTACTTGGGAGGCTGAGGCCGGAGAATCGCTTGAACCCAAGAGGCGGAGGTTCAACCTGCCGAAACAACCTGCCAGCCTGCATTCCTTCCTGATAGAGACCACTGGCCACGGAGTGGCTCTACGGCTATGGAGGAAGCACAGGGAGGGGTTTTGTGTCCTCTGCTGCACCATTTGACGCTGGAAGCCTGAAAACCCCACCCTCAGATCACGATAATGCCACCATTTTTTGAACATGAGTCCCATGGGGAGGCATGAAGCTAAATTGTGCGTTTGTGTGCTCCCCTTTCATAAATATTCATGACTCCTCTTATAGCTCATTGAATATGTATATTTGGCCACTCCCTTCAGCATAAATTCCTGTTCCCCTTGCCCCTCCCATGAAGTGTCTGTTTTTGACTTCTGACTGGAGGCTACGCTTCCCTGCCTGTCAGAATGGCCGCCCTGCAGACTGCAACCCTTTATGAGAAATAAAGCTCTCCTTTCCAAATGTATAAACCTCGCCATTCTTCAGTTGACACCACCACCATGGCTGCCACTTTAGACGAACACGCTGCCCTGGCCCTTGGGAGGCAAGTCCAGTTCTCATGCTGTGGAATCTGACTGGCCTGTGCGGGAAGAGTGTGGGGAAGTGACGCTCTGTGTTCTCCGGGCCTCCACCTGAGACCCCACACAGGGCAGGACGCCCAGTGGGCTGTGTAGCCCTCTCACTTTGGAAATTGACCAAGGGGCATACAGCAAAGCAAGAAGCATTTATTCAAGAAGATCTACTAAGTCTTGATCAGAACAGGGGGAATCTGTGGTGCTTGAGCTCAGCCTGCTTCCCCCGGTCCCTGGCTCCATCATAAAAGCTCTACTCCAGGAGGTGCAGCTGAGGACACGGGTTCCTTCCTCCCAGCTCCTGGCTGCAAGGCAGAGGCACCACATAGGGAGGGACACGCCGAGAAGACGAGGCCTCCCGTCCCCCAACACCTGCCACAGCACAGGGGTCTCACTCCGGGAGAAGCAGGCCACCACGCCCACCCCCAGGTCCACAGATGCTGCCCCAGTGAGACGCGGTGGCAGGGCTGGCTGCTGCATGGGGCTGCCTTCCTTAGGAAGCACAGTGTGGGAAAGTCACGCCTAAGGTGCGTGGCAGGCTGTGGGAAGCTCAGTGGAGAGCAATTAGGAAAAAGCGGACAGCTGTGTGAAACTGATAGCAGCAAATGAAATGGCAGGCCAGCCTGGAGTGTAGCTGAAAACCAGGGACAGAGACAACAAAGAAAGGATCCTGCAGATACTGCATCCACCCCTGGGAGTCCAGAAGCCTCTGCACCGGTGCCAGGCTGCACCCAGGCTGAGTGGTTGGGTGTGCTGGCTGTCTATTGCTGCCCTCACAAATCACCACAGACTTGCAGGTTTAAAACAACAGAAACTTACTATCTTACAGTCCCGGAGACCAAAAGTCCAAGATGAGTCTTATGGGGCTAAAATCAAGGCTTTTACAGGGATGGTTCCTTCTGGAGGTTCCAGAGGAAAGCAGGTGCCCTGCCTCTTCCAGTTCCTGGTGTGTGCCGGGACTGCTTGGCTTGCAGCCACATCACTCTGATCTCTACCCAGGTGGTCCCACAGCCTTCTCTTCTCCTGTAGTCAAATCTCCCTCCATTTCCCTCCTAAAGGACGCTTGGAATGACATTCAGGGCCCACTGGGTCACCCGGGATCGCCTCCCCGCCTCAGCCTCCTTAACTGCATCTCATCTGCAAAGTCTTTTTTGCCAAATGAGGTACATTCATAGGCTTCAGTGATTCGGGCCTGAGTGTCTTTGGGGTTGTTATTTAGCCACCACGCTTGCTGAATGCGGAGCAGATTGGAAAGCTTTCCAACCACACACACATCCATCAGCAAAGGATGGAGCTGCTTTATCCCACCGAACCCCAGGCTGGAATCACCCCAAAAACAGCAGCATGGGGGTTCCCCCAAGGGAGTGCCCCAAACTGTCACAAGATTGAGCCTATTGGGTTTCCAAAGAAAGAAGCACTAAACGCCAGGGTGACTAGTCCAGAGCATTAATTAGGGGAACTCAGGGACAGAGAGCTGCAGCAGTCCTTGAAACAAGGAGAAAAAAGGGCTGTTCCGCCCGGGCGTGCCCAAAGCAAGGTGGCCGGGGAACGGAGTTTATGTGTGGGTTTAAGGCATTTGGCTCAGGGCCGGGCCAGTTTCTTTCTAGTAAACCCAGATCCTTTATTAGTGCCTGGGAAAGTTCAAGGTCCCGGTGTGGGTTCAAACCTGCTGGAAAAAAACTGCAGCTGTTGAGTCACAGAATGGTCAAGGCCCTCTGATTTTTGGTCAGGACACAGAAGGAAACTGGGAGAAGCTTGGGGGGCGTGGCTCACACCTGGAATCTCAGCACTTTGAGAGGCTGAGGTGGGTGGATCACGAGGTCAGGAGTTCAAGACCAGCCTGGTCAACATGGAGAAACCCCGTCTCTAATAAAAATACAAAATTGCGCTGGGTGTGGTGGCGGGTGCCTGTAATCCCAGCTACTTGGGAGGCTGAGGCGGGAGAACCGCTTGAACCCAGGAGGTGGAGGTTGCAGTGAGCCAAGATCACACCACTGCACTCCAGCCTGGGCAACAGAGCAAAACTCCATCTCAAAAAAAAAAAAAAAAATTGGGGCTGGGCGTGGTGGCTCATGCCTATAATCTCAGCACTTTGGGAGGCTGAGGCAGGTGGATCACCTGAGGTCAGGAGTTCAAGACCAGCCTGACCAAAATGATGAAACCCCATCTCTATTAAAAATACAAAACATTAGCCGGGCATGGTGGCGCACGCCTGCAATCCCAGCTATTCAGGAGGCTGAGGCAGGAGAATCCCTTGAACCCGGGAGGCAGAAGTTGCAGTGAGCCGAGGTCGCACCATTGCACTCCAGCCTGGGCAACAACAGCAAAACTCCGTCTTGAAAAAAAAAAAATTTTTTTTTCAGAGAAATTGAGGGACCTACAGGAGCCTCATTGGCTTGGGGAGGTTAAATACAACCTTTGACCAATTGGTGGTGAGCGCTAAACTAGGCTGACCCAGGCGTGATTTCTAGGAAGCCAGAAGTTCTTAAAAATAAGGAGGGAGGAGCGGA
This sequence comes from Homo sapiens, assembly GCF_000001405.40. Lineage (NCBI taxonomy): Eukaryota > Metazoa > Chordata > Mammalia > Primates > Hominidae > Homo > Homo sapiens. Next base: position 144,071,001 of record NC_000008.11, read on the forward strand.
GCAGAGACAGAAGCTACACACTGTGGGGCAAACAGACACATGGAATTGGCCCAGGCAAACCACTAAACAACATGAAAAAACAGCAGCAAAATCACAAGGGCCATCGGCCAATCCTAACCCAAAGTTGATGTGATATACGCTCTAAAGTGTCCAGTTTCCTTTCTCCCTCCCCTCCCCCTCCCCTCCCCCTTCCCCTCTCCTCCCCTCCCCTCTCCCCTCCCCTCCCCCCTCCCCTCCCCCTTCCCCTCCCCCCTCCCCTCTCCCCTCCCCTCTCCCCTCCCCTCCTCCGCTCCCCTCTCCTCCCCTCCGCTCCCCTCTCCTCCCCTCTCCTCTCCTTTCCTTTCTGATGGAGTCTCACTCTGTCTCCCAGGCTGGAGTGCAGTGTCCCACTTCTCCCGCCTCAGCCTCCCAAGTAGCTGGGATTATAGGCATGCGCCTGGGATTACAGGTGCGTGCCACCACACGTGGCTAGTTTTTTGTATTTTTAGTACAGACAGGGTTTCACCATGTTGACCAGGCTGATCTCGAACTCCTGACCTCCCGCCTTGGCCTCCTAAAGTGCTGGGATTACAGGCATGAGCCACTTCACCCAGCCTAAAGTGTCCAGTTTTCTACAAAAATGATGAGACATGCAAAGAAAGAGGATAGTGTGACTCTTTATATTTTGTATTGATACATACATACTGTACATATTGGTCAGGTGTGGTGGCTTATGCCTGTGATCCCAGCACTTTAGGAGGCCAAGGCGGGAGGATCACTTGAGCCTAGGAGTTCAGGGCCAGCCTGGGCAACATAGCGAGATCACAGCTCCGCAAAAAAACACAAAAAAATTATCTGGGGGTGGTGGCATGCACCTGTAGTCTCAGCTACCGGGGAGGCTGAGGTGGGAGGATTGCTTGAGCCCAGGAGGTCGAGGCTGCAGAGAGCCAAGATCGTGCCACTGCACTGCAGCCTGGGTGACAGAGTGAGATGTTGTCTCAGAAAAATTAAAAAATAAAATAAATGTGTACATATTTATGGGGTATATGTGATACTGTGTTACATGCACAGAAAGTGTAAAGATCATGTCTGGGTATTTAGGGTATTTACGACATCCGTCACCTGGGTATGTGTCATTTCCGTGTGTTGGGAACATTTCAAGTCCTCACCTCAAGCTATTTTTAAATGTACAATGCCTTGTTTTGTTTTGTTTTTTTTTGAGACGGAGTCTCGCTCTGTTGCCCAGGCTGGAGTGCAGTGGCACAATCTCAGCTCACTGCAAGCTCCACCTCCCGGGTTCCAGTGATTCTTCTGCCTCAGCCTCCCAAGTAACTGGGATTACAGGCACATACCACCACACCGGGCTAATTTTTATATTTTTAGTAGAGATGGGATTTCACCATGGTGGCCAGGCTGGTCTTGAATGCCTGACCTCAAATGATCTGCCCGTCTCAGCCTCCCAAAGTGCTTGGATTACAGGTGTGAGCCACCGCGCCCGACCTACAATTTATACCTCCTATCTACCTGTATGTTTACCTACCCATTAACCAAACTCTCTTTACCACCACCCCGCAACATACACACGCACCATTCCCAGTCTCTGGGGACCATGATTCTATTGTCTACCTCCGCAAGATCAACTTTTTTAGCTCCCACATGTGAGTGAGAGCATTCCATGTGTGTCTTTCTGTGCCTGGCTTATTTCACTTAACATAATAACCTCCAGGGTGATGCAAATGACAGGATTTCATTCTTTTTGTGGCTGAAAGGTATTCTATTGTGTATACACACATTTTCTTTACCCATTCATCCACCGATGGACACGTGGGATGAATCCATATCTTGCCTACTGTGAACGGTGCTGCAATAAACAAGGGGGTGCAGGTGTCCCTTTGATATGTTGACTTCAGGATGGTATGACTGTCACACAGGATGAAGAGCAGGCAACAGTAAGTGCCTTTGAAGGGGCCCAGACTCTGGGCTTTGCAGGCAAAGATGTCAAAGCTTAGCTTATGCAAAGGCCCATGAACAGAGTGGCCATGGTGGCAGGGACAGTGGCTCTGTATGGTCCTACTGACTGCTGAATGTCCAGCCCATAGCAGCAGAGACCAAAGACCTCAAGTGTGGCCAGCGTGGTGGCTCACGCCTGTCATCCCAGCACTTTGGGAGGCCAAGGTGGGCGGATCACCTGAGGTCAGGAGACCAGCTTGGCCTACATGGTGAAACCCCATCTCTACTAAAAATACAAATACAAAAATTAGCCAGGCGTGGTGGCGGGCGCCTGTAATCCTAGCTACTTGGGAAGCTGAGGCAGGAGACTCGCCTGAACCCAGGAGGCGAAGATTGCAGTGAGTCAAGATCGCACCACTGCACTCCAGCCTGGGCGACAGAATGAGATTCCTTCTCAAAAAACAATAACAAAGACCTCAGGCCCCTCCCACCTGGAGGAGCAGCGATTCGTTCTTCCCAGAACCGACACCTACTCTGAACGCAACTTTGCTCTTCCTGCCAACAGCTCCTCCACCAGCACCTCTATCCCAAGCTTTCGGAATGTCTTACCTTCCACTGGACCATGATAAATACTAACGACCGGCCGGGTGTGGTGGCTCACACCTGTAATCCCACCACTTTGGGAGGCCAAAGCAGGCAGATCACTAGGTCAGGAGTTTGAGGCCAGACTGGCCAACATGGTAAAACCCCATCTCTACTAAAAATACAAAAATTAGCCAGACATGGTGGCACACGCCTGTAATCCCAGCTACTTAGGAGGCTGAGACATGAGAATCGCTTGAACACGGGAGGCAGAGGTTGCAGTGAGCCAAGATCATGCCATTGCACTCTAGCCTGGGTGACAGAGCGAGACTCTGTCTCAAAAAAAAAAAAAATCCTAACAACCCACCTTAGAGCCTACTGTGTGGCAATGAGCTCATGTTCCTGGGACTCACTGTCTCCCAAACCCTTGTCAGCCCAACGGAATAGTGGCACAGTCTGCTGAAGGCCCTGCCCCACTGCCTGCTGGATGTCAGCCCCTTCCAGGGAGGGGCACTTCTGCTGGGATACGGCCTGTGCTGCTGTAAGGAGTTGGCGCTCGAGAAACAGGCTCACCAGGAATCTCGGGGATCAGTTCCAGGATCCTCAGTCCCACAGCCCCTTCCCGGCTTGGGCCCCAACAAAGTATTTACAGAGTCATATATTTCGTAAAATTTGCAAAAGTGAAATATTTTAAACACAACCAGCTAAAACTGTCTCTTCCCCCTGCAACCTGCCATCAGTTACCCCCATCAGTTACCCCCTCCCCTGCTGCATAGAGCTGGAGGGGGTGTTGTGGGGTCCAGCTCCCGGGAGGTTGAGTTGAAGCTACGTTTTGCTTGGGCTTAGCGGGAACAGTCACTTCCCGATACAGTTATGCTATCGCTAGTCATTCTGGTGTAGAAATGGCTTCCGGAAACACCCACCTCCCTCGGCTGCATGTCATGACACAACAAGCTGATGAAATTGGCCAAGTGCCAACTCAAAGAGGATCTAAGATTAGTCACAAACAAGAAAACCCAAACTCAAATTCATTTTTTTGGGGCGGGGGGTGGTTCTGGGTTTTTTGGTTTGTTTTTTTGAGACAGCCTGGCTCTGTGGTATGGGCAGGAGTACCGTGGCACGATCATAGCTCACAGCATCCTCCAACTCCCTCGGCTCAGGCCACCCTCCCGTCTCAGTCTCTCAAGTAGCTGGAACTACAGGCGTGTGCCACCATACCCAGTTAATTTTTAAATTTTTTTTTGTAGAGATAGTGTGTCACTATGTTGCCCAGGCTGGTCTCGGACACCTGGCCTCAAGCGATCCTCCTGCCTCAGCTTCCCAAAGTGTTGGATTACAGGCACGAGCTACCTCACCCAGCCAAGCCCTGAACTGTTATGGCTCATATGTGGAAGAAATTTGATAAGCGGTTTCCTCCAATTTAATGACAATTCTAAAAATGTACATATTACCCAAAGGAGCTTTTACCTGAAAGCAACTTAATTATTAGTAATAAAATTAAATTTTGATCAAACATGTGAGAGGAGAAACTAAATCATTTTCTTGGTTTTTGTTTATTTGTTTTTTGTTTTGACAGGGTCTCATTCTGTTGCCCAGGCTGGAGTGCAGTGGTGTGACCACAGCTTACTGCAGCCTTGACCTCCTGGGCTCAAGTGAGCCTCCCACCTCCACCTCCCAAGTAGCTGGGACCACAGGTATGCACCACCATGTCCAGTTAATTTTTTTTTTTTTTTGAGACAGAGTCTCGCTCTGTCGCCCAGGCTGGAGTGCAGTGGTGCGATTTCGGCTCACTGCAACCTCCGCCTCCTGGGTTCACGCCATTCTCCTGCCTCAGCCTCCCGAGTAGCTGGGACTACAGGTGCCCGCCACCACGCCCGGCTAATTTTTGATATTTTTAGTAGAGTCAGGGTTTCACCGTGTTGGCCAGGATGGTCTCGATCTCCTGACCTCGTGATCTGCCCGCCTCGGCCTCCCAAAGTGCTGGGATTACAGGCGTGAGCCACCGCGCCCGGCCCATGTCCAGCTGATTTTTTGCATTTTTTGTAGAGATGGGGTTTTGCCATGTTGTCCAAGCTGATCTTGAACTCCTAGGCTCAAGTGATCCGCCTGCCTCTGCCTCCCAAAAGTGCTGGGATTACAAGCGCGAGCACCGCGTCTGCCATATTCTTTCTACATATAGAAGGTTACGTTATAAAAAGGTGTTGTCATCTTAAGAGAGCATCAGAGAACGCATCAAAGAAATGTAGGGGAAACCTGTTGGAGTCAAATATGTCAGGCAGGTTTTCTGCATTTTGTGATGTTTGTAGTATTTGACAACTTTTAAAATGTTTGTTATGTGTTGGGACTTCTTTTCTCACTATTCACTTAGTTTTGGATATACAATTTTGTCTTATGTTTCAAAAGAAGACTGCATAGAAGAGTTAACAGCAGGCCTGAGAAGCTCTTCTTCACAGGCAAGTTTGAAGAGTGGGTGTCTGGGAACTTGGGTTTTTCATGGTTCCCCCACTCTCTGGTAAGCGTGTCTCACTGTGCCTAGACTGTTTGTACAAATATGGCTCATGCTGAACACCTGTGTTGCTTCTAGGGGTCTGGAATTTGGGCACATGCTTGGCACAGACTGTGTATGTGACCAGCCCTCCATAAAACCCCAGGGCGCTGAGTGTCTAAGAAGCTTCCCTGGCAGACAGCATTTCACACACACGGCTCCAGCTTCTTCCCGTGGAGTCCACCAGGAGAGGACGTGGCCAGCTCACGCCTGATTTCCTGTGGAATTCATCCCATGCACCTTTTCTCTTTGCTGATTCAGACTTATATCCTCTCTGTGTAATAATCTTAGGCGTGAAGACAAGTCTATAGTGAGTCCTTCTAGCAAATCGGTTACTCTGGAGGGGTCTTGGGGATACCTCTCACGGCCCCTGAATTTGTATAAGCTTTAGGCCTCCAAAATTTGAATCGACCCATGTGTGTACCCTAAAGCTGGAGTACGAGGGTCAGAGAACCAAAGGTGTGAGGTAGGAGTGGCCCCATAATCCTAAACCTGTAATGCTGCCAGGTTGGAGGCCTGGTTCCTGAAGATGAATACTTCCACCAGGGAACACAGCAAAGGTTCCACTGATCTTGAAGTAGCGGCTATCACTGGCCCACTTTGGACACCTTAGGCTGAAGACCAACATCGTCCTCATTGTCCTGAGTTGCTACGGTCAATGCTACACAACTGGGGTGGGCAGTCCACAGAGCTCCCTGGGCGTCTAGTCTTCCCGCATGCGGCAAGGACTGTCAGTGGACAACCCAGTAATGGCCATGCGTGGTGGCGGGAGGCCGAGGCAGGTGGATCACCTGAGGTCAGGAGTTCAAGATCAGCCTGGTCAACATGGTGAAACCCCATCTCTACTAAAACTACAAAAAAAAAGTTAGCAGGGCATGGTGGTGCATGCCTGTAATCCCAGCTACCTGGGAGGCTGAGGTAGGAGAATCGTTTGAACCCAGGAGGTGGAGGTTGCAGTGAGCTGAGATTGTGCCACTGCACTCCAGCCTGGGTGACAGTGAGACTCCATCTCCAAAAAAAAAAAAAAAACCTTAGCCAGGCATAGTGGCAGGTGCCTGTAATCCCACCTTCCCAGCTACTTGGGAGGCTGAGATAGAAGAATCACTTGAACCCTGGAGGTGGAGGGTGCAGTGCGCTGACATTGTGCCACGGCACTCTAGCCTGGGTGCAGAGTAAGACTCCATCTCAAAAAACAAAACAAAACAAAGAAACAAACGAAAAAAACGATGACTCAGTAAGAACAGGGACAGTAAGAGCTCAGACTGAAAGGGGAAAAGGGCTCCACAATAAGCAGAGTGGCTGTAGAGCAGAGGGTGGGGAATCCGGGGTGGCAAGTGGCAGAGGGTGGTGACCCATCATGGCCTCAGACCAGCTGCAGCAGCAGGGTTGTGGCTTGCTCACTCACTCTCATGCCTCAGTCTTTCAGGAGAGCTTAACCACCTTGGAGGGGATGCTGTGACAACTGAACTTGGGCCCCTGCAGCAGACCACATTTCCCTAGCCCGCCTGCTCTTCCTACAGTCTAATATTGACACTCCTCCCACTGAAGGGTGGGGTCCCTGTCCTCATCCCTTAAGCCTGGGCAGATCTGTCTGACTGCCTTGACCCACAGAGTGTGGCAGGAGGGACACTATGTGACTTCTGAGGTTAGGTCCTAAAAATACCATGCACATGTTGTCCACCTTGTTGTCCTGGAAGGCTACCCTTGGAACCCAGTTGCCATACTGCAAGGAAGCCCTGGTTGCATGGAGAAGCCACATGTAGGTGTGCTGCCTGACAGGCACAGATGAGGTCCTGGCCCGCCACCAGCATCAGCCACCAAAGATGTGAGGGAGAAAGCTTTAGGATGGCTGCAGCCCCAGCTACCATCTGGCAGCAACTGTAGGAGAGATCCTAAGTGCAAACTATCTAGCTGAGCCTAGATAACCCCAGATTGCAGCACATAATAATAGAATGATTTTTATTATTTGAAGCCGCTGAGGTTAAGTGGCAAGAGATAAACAGACATACAACCCCTCTCTGGAAAGGATGAGGAAATCTGCATCCTCAAAGGGAAAAGGGAGGCCCACCTGACTGCAGTGTGGAAGCTCGGTGTAAAGGGAGGGCATGAGAGGACTGGAGAGGTGCCAGGTGTGGACCATCCTGGGACACCAGCCTGGTCACTTTCCTAGGACCGCTCAATGCCTTCTCCTGTCAGTGTCGCACCCCACTGGGTTCATCCTTCCACTTTCACACTTGGGGCGCGGGGAAGGGCTGAATGCAGGCACCACTGGTCACGAGGGCGTGACTGGGCAATTCCTCCTTCGGCGGGCGCCCACCTCCTGGCACCCGTGGCACAGCTCCGGGAACGGCTGCGGGCCCAGCCGCTGCTTCCCCGATAGCGCCGCCGCAGTTCCCCGGAGACAGAAGTAGAGCCGGACCGCCGGAAACCGTAGATCCGGGGAGGTCGGGGCCGCGGTGAACTCCAGTTCACCAGGACAGGAAGTGACAGCGGAACGCCGGAAACCGCAGATCCACGGAGGTCAGGGCCGCGGAGAGCTGTAGTTCCCCGGAACCGGAAGTGATGGCGGACCTCCGGAAACCGTAGATTCCGGGCGGTCGGAGCCGCCGGGAGCTGTAGTTCTCCCGCGGCTCAGAGAAGTAGGCAGAGAGCGGACCTGGCGGCCGGGCAGCATGGCGGGGCTGGAGCTCTTGTCGGACCAGGGCTACCGGGTGGACGGGCGGCGCGCCGGGGAGCTGCGCAAGATCCAGGCGCGGATGGGCGTGTTCGCGCAGGCTGACGGCTCGGCCTACATTGAGCAGGGCAACACCAAGGCACTGGCTGTGGTCTACGGCCCGCACGAGGCGAGTGGGCGCGCGGGATGGGGAATCGTGTGGCCGTGGGAGCTGCGGGGCAGCCGGGCTGAGCGCTGGCTCGGGGACTTGAGGGGCAACGGCCGGCGCGCCTCAGTCTACACAGCCGATGCTCAGCACCGCATCTCACTCGGAGTAAACGCAAGTCCTTAGTGTGCTGCGCGGTGGTCCTGCCTTTCTCATCGGCCTCTGTCCCTGCGCCCTCCTTCCTCTTTGCGGCTCTTCAACGTGCTAGGCACTCCCCCACTCGCTCCCTCTCCTTTCAGCTCTACTCCGACGTCACTCCTTCCCAGACGACCTTATTATCCACGCGGTACTTCTCGCCCTACAATAAACCCTTTGTTTTGTGCACCTACAATCTCAAATGCCTATTTTGCTTAAGCATTTTCCCCTTTGTTTCCTCGCTGGAACATAAGCTTCCTAAAGAAAGGAACTTTACATAAAACTATCTGGTTTCATTACTGTGCTTCCAGCGCTGTAACTGCCTGGCCAGCGAAGGTATTGAAAGAGTGTTTGCTTAGCGCATGAGTGTGGGAGCTCTGCTTTCCAGGCGGAGGGAACCAGAAGGGCGAAGACCACGGTGGTGAAAACAAGCAAGGCACTTATGCAGAGCAGAAAGACTGCTGGTGGGGAAAGAGGGGATAACTCCAAATCAGGTTGAGGGTTCCCGGGGAGGTGAGGACTTAGGGTTTTGTAGAGTAGGGAAATGATTTGGGATCTTATTTCATATGTAATGTGAAACCTTTGTAAGGTAGTTAGGATTTGAGTGTGTAGGTGAGACAGAAGCAGCGTTGATGTTTGTAAACTTGGGTTGGCAGGGAATGGGGCAAGGATGGACACAAGGAAGCCAATTAAAAGGTGCCAGAGGGCGACACATGCAAGACAGAGAGCGCAAAACAGGGGGCTTTGTTTTGGAGGTAACGCAGTTGCCCCTTGCTGAGGCATTGAAAGTGGAGGGAGAGGCAGACCCACAGAGGACAGTGGAGTGTGAGCTGGAAGGAGTGGGCCTGGCTCATGTGTCTGTCCTCTTCCAGATCCGGGGCTCCCGGGCTCGAGCCCTGCCGGACAGGGCCCTAGTGAACTGTCAATATAGTTCAGCGACCTTCAGCACAGGTGAGCGCAAGCGACGGCCACATGGGGACCGTAAGTCCTGTGAGATGGGCCTGCAGCTCCGCCAGACTTTCGAAGCAGCCATCCTCACACAGCTGCACCCACGCTCCCAGATTGATATCTATGTGCAGGTGAGCCAGCTGCAGCCGTCAATCCAGGGAGGGAAGGGTGTGATGGGGTTGGGGAGGGAGTCTGATAGACTGACACCCTGGGTTCCCTGCAGGTGCTACAGGCAGATGGTGGGACCTATGCAGCTTGTGTGAATGCAGCCACGCTGGCAGTGCTGGATGCCGGGATACCCATGAGAGACTTTGTGTGTGCGTGCTCAGCTGGCTTCGTGGACGGCACAGCCCTGGCGGACCTCAGCCATGTGGAGGAAGCAGCTGGTGGCCCCCAGCTGGCCCTGGCCCTGCTGCCAGCCTCAGGACAGATTGCGCTGCTTGAGATGGATGCCCGGCTGCACGAGGACCACCTGGAGCGGGTGTTGGAGGCTGCTGCCCAGGCTGCCCGAGATGTGCACACCCTCTTAGATCGAGTGGTCCGGCAGCATGTGCGTGAGGCCTCTATCTTGCTGGGGGACTGACCACCCAGCCACCCATGTCCAGAATAAAACCCTCCTCTGCCCACACACCCCTCACTGTACGTTATCACCTAACAGCACTTCAGAGCCATGTGAAGGCTGGCAGAGCCTGGTCTGGTGCTGGCTCCTGGGGATGATTAGGGACCCTCGCCCACACATGAACGGCCTATCTCTGTGTAGCCTGATTCAAACCCTGAAGAGAACAGTGGATTAGGGGGTTTCTGTAGGGGAGGCCCTGGGTGGAAAAAGCAGCATGTCCCAGTAAGGACTCAAGGCAGCTGAGCAGGAGGCAGGGCCTGGCAAGATGAGCCAGGCCATTAGACTGAGGAATCTGTTACCCTTATTCCAGCACATCGGGGGCCCTGAGCAAAGGGCTGAGGAAGAACTCAGCTGGCTCTGGGTACCCACCCTAGGGATGTGGGGGCCATGTCCCACAACCTCTGGACTATGGTTTGGAGCCCCCTGGGCTTTTCCTGCTGCTTACCTTGGGCTCTGAAAGTACAACAGCCAGGCATGGTGGCTCACGCCTGTAATCCCAGAGCTTTGGGAGGCTGAGGCAGGCGGATTGCTTCAGGTCAGGAGTTTGAGACCAGCCTGGCCAACATGGCGAAACCCCGTCTCTACTAAAAATACAAAATTAGCTGGGAGTGGTGGCACATGCCTGTAATCCAAGCTACTCAGGAGGCTGAGACAGGAGAATCTCTTGAACCTGGGAGGCGGAGGTTGCAGTGAGCCGAGATTGTGCCACTGCACTCCAGCCTGGGCGACAGAGCAAGACTCCATCTAAAAAAAAATAAAAGTACAAAAATTACCTGTTCTCATGGATCACTTGAGGTCAGGAGTTCGAGACCAGCCTGGCCAATGTGGTAAAACCCCATCTCTATTAAAGACACAAAAATTAGTGTGGTGGCAGGCACCTGTAATCCCAGCTACTAGGGAGGCTGGGGCAGGAGAATCACTTGAACCAGGAGTTGAAGGTTGCAGTGAGCCAAGATTACACCACTGCACTCCAGCCTGGGTGACAGAGCAAGACTCTGTCTCAAAAAAAAAACAAAAAAAAACTTGTTCTCACATGGAGTCTTCAGCTTTGACCCTTCTCTCTGCCCACCACTATTTTGTTTGTTGAGACATGGTCTTGCTCTGTGCTCAGGCTGGAGTGCAGTGGTGTGATCACGGCTCACTGCAGTCTGGATCTCCCAGGCTCAAGTGATCCTCCCACTTTAGCCTCCTGAGCTGAGACTACAGGCATGCCCCACTCACCTGGCTAATTTAAAAGGAATTTTTTTGTGTGTACAGACTGGGTCTCATTTCGTTGTCCAGGCTGATCTCAAAGGATCCACCCACCTCACCTTCCCAAAGTGCACCCTCTTGAGCAAACTCCCCCTTCATTCACCTCTGGCCCACCGAGCCCCGACTACCAGTCCCTGCAGTCTGGACCCTGGGACTGCTTCTCCCCTAATATTCCACGGATCTCCTGGCCCGGACAGTGACAGTATGATCCCCCACTTTATAATGCACACACCCCAGCTCCAGTGAAGCCCGTTTTGGCCAGTAGTGCCATCAGCATCTTCTCTGCAGTCATCTGACTCTGAAAACCTCGGTGCTGGGCTCACGCTGTGACTCCACTGGGACGTCCTGAGTCATTGGCAGTCTCGCTTGGCATCCATTCTCTGACCGCCGCCGGCTTTCCACCCACCTGCCCGGCTCATCACCTCTGACTCCTGCGGGCCTTCCAGCCGGCGCTATCTCGCAGCCCCCGACCAGCTCGGCCTGCTGTCGGGCATCTCTGCTGTCCTCCGGCTGTAGGGCTACCTGCCTCCCTCCCGGGGGGTGCACTGCGAGTCCGACTCTAGTGGGGGCAGCGCCTAGCGGACTCCCAAACCCGCTCAGGTCCTGCCGGCCTCACCGGCACCGCCCACCCTCCAGCCGGCCGCGGCTCTGCGCTTGCGCGCCGGCAGCACACAGTGTTAGGGGCGCGCCCTCTGCTCTGGACATGCGCGCCGTCGCGAGCGTCTCTGGGACCGGAAGTGCGGGCGAGCGCGGGTCCCCGGGTCTGACAGGAGCAGCCTGTGGGCACCGCGGCGGTAGTTGGAGGCGGGAGAGGGTCCGTAGCCGCGCCGCCCTGCCCCGCCATGGGCCTCCTGTCGGACCCGGTTCGCCGGCGCGCGCTCGCCCGCCTAGTGCTGCGCCTCAACGCGCCGTTGTGGTGAGGACAGGGCCCGGGGAGGCGGGGACCCGAGGGCCCTGGGCTCGCGCCGGCGGCCCCATGCGCGGTCCCCATCGAGGGCCGGGGCCGCTCCAGCTGCTCGCGCCCCTCCGGCTGCTCGCGCCCTTCCGCTCCTGCCCTCTGGAAGCACTGAGGGTATCAGGCCCAGGCTTAGGGCTCGGGTCCGGCGTCCCGATGCAGGACTCCGGGTTTAGGTCTCCCAGACCCGCGCGATCGACCCCGGGTGCGGAGGTTGTGGCCTCGGGTCGGCGTCTGAGGACCCGCTGACGCTCCGGTGCCCCTCCGTCCTCTCTCACAGCGTGCTGAGCTACGTGGCGGGCATCGCCTGGTTCTTGGCGCTGGTTTTCCCGCCGCTGACCCAGCGCACTTACATGTCGGAGAACGCCATGGGCTCCACCATGGTGGAGGAGCAGTTTGCGGGCGGAGACCGTGCCCGGGCTTTTGCCCGGGACTTCGCCGCCCACCGCAAGAAGTCGGGGTGAGCGGCAGAGCAGGGCGTATGGGGCGAGCAGTGGTGGCTAAGGCCGGGGAGCTCTGCTCAGAGGCTCCCTTCGTGTCTGCAGGGCTCTGCCAGTGGCCTGGCTTGAACGGACGATGCGGTCAGTAGGGCTGGAGGTCTACACGCAGAGTTTCTCCCGGAAACTGCCCTTCCCAGATGAGACCCACGAGCGCTATGTACTGGGGGAGTGGGGTGTGCCTGGGCCCAGAAAGCACCTTGGAGGGAGGGGTCTGGGCTGGGTATCACCTTGCGGGGGTGTCATGGGGCCAGGAAGCTCAGTGGGAGGGAAATCCCTGGTGGGCACTGGAGGGCTAGGAAAGTTGTGGGGGGCCCTTCAGCCCCCTACCACAAAGTTACACTGAGGCTCCCCCCACCGATGCTGCATACAGATGGTGTCGGGCACCAACGTGTACGGCATCCTGCGGGCCCCGCGTGCTGCCAGCACCGAGTCGCTTGTGCTCACCGTGCCCTGTGGCTCTGACTCTACCAACAGCCAGGCTGTGGGGCTGCTGCTGGCACTGGCTGCCCACTTCCGGGGTGAGTCTCAGGGCTGCTGGCCGTGGAGGGGTTTGGTCAGTGCCCCAGACCCTGCTGATCCTGCTTCTGGCCTCCAGGGCAGATTTATTGGGCCAAAGATATCGTCTTCCTGGTAACAGAACATGACCTTCTGGGCACTGAGGCTTGGCTTGAAGCCTACCACGATGTCAATGTCACTGGTAGGTTCTCTTGTCCTGCCTGCCCTGGTCCCCCTCTCAGGGTCACTGTCCTCACCACGTCCTCCATTAGCACTCATTCACTTGCTCCTACAGGCATGCAGTCGTCTCCCCTGCAGGGCCGAGCTGGGGCCATTCAGGCAGCCGTGGCCCTGGAGCTGAGCAGTGATGTGGTCACCAGCCTCGATGTGGCCGTGGAGGGGCTTAACGGGCAGCTGCCCAACCTTGACCTGCTCAATCTCTTCCAGACCTTCTGCCAGAAAGGGGGCCTGTTGTGCACGCTTCAGGGCAAGGTGGGGCTGCCTGCCTGCCTGAGGGCTGAAGGGCACAGGGTCTGTGGGAGGGGCTGTCTCATCCTGTCCTGCACCTCTAAAGCTGCAGCCCGAGGACTGGACATCATTGGATGGACCGCTGCAGGGCCTGCAGACACTGCTGCTCATGGTTCTGCGGCAGGCCTCCGGCCGCCCCCACGGCTCCCATGGCCTCTTCCTGCGCTACCGTGTGGAGGCCCTAACCCTGCGTGGCATCAATAGCTTCCGCCAGTACAAGTATGACCTGGTGGCAGTGGGCAAGTAAGTAGTCTCTGGTCCCCCCTTTCCATGCCCAGGATGGGGTCTAGCTGGAGCGGAGTGGGGGATGGCCTGGTGGCTCTGGCCAGCCGTGAACCTGCCCCACACCTGACAGGGCTTTGGAGGGCATGTTCCGCAAGCTCAACCACCTCCTGGAGCGCCTGCACCAGTCCTTCTTCCTCTACTTGCTCCCCGGCCTCTCCCGCTTCGTCTCCATCGGCCTCTACATGCCCGCTGTCGGCTTCTTGCTCCTGGTCCTTGGTCTCAAGATATCCTCTGCCCCTTGCCATCTACCTGTGACCAGCCTCCAGTCTCCTCAACTCTAGGCTGGGGAGAGTCTTCCATCCTGATGGGGGGTGGGGTACGGGGGTGAGCCCTGGGTCCCCCTCTGGGCAGATCCCGTTACACCTCTTGTTGGGGTCCTTGATTGGGCTACGCTCTGGAACTGTGGATGCAGCTGCATGAGGCTGGAATGGGCCTTGAGGAGCCCGGGGGTGCCCCTGGCCCCAGTGTACCCCTTCCCCCATCACAGGTGATGGCACCCCCTTCTGTTGTTGGAATGGGCTTCTGGGGTCTGACTGGTGTTTAGTGTTGCAACTTAGCCTCAGCTGGTGGGATGGTGGTGGTCTTTGGGGATCCCCTGGCCCCAGGGTCCATCTCCAAGAGCCTGTGTGCCCTGCAGGGTGTGGGGCTGGCCTCGCTCGTGGCACCTCTGCTGATCTCACAGGCCATGGGACTGGCCCTCTATGTCCTGCCAGTGCTGGGCCAACACGTTGCCACCCAGCACTTCCCAGTGGCAGAGGCTGAGGCTGTGGTGCTGACACTGCTGGCGATTTATGCAGCTGGCCTGGCCCTGCCCCACAATACCCACCGGTAAGAGGCTGGGCTGGTTGTTGGGGGCAGGGGTAGAGGTCCCCTGGACATGCAGACAGCTTGTGGGTTGCCTCTGAGTCCTTTGTCTTACAGGGTGGTAAGCACACAGGCCCCAGACAGGGGCTGGATGGCACTGAAGCTGGTAGCCCTGATCTACCTAGCACTGCAGCTGGGCTGCATCGCCCTCACCAACTTCTCACTGGGCTTCCTGCTGGCCACCACCATGGTGCCCACTGCTGCGCTTGCCAAGCCTCATGGGCCCCGGTATGTATGGATCAGCCCCACTTCCCCCAATGCCTGTGCCCTCATCACAGACCGCACCCTCATTCAGTAGCCCTTTCCCCCAACCTGGTGCCCATGCCCCCACCATGGAGCCTACCTTGATGTTGCTTCTCCACCCAGGACCCTCTATGCTGCCCTGCTGGTGCTGACCAGCCCGGCAGCCACGCTCCTTGGCAGCCTGTTCCTGTGGCGGGAGCTGCAGGAGGCGCCACTGTCACTGGCCGAGGGCTGGCAGCTCTTCCTGGCAGCGCTAGCCCAGGGTGTGCTGGAGCACCACACCTACGGCGCCCTGCTCTTCCCACTGCTGTCCCTGGGCCTCTACCCCTGCTGGCTGCTTTTCTGGAATGTGCTCTTCTGGAAGTGAGATCTGCCTGTCCGGGCTGGGACAGAGACTCCCCAAGGACCCCATTCTGCCTCCTTCTGGGGAAATAAATGAGTGTCTGTTTCAGCAGCTATTTGAGCTCCTGGCCCGCTGTCCGTGTAGGGCCCCAGGGCATGGGGGTGAGAAGCCTCTGTCTGCAGGGCTTGGCATTCCTCACACCTCCTCCCTGGCAAGGGCTGCTGTAGTCCACTTACTGGGTAGCATTCCTGCCGACCAGGGCTCTGCTGCTGCATCAGGTGCACTCTCAGCCCTGGCGGGTGCCATGCAGGCTCAGAGGGCTGTGTGCATTGCTCTGTGGTACTGTGCCAGGAGCGGTGCTGGGAAGGAGAATACACCATAGCCATGGTTTGAGGGCCTGCCAGGAGCTGAGGCACCCAGAAACCACCTAACACCATCTTTACTGCTAGGACTGAGGCTGGAGCTGGAGCCCTGCAGAGGAGGCCCAGGGTGCATGGCATGGGGCCCAGGCAAGGCCATCGCCTTGGTGTGGGATTGGGATGGAGCAGGGAGGAGCACCCGGCCTGGCTTCCTCAGAGTTGAGTCAGCCCAGGTGAGATGCCCACGAGGGGCTGGGCAGGCAACACAGTGGAGCCAGGACCCAGGGGCAGGCGGGGCACGGGGACAAGAGCCCCACGGGAGAGGGCACTGACAGGCCAGCAAGGAGAGAAGCAGGCTGTTATACTAGGACTCTGAAAGGAACTGGGAAGACCACTGTCTGTTCCAAAAGAAAGGAAAAACCTGTGGCCTTTAGGTGATGCCAGGGCCATGTCAGGGACCTTGGTGCTGCGGCTAGAGAGCCCTCTGGTCACAGGAAGGCAAAGGTGCCGCAGCCACACAAAACCATGCACAGGCCTCAGGAATCAGAGCCGTGCTGCCTGGAGAAGCCACAGCATCTTAGAATCAACTGAGGGCCAGGGTCCTTTCAGTACAGTGTCCCCAAATGGCCTGTTGTCTGGGAGGTTCCAAGGAGGGTGCCCTCCCTGTGCCCTACTCTGTAGGCCACTGCCTCTTCACTGGGTTATGTCTTCCTGCGGGAGGCTCCCCTTGACATGAGACCCCTGGTGTTGGGGGTTAGTCTATTGATGGGGCTCCACAGTTGGGGGATGGGTGGAGGGCTCCCAGGGTGAGCACCTAGGCGACTTCCAGAGTTTCTGCAGAGGAAACACATGTCTGCTGGGTGGGCTTACGTTCTCTGTGTCCAGCATTATTCGAGGCTTAGTGGGGATGAGGGGGTATCAGGAACCCCACTGTGACTGGTAGCCTCATAATTAACTTGCCTGTCTTCAGCCCCCTTGTCCCAGAGGTTGGAGTCTCTAGTCACTTTCTCCAGTGAATACTTCCTCTGAGGTTGGGTGGACGCCTGCAGTCCCCACCCTAGCCTGGCTGGTTTCCCCTGCCTCTCAGTACCCCTAGGAACACCTCCTAGGTGGGCATCACGTGCCTCCCATGCTAAATCAGCAAGGGAGACTCATCTGTCAGTCTCCTATTTTCCAAGAAGAAATCTCTGTTGTGGTCTCCTGTTCTCTTTGTAAGATGACATCTGATACAAAATCATCCTCCAGGCATTTTAGCTGGGCTTTGACCTCAACTGTTTTGTTTTTGAGATGGAGTCTTACACTGTAGCCCAGGCTGGAGTGCAGTGATGCAATCTTGGCTCACTGCAACCTCCACCTCCCTGGTTCAAGCAGTTCTCCTGCCTCAGCCTCCCAAGTAGTGGGATTACAGGTGCGCACCACCATGCCTGGCTAATTGTGTATTTTTAGTAGAGACGGGGTTTTACTATGTTGTCCAGGCTGGTCTCAAACTCCTGACCTCAGATGATCTACCCACCTACGTCTCCCAAAGTACTGGGATTACAGGCATGAGAGCCACCACACATGGCAGCCTCAATTGTTTTTTAACAGGACTTTGGCAGTCACTTAAAGCACAAATCATGAAAATACATACGTCGGGGGAAAAGCTAAAGGATACCTTGCTTGTGTTCTGAGTAGTTTGTGCAGAATTCTCCCTGCCTATACAAGTGTTAAAAGGGAACCATGGGAATGGCAAGGTTGCTTTGTTAGGGAGGTAGGATTTCTGTTCTGATTTTCAGTAATGACATGGGCTGAGGCTCCACGTTTCCCCCTCCCTGAATATTTTTTTTTTTTTTTTTTTTTGGACAGAGTCTCACTGTCGCCCAGGCTGGGTGCTATGGCGAGATCTTGGCTCACTGCAGCCTCCATCTCCCGAGTTCAAGTGATTCTCTGGGCTCAGCCTCTGTTATATGTAAAATGTTTATTTAGAAGCAGAATGTTCCCTGGTACCATAAGGAAAGATCAGCATTCAGACAAAAAGTTCTCAGCAAGTCAATTTTACTTTCTGCAGAAAGGGTGCTCCTTGCAGATGGAATGATGGCGAGAGCATACCTGAATAAAGGAGGGAAGCATTTTTATCTCTTAATGCAGCTTGTCCCTGCTACTGTGTCCTGTCTGCATTGGCTGGAACCAGACCTGAACCCGATGGGCTAACAGCTTAAACCCTTTTTTAAATAGGTAAAAGCAATGGAGAACAGAAGAAAAGAGGAAGTTGCTTACTAAAGGACTTAGAAAAGTAATAATATTCCCAAATAAGGAAGGGGCATAGGCTGCAAGCTGGGACATGCCTGTAAGCACGTCCAGCACAAATATTTTGGTTAAAGTACAAGGACATAGAATGTCCTTATTCCTTTATATCTAACAGCTCCATAGGATAGGGCTTAACAAAGAGTTATTAGCACGAAGCAAGGAGGCTTGAAGGAAGTTAGTCTTTAAAAGAAACACTTATAATTTATTTTTTAACAAGAAGGGAAACTTTGAAGAGGAAACTTTTTACTTTCTACAACCTCCCGAGTAGCTGGGATACAGGCATGCGTCACCACGCCCCACTAATTATTTTATATTTTTACAAATATTTTGGCTTCTTCCAATGTCCACGTTCTTACCAACACTTGCTAGTGTCCATCTTTTTTTTTTTTTTTTTGAGTTGGAGTTTCACTCTTGTCACCCAGGCTGGACTGCAATGGCACGATCTCGGCTCACTGCAACCTCCGCCTCGCAGGTTCAAGTGATTCTCCTGCCTCAGTCTCTCGAGTAGCTGGGAGTCCAGGCATACACCACCACTCCTGGCTAATTTTGTATTTTTAGTAGAGATGGGGTTTCTCCATGTTGGTCAGGCTGGTCTCAAACTCCCGACCTCAGGTGATCCACCTGCCTCAGCTTCCCAAAGTGCTGGGATTACAGGTGTGAGCCACCACACCCAGACCTGCTAGTATCCATCTTGTAGATTACAGCCATCCTAGTGGGTGTGAAGTGGCATTGCATTTTCATTTTGATTTGCATTTACCTAATGATTAATGAAACTAAAGCATCTTTTCATGTTATTATTGGCAATTGGTATATATATACATATACATATATATATATATATGTATATACATATATATATATATATATACATATATATATATATACATATATATATATATACATATATATATATATATATATACATATATATATGTATATACATATATATATATATATACATATATATATACTTCTTTTTTTTTTTTTTTTGAGACAGAGTTTTACTCTTGTTACCCAGGCTGGAGTGCAGTGGCACGATCTCGGCTCACTGCAACCTCCACCTGCTGGGTTCAAGTGATTCTCCTGCTTCAGCCTCCTGAGTAGCTGGGATTACAGGTGCGCGACACCACGCCCAGCTAATTTTTGTATTTTTAGTAGAGATGGGGTTTCACATGTTGGCCAGGCTAGTCTTGAACTCCTGACCTAGTGAGCCACCCACCTCAGCCTCCCAAAGTGCTGGGATTACAGGCGTGAGCCACCGCTCCTGGCCTGCCTGTTTTATTCTGAGAATTTTCTGGCTTTAGGTCTTAAACTTAGATCTTTGATTATTTTTCAGTTCTCGTAAATGGTGTATAAATGATGTGAGGTAAAGGAGCCAACTTCATTCATTCATTGACATTTGTTTTGCAAATCGTTGGCTTTTTGTTTTTGTTTTTTGGTTTTTTTTTTTTTTTTTTGAGACGGAGTTTTGCTCTTGCCCAGGCTGTAGTGCAATGGCTCAATCATGGCTCACTGCAACCTCCGCCTCCCAGGTTCAAGCGATTCTCCTGCCTCAGCCTCCCAAATAGCTGGGATTACAGGCATGCACCACCACGCCCCCTAATATTGTATTTTTAGTAGAGATGGGCTTTCTCCATGTTGGTCAGTCTGGTCTCGAACTCCGGACCTCAGGTGATCCCCCCACCTCGACCTCCCAAAGTGCTGGGATTACAGGCATGAGCCACCGTGCCTGGCTGTTTTGTTTGTTTTGAGATAGGGTCTCAACTCTGTTGCCTAGGCTGGATCGCAGTGGCATGATCACAGCTCATTGCAGCTTTGACCTCCCCAGGCTCAGGTGATGCTCCCACCTCACCCGCCTGAGTAGCTGGGACCACAGACGTGCATCACTCTTGGCTTTTTTAAGACAGGGTTTCGCCATATTGCCCAGGCTGGTCTCCTGGGCACAAGCAATCTACCTGCCTTGGCTTCCCAAAGTGCTGGGATCACAGGCATCAGCCAGCATGCCCAGCCCTGTTTGCATTTGAATATCCAATTGTCACAGAACCATTTGCTGGAGAGAGTCTTCTTTCTCCATTGGTCTCAGTACCCTTGTAAAAAAAAATCAAATGACCATAGATGTATAGTCATAGACTTTATTTGTGGACTCTCAATTCTATTCCATTGATCTATATGCCTATCCTTTTATCAGTACTAAAACCTACTATAAACCTACAGTAATCAAGTTTTGAAATTGGGTGATATAAGTCTTCCAGCTGTTTCACCATGTTAGCCAGACTGTTCTCGAACTCCTGACCTCAGGTGATCCGCCTGCCCTGGCCTCCTGATGTGCTGGGATTACTGGCGTTAGCCACTTCACCCAGCAAGCCTCCATGGTTTGAGAGGAGAAATCTTTTGTTAATTTTGTTGAGAATTCTTTTTTCTTTCTTTCTCTTTGTATTTATTATTACTTTTTTTTTTTTTTCTGAGAAGGAGTTTTGCTCTTGTTGTCCAGGCTGGAGTGCAATGGTCCAATCTTGGCTTACTGCAACCTCCACCTCCCGGGTTCAAGCGAGTCTCCTCCCTCAGCCTCCGGAGTAGCTGGGATTACAGGTGCATGCCACCAGGCCCGGCTAATTTTTTTTGTATTTTTAGTAGAGACACGGTTTTGCCATATTGGCCAGTCTGGTCTCGAACTCCTGACCTCAGGTGATCTGCCTGGCTCAGGCTCCCGAAGTGCTAAGATTACAGGAGTGAGCCACCGCGCCCGGCCAAGAATTATTTTTATGTGATGAGTCACTTCTCTCTTGCTGCTTTCAAGATTCTTTGTCTTTCAACAATTTGTTATGTGTCTCCTTTAGTTTATTCTACTTAGTGTTTGTTTAACAAAAAAACTAGATGTGCAGATTCATGTTTTTCATGAAACATGGCATGTTTTTGGCCTTTTTTTTTTTTTTTTTGAGACAGAGTTTCACTCTTGTTGCCCAGGCTGGAGTGCAATGGTGCAATCTTGGCTCGCTGCAACCTCCACCTCCAGGTTCAAGCAATTCTCCTGCCTCAGCCTCCCAAGTATCTGGGATTACAGGTATGCACCACCATGCCTGGCTAATTTTGTATTTTTAGTAGAGACAGGGTTTCTCCATGTTGGTCAGGCTGGTTTCGAACTCTCGACCTCAGGTGATCTGCCCACTTCGGCCTCCCAAAGTGCTGGGATTACAGGCATGCGCCATGACACCTGGCTAATTTTGTATTTTTAGTAGAGTCGAGGTTTCTTCATGTTGGTCAGACTGGTTTTGAACTCTCAACCTCAGGTGATCTGCCTGCCTCGGCCTCCCAAAGTGCTGGGATTACAGGTGTGAGCTACTATGCCCAGCCTTGGCCATTTTTTTTTTTTAAGTATTCTTACTCCTTTCTCTGTCTAGTCTACTCCTGGGACTGAAATTATGCATATGTTGGTATGCTTAATAGTGTCCCACAGGTCTCTGAGGCCCAGTTCATATTTCTTTCTTTTTTTAAATTTCTCTTCCTCAGACTTCCCTTTGTGTAGAGCCTCAAGGTCAGCCAGAGGTGAGAGTTTAGGGCTTTTTCAGGTCTCTCCTGAGTATATATCCATAGTCCTCCGTGTGTATATGACCTGTATTCCCAAAAATGTTTTGGGCTTTTCAAAGCGCCTGTGGACATCTCATTCCCTTGCTCTTCCTTTTTAGCTTTTTGTTTAGTCTATTGTTTGTGGCAACTGTTATCCATCACCTCAGGCAGCTGGCACTGGGCAAGCCCTGAGCCAATGTGGTAGGAGTCTTCTAGGCAGCCATCAGACACGTTCAATAACGGAGGTTCTGTGCGAATGAGGGCATTTTGCTCCCACAGTAACTAGGAATGTAGGTTCTTATTTCCAAGATTACCACTGAGCTGGAGGGCAGGGTTGAACCAGGGAAAGCTACAACCCACAAAGGCCACTGTTCTTACTGATAGTCACCTGTTTAATTGAATAACACCCCCTGGGATGACGACAGCCTTTGATTAATTTCCATAGCTTTGTAAAAGTTGATTCTGATCATTTTTGCTATGTTTTTCTTGCTCTTATTGGGTGAGGGGTGGGCACATTTTTTAGGGGTCTTTCTCCATTTTCACTGACAACTAATTTTGGATTTTTATTTTATTTTTTATTTTATTTTTTCTTGAGATAGAGTTTCGTTCTTGTTGCCAGGCTGGAGTGCAGTGGCGTGATCTCTGCTCACTGCAAACTCCGCCTCCTGGGTTCAAGCGCTTCTCCTGCCTCAGCCTCTGGAGTAGCTGGGATTACAAGCATGCGCCACCACACCTGGCTAATTTTGTATTTTTAGTAGAGATGGTGTGTAGAAAGTAAAAAGTTTCCTCTTCAAAGTTTCCCTTCTTGTTAAAGAATAAATCGTAAGTGTTAGAAATAATAGTTTCTTTTACAGACTAACTTCCTTCAAGCCTCCTTGTTTTGTGCTAATAATTCTTTTCTTTTCTTTTTTTATTATACTTTAAGTTCTAGGGTACATGTGCATAATGTGCAGGTTTGTTACAGATGTATACATGTGCCATGGTGTGCTGCACCCATTAACTCGTCATTTACATTAGGTATATCTCCTAATGCTATCCCTCCCCTCTCCCCCACCCCACAACAGGCCCCGGTGTGTGATGTTCCCCTTCCCGTGTCCAAGTGTTCTCATTGTTCAATTCCCACCTATGAGTGAGAACATGTGGTGTTTGGTTTTGCTAATAATTCTTTAAGCTCTATCTTATGTAGCTGTTAAACATGCTCACAGGCAGGTAGTACATTCTATGTCCTTGTACCTTAACCAAAATATTTGTGCTGGACGTGCTCACAGGCACGTTCCAGCTCACAGCCTGTGCCCCTTCCCTATTTGGCATAAGCAACTTCCTCTTTTCCTCTGTTCTCCCTTGCCTTTATCTATTTAGAAAAGTTTTAAATTATTAGCCAGTCGACTTTTAGTTTAGATTGTGCCATCTGGCTCTAGCCAATGGAGACAGGACACAGTAGCAGGGACAAGCTGTGTAAGGGATAAAAATAGCTTCTCTCCTTTATTCAGGTGTGCTCTCACCATTTTTCCATCTGTGAGGAGCACCCTCTCTGCAGAAAGTAAAATTGACTTGCTGAGAGAACTTTTTGTCGGAATGCTGATCTTTCCTTATGGTACCAGGGAACAAGCGTTCTGTTTCTAAATAAACATTTTACATATAACACAGGGTTTCTCCATGTTGGTCAGGCTGGTCTCAAACTCACGACCTCAAGTGATCTGGGGCCTCCCAAAGTGCTGGGATTACAGGCGTGAGCCACCGCACCCAGCCTAGTTTTTAAATTTTATTTGCTTTTTTTTTTTTCTTGAGAGGGAGTCTTCCGTCTGTCATCCAGGCTGGAGTGCAGTGGCACGATCTCTACTCACTGCAACCTCCGCCTCCCGGGTTCAAGCGATTCTCCTGCCTCAGCCTCCCAGAGTAGCTGGGACTACAGGCGCGCGCCACCACGCCTGGCTAATTTTTGTATTTTCAGTAGAGACAAGGTTTCACCATGCTGACCAGGATGGTCTCCATCTTTTGACCTCGTGATCTGCCCGCCCCACCCTCCCAAAGTGCTGGGATTACAGCGTGAGCCACCGCGCCCGGCCTTTGCTTACTTTTTAAATATTTTACAATAAAAATATTCTCACATAACAAGATCATATTTACTTACTTTTTTGAGACGAGGTCTCGCTCGATATCGCCCAGGCTGGAGTGCAGTGGCGATCTCGGCTCACCGCAGTCTCCACCTCCGGGGCTCAAGCGATCCTCCCGCCTCAGCTTCCCAAAGCGCTAGGACCCAAGGCGCGCATCACGCGTCGGGCCATGAGTCAAGGGAATGAAGGAGAACAGGGTGCTCAGCCTGGGGGCCCAGCCTCCCGCTGTCACGCGCTGCCTGCGGCCGAGACCCCTGCCCGCGCCCTCTGCCGGGCTGCCCTCCAAGCCGCCCTTTCTCTGGAGGTCCTCAGCCTGCAGGGGCACCCTCCACCCGGCCATCGCGCAGCCTGGGAAGGTGGAGAAAAGGAGCGTCGGGGTCTCGGAGGCGGCGTGGGAAACGCCGGGCGGAGCGTGGCGCTGTCACGGCAACAGAGAGACGCGACGGGGCCCCGCCCCACCGCCAGTTTCCACGACAACCCGAAGAGCGTGGGGAGGCAGGCGGTGCCCCGGCCCCTGACTGACGCGACCGGGACCAGCGCGCTTCGTCCCCGCCCACCCGACAGGCCCCGCCCCCGAGCCCGGCCCCGCCCCGCGCTCCCCGGCTTTCGCGAGGTTTTGACTCTCGTGGCGCCCCAGGGGCCGACGGGAGTGGCGGCCGCGCGGAGGAGGCCAAGATGGCGGCAGCTGCGGCTTCGCTTCGCGGGGTAGTGTTGGGCCCGCGGGGCGCGGGGCTCCCGGGCGCGCGTGCCCGGGGTCTGCTGTGCAGCGCGCGTCCCGGGCAGCTCCCGCTACGGACACCTCAGGTGAGCGCTGGGCCGGGCCCCGGCCTCCGCGCGGCCCCGCATCTCCGTGAAGGTCACGGCGGGGAGGCTGCGGGCGCGGGCCTGGGCAGCGCGGAAGCGGTACCGGCCACCCAGCGTCCCCGGTCCCAGCTGCCTGCCGACCTTGAGCGTGTGGGATCAGGGCTGGGCGCCCACCTCTCCGAACGGCAGAGAGCCCGTCCCCAGCGTGGGGGTTGGCGGGACGGGCTAGCTGCCGTGGCGGGGCTGGGGCTTTCCCGAATGGCGCGCCCAGGACGGCTCTTGCGGCTGGCTGTCCAAACTGGGCCCGCGTCCTGAAGTGACCCCAGCCTGATCTCGGCCAGCTGCTTGTGACCTTGGCCTGTCCCAGCACCCTTGGTCACTTCGGTCTGATCCCCGGCTCAGGATCCAGGAACACCCTCTCCTGAGAGCGAATCACGGTCTAGGGGTCAGCGGCGGAGAGGGATGGGGTGGGTAGTGGGACAGGGTGTGCGTCTGGTGCCCTGCAGGAGGAGGCCATTGCTGGGTGGAGAGGTGGGCGCTGAGAGTCAGATCCCCAGGTAGGGCTGGGTGGTGTCCTGGCAGGCGCTGAGCGGAGATCTTGCAGGCAGTGGCCTTGTCGTCGAAGTCTGGCCTTTCCCGAGGCCGGAAAGTGATGCTGTCAGCGCTGGGCATGCTGGCGGCAGGGGGTGCGGGGCTGGCCATGGCTCTGCATTCGGCTGTGAGTGCCAGTGACCTGGAGCTGCACCCCCCCAGCTATCCGTGGTCTCACCGTGGCCTCCTCTCTTCCTTGGACCACACCAGGTGTGCAGCTGGCTGGCTGGCTGGCAGCGGGAGGTTCTGGGTGGAGCTGGTAAGGTGGAATCTTCAGCTTTCCTAACCCTTTCCCTCCCTCCAGCATCCGGAGGGGTTTCCAGGTATATAAGCAGGTGTGCGCCTCCTGCCACAGCATGGACTTCGTGGCCTACCGCCACCTGGTGGGCGTGTGCTACACGGAGGATGAAGCTAAGGAGCTGGCTGCGGAGGTGTGGGGTCTGGGGATGCCTGGGACCCAGGGCTCAGGGCTCCCACTGTTGAGATGGCAGGGTTGTGATGAGGCTCTCGGTGGCAGGTGGAGGTTCAAGACGGCCCCAATGAAGATGGGGAGATGTTCATGCGGCCAGGGAAGCTGTTCGACTATTTCCCAAAACCATACCCCAACAGTGAGGCTGCTCGAGCTGCCAACAACGGAGCATTGCCCCCTGACCTCAGCTACATCGTGCGAGCTAGGTACACGGGCTGCCCATGGGGTGGTGCTGGAGAGATGGGGGAAGGGCTGACTTGTGCTTGGAACTAAGGAGCCATGGATCTGGTCCTAGGCATGGTGGTGAGGACTACGTCTTCTCCCTGCTCACGGGCTACTGCGAGCCACCCACCGGGGTGTCACTGCGGGAAGGTCTCTACTTCAACCCCTACTTTCCTGGCCAGGCCATTGCCATGGCCCCTCCCATCTACACAGATGTCTTAGAGTTTGACGATGGTAAGAGGCCTCCAGTCTGGCAGTGGGCATGTGGAATACTTCTCCACTACCCCCAGGGATGCTTTCCCTGTGTTCCTGGGTCCAGGAGGTCCTGCCCACTTCTTGTCTGGGGCGTCTTCTGTGCATGTCTCAGGAGGCTTTTGGGCTCCTTCAGTTTTGCGTATGTCCGGTGGAGGGTACTGCCCCTTTGATGCCTTGGGTAGGGGCAGTGTCTGCTTCACAGAGGGGGGGCATGATCCCAGGTTGGACATGAGCCTGAGAATAGCCCTCACTGCTTGTCGTTGGCCAGGCACCCCAGCTACCATGTCCCAGATAGCCAAGGATGTGTGCACCTTCCTGCGCTGGGCATCTGAGCCAGAGCACGACCATCGAAAACGCATGGGGCTCAAGGTAAAAGGGTTGGGAGGCCATGGTGGGTATCAGAGAAGGGCTGGGAGCTGGGCAGGGCTCCTCCCCACTCCCTTCTCTGAGCCTTCCTTGTCTGCAGATGTTGATGATGATGGCTCTGCTGGTGCCCCTGGTCTACACCATAAAGCGGCACAAGTGGTCAGTCCTGAAGAGTCGGAAGCTGGCATATCGGCCGCCCAAGTGACCCTGTCCAGTGTCTGCTTGCCATCCTGCCAGAACAGGCCCTCAAGCCCAAGAGCCATCCCAGGCCTGTTCAGGCCTCAGCTAAGCCTCTCTTCATCTGGAAGAAGAGGCAAGGGGGCAGGAGACCAGGCTCTAGCTCTGGGCCCTCCTTCAGCCCCCATCATGGGAATAAATTAATTTTCTCAATGTACATATTTGAGTTATTATATGGAAAGAGTGCACGTTTGCAAGGAACTCTGATACCAAGACCCTTGCCTTCACAAGGCTCCCAGGATGTCCCATGCAGTGTGGCCAGCAATGCCCTGCACTGACTGGTAGCTGGGAGTCCAGACAGTGGGTGTGGGACAGAAAGCGGAGAACTGCATGTTAGAGGAAGTCAGCATTTGGTGGGGTGGGGTGTGTCTGAGCACAGAGCTGAAAAGGGCCTAGCCAGGCAGGATGTGGCCCAGGGACCTGTTGGAATGAACAGCCAAGTGTTAAGGTGTTGAACCACTTGGCCCCCATTCTGATGGCAGCAGGGAACCTTGGCTGCATTTTAACAGGGGAAAGGCCTGGTCTAGGGCAGGGGCTATTTATTGCTGGGCTGGGCTGAGGAAGGGGATGGCTCCCAGCCAGGTGAAGGAGTCAAGTAGACAGACAGGATGTGTGTCATGGAGTGGCCCCTCCTAGCAGTCCACAGGGTAGCTAGGTGGTGGGTCCTGGCCAGAAGCTGGCAGTAGCTGGGTTCCCACAGGAGCATGCTGCTGAGGGAGGGAGACAGTGGATGCTATCTAGGAGGGTCACAGAGACATGACCCAGCACCGGCCCAGTGACCTGGTGCAGGACTCAGCTCCTGAGCTTCCCTCGTCCCTAGGAAGGGAAGGAAAACACCCATTTTCATTGCTGGTGTCCTAGCTGCAAGAGCTGAGGGGAGTGGTGGCCATAGTCCAAGGAAGGCAAGAGCTGAATGGGAGAAAGGTGGTACCAATAGGCCTGCAGGCAAGAGAGGTGCAGGCCTGGGGGACCAGGGTGGACAGTAGGAGACAAGGTCAGTGGTGGGGGCTGCAGCTCAGTATGTGGCACACCCCAGCAGCCTCAGCCCAGTGGTGAGCAGCTGGGTGGGGGGCTCTGTAGGCCTCTGGGGTCTGGGAAGAGATCCCCATGCCATGCTTTCCTGACCACTGAGGCTCAGGGTCCGGGCCCATTCTTCAGTAACACCGGGGTCTGGCTGGGGAGCCCCGCCTGCTGATGAGGGCCTGTCTCCCTGTATCGCTGGCTAGGATGGGGCAGGTCTGCAGAGACACCATGAAAGGGATGCTTGCTGGCTCTTAAGGGTCTTTAATGGTTTCATTTTGTGGCCCTTCCCCCCAACCCTGGTGACTGTCCCAGCAAGCAGTCAGTAGAGGTCCCCGGAGTTCAGTGGGGGCCTGGAGATGTCGGACTTGTGAGGGAAGGGCCACTCTCCCCTTGTAACCTGTGGGGGAGGAGCTGGGTCATTCCTGTGGATTCTGCCCTGCCCCCCACCTCCCCTGCCTGTGCCACCTCTGGTACCTCTGGTGGCTGCTAGGTGGAAGCTGCAGCAAGGGGGTCCCAAGTGCAGGGCCTCTGGGTGCTACACATCTCACAGCCAGGGCGGTCTGGGGCATTGATGAAGGTGCAGGAAGGACAGGACCAGCTGGGCTGGGGGAAGAGAGACAGTTGTTGCTTCCCTGCTCTTTCCAATGCCCATGGCTGTCCTGGCCCTCCCTGCCCAGTCCCGTGCCCACCTGGAGTGGACTGGGCAGGCTGGAGGCAGCTGGCTGGGGGCCTGGGGGTAGCCCCAATGATGGGGGAAACAAGCGTCCAAGTTCCCCGTCCATCTTCTGGGGGTGCTGAGGGCTAGGTCCTGTGGCTGAGGGGGTGGAGCTCAGGACTGTGGGGCTGCACCCCACCTCCCACACCCCACCCCCATCGAGGACTGACCTGGGGCTTCTCGAGGAGCTGACAGCAAGTAGAGGAAAGCAGGGTCCCCATCCTGCCGAACCCCGTAAGAGGCAAGGCTGCGCTCAGGCACACACAGGCACCGTCCGATGACCCAGCGTTGCACGGCTGGCGGGAAACCGAGCTCTGAGAACACCTGTGGCCAGAGCATCAGGGCAGGTGATGTCACCTAGGCTCCTCTGCCCCTGGCAGGGCTCCCCAGACCCTGTGCCCACCTGCTCCTGGAGAGCTGCAACAGTGCAGTGGGGGTGGACCTGCAGGGCAACGTGTGCAGAGGACGCGGCGGATGCGGCAGAGGCAGCGTCTTCAAGTGTGACCTGCAGCCTGTGCCAGAATGTGGGTTCAGGGATGGATGGGGGACCTGGGATGGTCACGAGGACAAGGTGAAGAAGCAGCCCCAGGCCTCACCTGATGGGGCCAGGTGGGAAGCAGGCCTCCTGAAGCTGAACACTCAGGGCCACACGATGCTGGGCCAGGACGGCTGCCACTTGGGCTGCCCCCTTCTCGTCTCCACCTGCAATAGCCCGGGCCAGGCTCCCTGCCAGCTCTTCTGCAGGGTAAGGAAAGGACAGCTGTCACCACTGGGGACTATCTGCTATCCCCGAACCCCCCAACCCCCTCCCCCCACCTGTACCTCTCTCCGTCAAGTTTCCAGGGCTCCTAGGAAGATCTGCCTCAGGTGGAGGGCCCTTGAGTGTGGAGGCTTCCGGGGGACTGGGCAGGGAGACAGGGCATGCTTCTGGGCCCAAGGCTGGTGGTGAGTTGCTCTTGCTGCCTAGAGGTAAGATATGGGTGTGCTGTGCTGTGGCCTCTGTCCAGGCCTCTAGGCCCTTGGTTTTCCAGGACCTTTGCCTTCTCCCTCACCTCAGTCCATGCCAGGGCCCTGCCTCAGGCCACACTTCTAGCCACACCTTCTCCCAGCCTTGGCTCTGGCAAGACCCTCAGAGGCCCCTGCCAGACTTCTGTTAGTGCTGGAGCTGCACTTAGTTCATATTTGGGAATTAGAGCCTTTTCAAACCCTTTTGTGCCTGGCTAGGCCACCTCTCTTGGCTCTTTCTGCCAGCCAGGGATGCCTCACAGCAGAACCAAAGCAGGCCCTCAGTGGCCCTGCAGTCAGGGTGGCCTCTTGGAGCCCTTGGGGACCTCCCCTCTCCGGGCTCCCTGACCCACACCTGGGCTGCCAGCACTCCAGACAAGCCACTGCCCTGGGCGTCTTCAGAGCTGAGCACCCTGCTGACTCACCTTCTTACCCGCCCTGTGAGGCCCAGCCCACTGCAATGGGGGGGTCCCCATCCAGTGCTGACACAGCTCCCGTGGTCTCAGGCCCACTATATTCTACCATCTCCCTACTAGGATAAGCAGGGCCTTCCACGCACCCAGCGCTGTTCCTGGCCCCGGCCCCGGCCCCGGCCCCCACTGAACCTCAAGGATCACTTATACATGCTCACCTCAGGGTTTGTTTGCTGCTTCCTTGGTCACATGGTTCATGCCATGACCTTCAAATTTCACTCCAGTGTCACCTCAATGAGGCCTTCCCTGCCACCACTTTTTTTTTTTTTTGAGACGGAGTTTCACTCGTTGCCCAGGCTGGAGTGCAGTGGTGTGATCTCGGCTCACCGCAACCTCCGCCTCCTGGGTTCAGGCGATTCTCCTGCCTCAGCCTCCTGAGTAGCTGGGATCACAGGCATGCACCACCACGCCCGGCTAATTTTGTATTTTTAGTAGAGACGGGATTTCTCCATGTTGGTCAGACTGGTCTTGAACTCCCGACCTCAGGTGATCTGCCCACCTCGGCCTCCCAAAGTGCTGGGATGATAGGCGTGAGCCACCGCGCCCGGCCCCTGCCACCGTTTTAAACAGCAATCCTCCCAGCTCCACCATTCTCATTCCCACACCATCTAACAGACTTTCTTTTTTAAAAAACTCTACAGTAATTTTATTATTTTTGTTTTTTTTTTTGGAGACAGGATCTCGCTCTGTCACCCAGGCTGGAGTGCAGTGGCACGATCACAGCTCACTGCAGCCTAGAACCCCTGGGCTCAAGTGATCCTCCCATCTCAACCTCCCGAATAGCTGGGATTACAGGCAGACACGACTACACTCAGCTAATTTTTTTTTTTTTTTTTTTTTGTGAGATGGAGTCTCGCTCTGTTGCCCAGGCTGGAGTGCAGTGGTGCAATCTCGGCTCACTGCAAGCTCCACCTCCTGGGTTCACGCCCTTCTCCTGCCTCAGCCTCCCGAGTAGCTGGGACTATAGGTCCCCACCACCACACCCAGCTAATTTTTTTTTTTTTTTTTTTTTTTTAGTAGTCAGGGTTTCACCGTGTTAGCCAGGATGGTCTCGATCTCTTAACCTCATGATCTGCCCACATCGGCCTCCCAAAGTGCTGTGATTACAGGTGTGAGCCACCGTGCCCGGCCCACTCAGCTAATTTTTAAATTTTTTGTATGTTGCCCAGCCCTGTACTTATTTTATATGTCTGCCTCCTCCCCTCTAAAAATGCAAGCTCCAATAGGATGGGGATGGGAGGTTTTGTTCATGCCAAAGGAGTACCTGGGACAGGGCAGCTGCTGAATACATATGCTTGGTGAATGACTAAAGAGAGCTTAGCTCCTTTTATAAACCCTGAGTTGCTTGAGTCTCTCTTACATCACTGTCTGGCTGTCTTCCTACCCCTCTGGCAGCTCTGCTTATCTCGTTTGTGGGCTGCCCTCTATCTGGGAGCCCCATACTACCTAGTCCTTCATGTTTCTCAGTCTCAACTGCTAACTCTTCCATTTAAGCAGCCATGTGAGCCAGGGGCAGTGGCTCATGCCAATAACAGCTACTTAGGCTGAAGCAGGAGGATCACCGTAGACCAGGAGTTCAAGGCTCCAGTGAGTTAGGGTCACGCTACTGCACTCCAGTCTGGGTGAGAGAGGGAGTCTTTGTCTGCAAAAAACCTCCCAAGCAGCCATGAAACTCAGCTAATTCCATCTTCTTTTTTTTTTTTTTTTGAGATGGAGTCTTGCTCTGTCACCCAGGCTGGAGTGCAGTGGCAAGATCTCAGCTCACTGCAACCTCTGCCTCCGGGTTCAAGTGATTCTCCTGCCTCAGCCTCCCCAAGTAGCTGGGACTACAGGCACACGCCACCACGCCTGGCTAATTTTTGTATTTTTAGTAGAGACAGGGTTTCACCTTGCTGACCAGGCTGGTCTCAAACTCCTGACATCAGGTGATCACCCACCTCGGCCTCCCAAAGTGCTGGAATTACAGGCGTGAGCCACCCCACCCGGCCACTAATTCCATCTTCTAAGCATCTCTAGAAACATCCTTCTCCCCAACCCTATCTGCACCAACCCTTGCCACTGCAGAACTCTGTCTTAAGCAGGAGGTATCTGAGTCTGTCACTCTCCCACTCCTGTCACTCTCCTGCTGCTCTTGGGATGATGTCTTCTCACACAGGTCCTGACCCTGCCTGCTCTGCCTCTTCATGCTTGCCTCTCATCCTTCCTGAGGGTTAAGGAAGTGCAGGCTGAGGTTCCAGGGCTTCCTGGTGGAGGCTGCAACTTGTGCTGGCTGGGGCCTCAGATGGTGTAGGAGACTGACTCCAGCAGCCACTCCAAGTACTCCAAGCTACTCCAGGCTCCACCTACTCCCTCCTGGAAGCCTTCCCAGACATCCAGCAGTGGGGAAGGTGGATCCAACTTCCCCAACCAGGACTGGGGGGCCAAGGCTATTCCAAATTGTAATTGTATCCATTACAGGGCACTGACCATTCTGTCCTTCCACGGTGGCACCTCGGACTAGGACTGCCCACCGCTGAGCTTCCTGAGGGTTGAGGAAGTGCAGGCTGAGGGTTCCAGGCCCTCCTGGTGGAGGCTGTAGCTCGTGCTGGGTGGGGCCTCGGATGGTGTAGGAAACTGACTCCAGGGGCCACTCCAAATTAACCTGAGAAGAGGGAGAGTCCAGGCTCAGGGCGTCCCCCCGCCCTACATCGCACGAGGAGCAAAGAAATACAAGGTAACATTTATAGACCATTTACACGGTCCTAAGCCCTGTACGCCTATCATCAAATCCTCACAATAGCCCTGTAAAGTAGGTCCAGGTAGGTCCCAGTAGGTCCGAGCGTCACCCCCATTTCACGGACGAGAAAACAGAAGCAAAGAAACATAACTGCTTAAGGGCACCCAGGTGGCAAGCGGAGGGGCCTAACTTTGGGCTCCGTGCCCTGCCCGGGCCAAGAGGACTGACCGCGCGCCCTCCGCCCCCACTCACCGCCCCAGGTCCCGCGCCCAGCAGCTCCAGCCGGAAGCGCCCAGGCCGCTCAGGGTCCGCGCTCAGCTGCAGCCTCCGCAGCTGTGCCTCGGCGTCTGGCCCGGCGCCCAGCGGCCTCACCGCGGCGTGCACAGCCAAGAGCACTGCGGCGGAGCCCAAGTCCGAGGCCGCCGCCGCCGCCCCGCCCGCTGGCGGCGCCATCTCCGGTCCGGCCGGGTCCCACCCCTCCGAGCGCGCTTCCGTGGGATCGGGCCGCTGAGCCCCCTCCGCCGGTCGGAAACACGGGCCGCGAACCTGGGGTTCCGGGCGCGCCCAGAGCGTCGGGCCTGGGACGGCGCCGAGTGGTGCACTCTGGCCAAGCCTGCCCCGCTGGCTTTGCCCACAAATGGACACGGCCCGAGGGTCTCCGGACACCGGCTGGGCGAGGCTGGCGGCGTGTACGAGGCTGGGGCAGGGCGGCCGAGGCGCTCACGTTAGAGCTGGTCTTTGGGGGCGAAGGGTCAGGGGGCGAAGCACCGGCCACAACTGAAGGCGGACGCGGCCTCTTCGCCCCAGGGGCTCGGCGGACGTAGATGCATCCAGCGTGCGACTATCCCAGCGCCTAACGGCAGCTGGACTTCGCTCCCGGGACCTCCAATGGGCTGCCACCTTCGCCCGCAGACCCCAGCCCCCGCCACGCCCACACGTCGCACTAGGTTGGCCCGCGCCTCACTGGTTACGGGGTCGACCCCCCTAGGGGGCGGAGCTAGAGAGGCCACGGCCAATGAACGCCGGGGGTAAGCGGGTTAGTACGACGAGAAGAGTGACAGACAGGCTCCATAACCAGTAGACGTAGAAGGCAGAACTGAGTGGCGGGTACGGCACCCGATGGCTATTCGAGCTCTCGATCTCGGAGACTGGAGCGGGCCATTCAGAGGCGCGGGGCCGGGCCCGGCGGACGCTTGTTGTTGTCCGGCCGGGGGAGGCGGAGGTCGCTCGCTCGCTCGCTCGGCTCGCTGACTCGCCGGAGCGCTCTGTGGCGGTCGGCGGCAGGTCGGTCGCGAGAGCGGGCTCTGTGGAAGGGGGCGAGGCTATGTCGCGGTGGCAGCCCGGATGGGCCGGCAGGGCCGGGAGTAACGGGACGTCGCCGCGGAGCTTCTTCCCCCGGATACAGTGCGGCCCGAGCGGAGGCCGCGGCGCCGCCCTCCGATCTTGAAGAGCCCGCGCTGCGCGGAGCCCGCCCCCGCCTGCGCACCGGCACCGACGCGGAGCGACCCAGCCCAGCCAGACCCGGCCCGGCGCGGCCTGATCTAACCCAGCCAGGCAGGTGGGTGTCCGCCCTGCGTCCCGCGCCGTCTGCGTACCCGGAACCACAGCCCCCAGCAGGCCTCGCGCGGCGCGCTGCCTCCTGGGATTTGTAGTTCCACCGCGGCTTGGCTGGTGCCCGACGTGGCCCAGGCGGGCGCTGCCTGGTGACTGCAGCGCCCCAGCGGGGCCGAGGGACCGCCCTCCTAGGCGTCTGGAGAAACTAGGCAATTTTTCCGGGTAGAGTGGAGGAACCTGTAGTTTTCCTCTCCCCGGGCCAGAAAGTAGCCAAAACGAAAGAGCGCCCGCCCAGGTGACCGCAGGGCCCGGAGTCCCAGGTGTCCTGGTTCCTAACCGGGATGCAGCCTCTTACCTTGGCTGAGGAGCCCAGCCAGCCTGAGGGAGACTGCAGGAGTCACGTCCCGTTGCGGACTCAAGAGTTACCCCCATGGTGGCTGGAGCTCTTTTGGAGTGGGCGTGGAGATGGGGAATGGGAATGTTGAGCAACAATCTCAGCCAGCAGCCCCAGGGTGAGCAGGGTCCCCGGTGGTCTAGTCTAGTCCCAGAACTCGCGTGTTCTGCAGGGGGTATGGCTGACCTGGAGCCTGGACTTACCACCCTCAGGTAAAACAGGATCTCTGTCACCTCTCCTGGCCGGGCAGAGAGGGGAGCTCCTGATGTGCAGCCTGGACAGAGGCCAGACTCAGCTTGTTCCTAGCGGCTCCACTTAGTGGGTAGGAGGGCTGAAGGCAGGGCCCCAAGGGGCCAGATAGATACCCATGGTCTGGTCTCTCACTCCCCAGGCAATACTAGCCCCTCTGGAGCACGGAGCTCCTTCCCCAAAGACATGAAGCTATTGGAGAACTCGAGCTTTGAAGCCATCAACTCACAGCTGACTGTGGAGACTGGAGATGCCCACATCATTGGCAGGTGAGGCAGGCTGGGGGGGCTGGCATCTCGGAGGTCACACTGCCGCGCCCTTCAGTGGAACCTGGGGGAAGCATGCTTCATGGTTCTCTCTGCATCCTATAGGATTGAGAGCTACTCATGTAAGATGGCAGGAGACGACAAACACATGTTCAAGCAGTTCTGCCAGGAGGGCCAGCCCCACGTGCTGGAGGCACTTTCTCCACCCCAGACTTCAGGACTGAGCCCCAGCAGGTGAGCCATGGTGGGGCCTACCTGGGGCTGGGGGTTGAGGGGAGGTGATGGGCCCAGCTGATGGTTCTGTCTGTGCAGACTCAGCAAAAGCCAAGGCGGTGAGGAGGAGGGCCCCCTCAGTGACAAGTGCAGCCGCAAGACCCTCTTCTACCTGATTGCCACGCTCAATGAGTCCTTCAGGCCTGACTATGACTTCAGCACAGCCCGCAGCCATGAGTTCAGCCGGGAGCCCAGCCTTAGCTGGGTGAGGGTCAGGTGGAGGGAAGGGACCCACAGCCACCCCACTGTCCTTCCCCACTTTGGGTAGCCCTGGGCTCCTGTCACCCTGACTGTGACCTGCCCTAGGTGGTGAATGCAGTCAACTGCAGTCTGTTCTCAGCTGTGCGGGAGGACTTCAAGGATCTGAAACCACAGCTGTGGAACGCGGTGGACGAGGAGATCTGCCTGGCTGAATGTGACATCTACAGGTGGGCCGGCATCCCTGCAGATGGCCTCCAGGCCTCCAGGTTTGTGGGGCACTTGGCGCCTCACACCACCTGTCACCCTATACTCCCCAGCTATAACCCAGACTTGGACTCAGATCCCTTCGGGGAGGATGGTAGCCTCTGGTCCTTCAACTACTTCTTCTACAACAAGCGGCTCAAGCGAATCGTCTTCTTTAGCTGCCGTTCCATCAGGTGGGCACCCCCCGCCTCCTCCCCCACCTCCCTGTTGGGCCGATACAACTTCCCCAGCTGTGCCATCTCCACCCAGCTTTGCCCTCCCTGAACATCCTCCCTGGGGCCAGCAGCAGGCCTGGGTAGGGGTCCTGAAACTGGTTTCCCTGCCTCCCCTCAGTGGCTCCACCTACACACCCTCAGAGGCAGGCAACGAGCTGGACATGGAGCTGGGGGAGGAGGAGGTGGAGGAAGAAAGCAGAAGCGGGGGCAGTGGGGCCGAGGAGACCAGCACCATGGAGGAGGACAGGTGTGTGATGGGGGCCATGACCCGGGTCCTTGAAGCCTGGAGTGGGTACAACAGGGTGGGGGCCTCCTCTACTTGGTCTAAGTGGTGGCTCCTGAAGGCCCACTGTGTGCCAACCTCCGCCCAGGGTCCCAGTGATCTGTATTTGATGAGGAGGAGCCGAGGCCCCAGCTTCATCCAGCTTCAACCAATGCCTGGACCTGTCCACCTGAGAGGCCCCTGGGGCCTCCCCAGCTGCTGGCCAGACCCTGGCGCTGCCACAGTCCTGGCACTGCCCAAGGCCATACCTGCCTAGCCCTTTGGCTCCATCCTGTGGATGCCCACTCACCCCTCAGACTCCTGCTGCCCATGCTGTGGCCGGACTTGTCAGCAGGGGGCCTGGTGGGAGGAGCGACTGCCCTGCCCAAATGAACTGCCACAGCAGGGACAGCTGGACCGCAGAGTTTATTTTTGTATTTCTACTGGGCCTGCACACTCCAGCCCAAAGGGTCTGTGGCCGGAGGCCCCACGAGCAGGCCCCAGCAGTCACCGGCTCTGGTCTTGGGCCGGCCCCGGTGCCCACCTGTACCCCCACCTCGCCCATTTGGCCGCGTGCACTGAGTGTCACTTTGCTGCAGCTCGTTTCTTTCCAATAAAAGTTTCTGTGACTTAGTGTGGACCTGATGCGGTGTGGGGGTGGGGCCTGCGGTGTGGGAGTGGCCGGCGGCATCTGGTATCCTAGCAACTGCCGCTGCGGGCCGTGACCGCTAAGTCCTGGGAGCTGTTGGGCTCTGGGACCGCAGTTGCTGAAATGGAGGCAGAGGTGTGGGAGGCAGAAGGCTACAACCTAGTTCTGGACTCGGACCTGTATGATGCGGATGGCTATGATGTCCCAGACCCTGGGCTGCTCACCGAAAAGAATGGTGAGGGGGCCTGGCCTCGCCCTCCGGGCATCCCGCTAGGAAGTGGGTCTCATTCGGGCTTGGGTTCCGTCCCCTGGAACAAAACTCCCCTGGGCAGTCCCTGGTAGGGCAGGGCCCCTGGAGGAGGGCTCCCCATAACCGTCAGGGTCGAGGACCTGAGGCTGTAGGTGGCAGAACTTCCAGTTCCTGCCCGCAGAGTTGACTTTCACGGAGCCGTCGCAGGTCCTGCCCTTTTTGACCAGCAGCCAACAGTGGCAAAGCCTGACCCCGCGCGCCCGCGCCCGCCGGCTGTGGCTGCTTCTGCGCACCAGCCTCCACGAAGTCGTGGAAAAGGTGCGGTGTGCCTGTCCTGCGCCTCCTGGCCTCTTTCCGGATCTGGGCCTTCCCTTAGGGGTCCCCTAGGCCGGAGTAGCCCCAACCTTTGATTGCGGGCCCGCCCACCCCGGCCCACAGGAGAAGAGAGCCGAGCTGCGCGCGGCGCGCCTGACGCATGGGCTGGAACCACTGCGCCGCCTGGAGGTGGCAGCCGGGCTGCGCTCGGTGGCGCAGGACCCGGTGGGTGGACGCTTCGTGGTGCTGGACGGCGCGGGCCGCCTGCACCTGCACAAGGAAGACGGCTGGGCACAGGAGACGCTGCTGGCGCCTGTCCGGCTTACGGGGCTGGTGACCGTGCTGGGCCCGCTGGGTGCCGTGGGCCGTTTTGTAGGCTGGGGCCCCGCGGGGCTGGCAATTCTGAGGCCCAACCTCAGCCTGCTGTGGCTGAGCGAGCAGGGGGTGGGCAGGGCCCCGGGTTGGGCGCCCACCTGCTGCCTGCCGGTTCCCGACCTCAGGCTGCTGCTCGTTGCGGAGATGAACAGCAGCCTGGCGCTCTGGCAGTTCCGTTCAGGTGGTCGCCGCCTGGTGCTGCGAGGGTCAGCACTGCACCCGCCCCCGAGCCCAACAGGCAGGCTCATGCGTCTGGCTGTGGCGCCGGTTCCTCCCCACCACGTCCTGCGCTGCTTCGCGGCCTATGGCTCGGCCGTGCTCACCTTCGATCTGCATGCCTGGACTCTCGTAGATGTGCGCCGGGATTTGCACAAAACGTGAGGGGGATCCCCCTAGGGAGGGCCAGGCATGTAGGGGCACACGGCCCTCACACACAAGGCGATGTTAAGTCCATTGGGATTCTCCCATTCCCCACCTGTAGCACCATCTCGGACCTGGCTTACTGCGAGGAAGTAGAGGCAATGGTGACAGCTTCCCGGGACAGCACCGTGAAGGTGTGGGAGGCTGACTGGCAGATCCGGATGGTGTTCGTGGGCCACACAGGTGCTCTGAGTTCTCTGCACCCCGAGCCTCGGCCCTTTGCCTCCAGCCGCTCTAGGCTGTCCAGCATCTCCGCAG
Organism: Homo sapiens; assembly: GCF_000001405.40. NCBI lineage: Eukaryota > Metazoa > Chordata > Mammalia > Primates > Hominidae > Homo > Homo sapiens. The sequence continues at coordinate 144,109,246 of NC_000008.11, forward strand.
CTCCGGCCAGGCCTTGCTGCGCTGACTGCAACACAGGCTGAAGGCTCCCCTGCCTTCAGTCGGCCGAGTGACCTGCACCCCTCCCACAGGCCCGGTGACGGCTATGACTGTGCTCCCGAACACGACCCTGGTGTTGTCGGCCTCGCAGGACGGGACGCTACGCACCTGGGACCTGCAGGCGGCGGCGCAGGTGGGCGAGGTAGCGCTGGGCTTCTGGGGCCAGGACAAGCTGTCCCGGCGCGTGGGCCGTCTGCTGGCGCCGGTGCGCCCGGGCTGGCCGGTGCTGTCCCTGTGCGCGAGCAGCATGCAGCTGTGGCGCGTACGCGAGCTCTACTCGCCGTTGGCGCAACTGCCCGCCAAGGTGCTCCACGTGCAGGTGGCGCCCGCGTTGCCCGCGCCTGCGCACCAGTCGCTGCCTACGCGCCTCGTGTGCGCGTGCGCCGACGGCTCGGTCTACCTCCTGTCGGCGGCCACCGGGCGCATAGTGAGCTCACTGCTGCTGGAGCCGGAGGACTGCGCGGCAGCCGTGGCCTACTGCCTGCCGCGCGAGGCGCTGTGGCTGCTGACCAGGGCTGGGCACCTGGTCCGCGCCAACGCGGCGCGCTGCCCCATGAGCGTGCTGCACCGCGTGTGCCCGCCGCCGCCCCCTGCGCCGCAGCCTTGCTGTCTGCACCTGTACAGCCACCTCACGGATCTCGAAGGCGCCTTCTCCTCCTGGGAGATCGTGCGCCAGCACTGGGGCGAGTTGCGCTGCAGCTCTGTGGCCTGCGCCTGGAAGAACAAGAACCGGTGGGTGCGGGAGCCGGCGAGGGTCTGGCGGGCGGAAGGAGCGGCAGGGTCCGCGCCAACAGGCTCTTCCCACTCGCAGGTACCTGCCAGTGGTGGGGCACACGGACGGCACGCTGTCGGTGCTGGAGTGGCTCTCGTCGAAGACTGTCTTCCAAACGGAGGCGCACAGCCCGGGCCCGGTTGTCGCCATCGCATCCACCTGGAACAGCATTGTGTCTTCGGGTCAGTAGCTCCCCTGCCAAAGGCCAGGCCGCCACAGAGCCCCCTCCCCTCCGACAAGGCCCAGCCAGATTCCGCTGCCCACAGGTGGGGACCTGACGGTGAAGATGTGGCGCGTCTTCCCCTATGCCGAAGAGAGCCTGAGCCTGCTGCGCACCTTCTCCTGCTGCTACCCGGCCGTGGCGCTCTGTGCGCTAGGCAGACGCGTCACCGCGGGCTTTGAGGACCCAGACAGCGCTACCTACGGCCTGGTGCAGTTTGGCCTGGGCGACAGTCCGCGATTAGACCACCGGCCCCAGGACGACCCCACGGACCACATCACTGGTGAGGGGGCAGCATGGGTGAAGCCCAGCCACCGCCCAGCTCCGGTTCCTGACCCTGAACCCTGCCGCCAGGCCTGTGCTGCTGCCCCACGCTCAAACTGTATGCCTGCTCCAGCCTGGACTGCACCGTTCGCATCTGGACTGCTGAGAACCGCCTCCTGCGGTAGGCTAGGAGGTGGGGAGGGCTGGGGTCTCCTACCTCTGCTCCTCACCAGAGCCCACTGGCTGGACTGAGTGGAGAAGGCCTTGTCCCTGCTGAGCCTCGGCTGCCCTGGGTGCCTCTCCAGGCTCCTGCAGCTGAATGGTGCCCCTCAGGCCCTGGCTTTCTGCAGCAACAGTGGAGACCTGGTGCTGGCGCTGGGATCCCGCCTCTGCCTGGTGTCCCACAGGCTCTACCTGCCTACATCCTACCTAGTTAAGGTGTGTGGTGAGGACAGAGTGAGCAAGGTGGGCCCCCCTTGCTCACCTTGGGGGGCAGACCCAGGTTCCCCCAGCCAGGGATACAGGCTCCTTCCCCTATTCAGAAGATGTGCCGGAAGGCCCCAGACGTGGTGGACGACCCTCCGCTGCCACTGATGAGCCAGGAGTCACTGACTTCCGCCCAACTGCAGAGGCTCACCAACCTCCATGGGGCAGCCAGCCTCAGGTCCCATGCAGGCCTGCTCAGCCCTCCTGGAGGCCCTCCTTTCCCACTCTGGGTGGGGGCCTGGCGGTGTGGGGCCCTCTGGAGTTGATACAAGCCTGCCTGAGCCCTGGCACACCCGTTTGGGGTTGGTCCTTGTCCCAGCCTCTGCCCCAGCCCACTGGCATGCCACCCAGCATCCCACCTGTGCCTGTCCCTGTTTGCAGCGAGGCCTTGTCTCTCATCCATCGTCGGAGGGCAACATCTCAGCACCTGGTGCCGAAGGAGGTGGGGTGGGTCCTCCTTAGCCCGCCCTGCCCCGGCTCAGGCCCCAGCCGTCAGCCCTGGGGCAGGCCTGGGATCCCCATGGTTGCCCGGGCAGCACATAGCAAGGCTCAAGGAAGAGCAGGCTGATCCCTGAACCCTGACTCAGGACTTGGACGCCATAGTGGCCCGGGACCGAGACCTTCAGCAGTTGAGGCTGGGGCTAGTGGTCCCAGCAGCCCAGCCCCCACCCTCCTGGCAGCAGCGCCAGGAAGGCTTTGACAATTACCTCCGTCTGATCTACGGCTCTGGCCTGCTGGTAGGTGTAGGGCCTCCCCCAGCCCAGCCCTGACCCTGGCCCCTCTTCTCCACCCACCCCTCCCACCTGGTCTCTGATGGTCTGTCTGCTCCTGCTACCTCCCAGGGCATGCAGTCTGGAAGGGGGTCCCAGCAGTGGAGTGCCGGGACCCTCAGAGTGGAGAGAGAGACCCGGGATGTGTGTGCTGTACCCCAAGCTGCCCACTGTCTTGCCCGGGCTGAGGTCAGCACTGCAGCCCAAACAGTGCCAACAGCCCTGTCCCCACAGGACCTGGGAGCCCTGGGCCAGCACTTCTCCCAGTCTCCCCGAGTCACAGTGCCGATCCCACCCACCCACCGTAGGGTGCACAGCAAGGCATCCCAGGTGAGGCTTCCCACCCTCCCACATGCCTGCTGGGCCCCCATGACCCCTCTGCCACCCTGTGACTCCTCCTATGCCCCAGCTTCTGGCCCGCTCCTCACTGAGCCACTACCTGGGCATCAGTCTGGATCTGCAGCTGCAGTTGGAGCAGCTCCGAGGGAGGACGACCATGGCCCTGGACCTGCCATCCTCCCACTTGCAGTGCAGGGTGAGGGACCCAGGCAGGTGGGGTACCACCTACTGAGGGGCAGAGCTGCCGGGGTGCTAGGGGCTGTGTTGTTCTGAGCCCCCATTCCATCCCCCAGATCCCACTGCTGCCAAAGAGATGGGACAAGGAACCTCTCTCTAGCCTCAGGGGCTTCTTTCCTGCCACCGTGCAGCCCCACAAGGTGAGACCCCCTCCCAGCTCCTGGAGAGCCACTCCTCTCCAGGCATCACTCTTGTGCCTGCCATCTCCCCTTTGCTACAAATCTTTGTGTCCAAATCTGACCCAAGGGCCATGCCCACCTACAACCAGAGGGCCAGGCTGTAGCCTCCCACGCACCCCTCACCCCTCACCCTTCACCCTCTGTCTAGCCCTGTTCCAGTACAGCTGTGTTTGTGGCCACAGGCTCCTTGCTGCTCTGGGAGCTGACATCAGGCAAAGCCAGTCCCCCCAGCCGGTTATGCCACACACCCCTTTCCCCCGTGGAGGCGCTGGGAGGGCAGGTCCCCTAGGGACTTTTCCTGGAAGATCAGAATCCCTGCCCTTTAGAGGAGCAAAGTCAAGGGAACCTGGCCCTTTAGAATCCACTGTCTTCCCACCCTCACGTACACCAGGTGCCCAGGCAGGCCTCAGCCCCTCCCCCAGCATATTCCTGGCACTGTCACCTGCCCAGGTGGGTAATTGACTCTTTGGGCCTGGGTGCCACCATCATGCTCTTCATTGCCCTTTCTCCAAGCTCCTTCCTTCCTCCCTGGCCCCTGTGCTTCTTTTAGACTTTCTTGTCCCAGGGCTGGGGCCAAGTCCTGTAAGGAGCTTGCAGGGTGTCAGGGCCCCTAGAAGCCAGCACTTCTCCAGGTTTCCCTTCTCGTTTGTCAGAGCTGATGCTCACTGAGGGCCTCGCCCCTGGTATCTCAGGGTTCTCCTGCCATCTGTGTTGAGAGTAGGGGTTGCTAGCTCAGCCAGCTCTCGGAGGCCTGGCAGGCAGAGCTGGACTGGCGGCTGAGGGGCTCTGAGAGGTTATACAGGTGACCAAGGGTGGTGTCCAGGCTGGGGAATCCAGGTCCTCAGCATTCCCTGCTGTGCCCACCTCCAGCACTGCCTGAGGCCCATCTGCTTCCCCGGCTATGTGCCCAACTCCGCGGTGCTACAGCAGATGTGGCTAAATGCGGAGGTCAGCAGCCTCGGATCCCCGACTCAGCTCGCCTCCCAGAGAAAGCTCGAGGCAAGGGGCAGGGCTGGGGGTTTTGCCGGCAGGGGAGGGCTCTGCTGTCCTTGCAACCCATCAGGCACCATCTCTTGCCCCTCTGCAGCCAGGGGCAAGCCAGGATGCCCTGTGGTTGTGGCGCCCCAGGCCATCCCAAACCCAGTGGCAGAGGAAGCTGCTCCAATGGATGGGGGAGAAGCCTGGGGAGGAGGGGGAGGAAGACAAGAAGGAAGAGGAGGAGGAGAAGGAAGACGAGGAGCTGGACTGGGCCTTGGCTTCCCTGAGCCCGCACTCCAACCAGCAGCTGGATTCCTGGGAACTGGAGGATCAGGTAGAGGCTCAGGCAGAGGCCCCAGGCCACCACGGGAGGTGGGCTTACACTGAGACCCAGACAGGTGGGACCTGCAGCCACTGCTGCTCCCCTAGAGTGCTGTGGACTGGACCCAGGAGCCCCGGCGGCGCAGCTGCAAGGTTGCCAGGACCCACCCTCATCCCTGGCACCGTCATGGGAGTTTGCTCTTGGATGAGCATTACGGGCATCTGCCCAAGTTTCTGCATTTCTTCATCTACCAGACCTGGTTCAAAAAGTTGTTCCCCATCTTCAGCCTGCAGGTTGGAGGGAACTGGGGATGCATGAGAAGCATGGGTTAGGGTGAGGGACAGGGGAGAAGGTAGGGGCTGGCTTGGGTGTGACATGGGAGCAGGGCCTCAGCATGCTACCCTGCAGGCATACCCGGAGGCGGGCACGATCGAGGGCCTGGCCTCGCTGTTGGTGGCCCTGCTGGAGAAGACCACGTGGGTCGACCGTGTGCACATCCTGCAGGTGCTACTGAGACTGCTGCCCAACATGAGCAGTGATCTCCAAGGCCAGCTGCAGGGCCTGCTCGTACACTTGCTCAACCTGGACCAGCCCCCCAGCCTCCAGGTGTGCCCCTTGTCCTGCCCCCAGTTTTCCTCCCCGCCCACCGGCCCTCAGCAACCACATCCCCACCGCCTGCCTCAGGACCAGACACAGAAGAAGTTCGTGATACTGGCGCTGCAGCTGCTCCTGGCCTGCTCCCTGGAGTCCCGGGATGTGGTGCTGGAGCTCATGTCCTACTTCCTCTACTCTCCCGTGCACTGCCGGTGAGTTGCGCTCCTGCCCAGCCCTCCCTGCCACTGGGAAGGCCTCTGGACAAGCCACATGCACCTGTCCCAGGCCAGAGCTCAAGAAGCTGCTGCACGGGCTGGGCCTTCAGGACCCAGAGGGCTTCCTATTCAAGGAGATGATGACCTGGGTCCAGGGCCCAGACCTGGACTCCAAGGCCGGCCTGCGCACTTGCTGCCACCAGAAACTGGAGGACATGATCCAGGAGCTTCAGGTTGGGCCGGCAGGGGCCGGGGGGGCCTTGGGAACCCTGTTGCCTTCTCTGGCTTTCTGCAAGTCCTGGGGTCAAAGCCAGCTGAGGCCACAGGCTCCTTCCTTGCCTTGCCCAGTCCTGGGCCTCCAGCCTCCCTGCCCTGAGCATCTCTAGGGATTTCCCTGTGCAGCTGGAAGTCAGCAGGGGGTGTCTGGCCCGAACCAGGGACAGCCCTGGGACCTCCTTGTCAGGGGAGTGGCAGCCCCTGCCTTGGGCTGAGCATCGGGCAGAAGGGAGTTTCAGTGGCCATGTGGATGCTCGAGGAGCCAGGGTGCTTGGCCATGGGTCACCTCCTGACAGATGGAAAGCTCGCAGCCACTGTCTGCAGCCAAGTTGCTGGTGGTGCTGCCCAAGGTCTCTAAGACCTTAGCACTTTCCTCTCCTCCCAAGGAGACCCCATCGCAGACGTCAGTGGTCTCTGGGGCACCCACACGCGCCTCCGTGATACCCTCGGGCACCTCCTGGTCGGCCTCCGGCATCTTCGGGAGGCTCTCGCAGGTCTCAGAGGTGCCTTTGATGGTGGTCTCACCTGCGGAGCCGCACTCTTTAGCCCCGGAGCTCCAGGCCCAGCGGATGCTGGCACCCAAGCGCAGCTGGGGGACCCCTCAGCTCCGTCTCAGAGTGCTCTCCGAGACGCTGAAGAGCTTCTGCCTGGAGCCCGAGGCCCGCCTGCACCCTGCCGGGCCTGCTCAGCTGCCCGGAGAGCCGCCGCCGCTGGAGGAGACCGACTGGTCGCACTCGCAGCTGCTGGACTTGGGCCCCATCGACGCGCTCAACTTCTTCTGTGAGCAGCTGCGGGCGCAGCAGCGGAGTTCGCTCCAGGAGAAGGCTGCGCACCCACACCCGCCAGAGCCCTACACGGTGGCGCCGGTGCCCGACATGGTGGTGCCACCTCCGCGGGAGCACTGGTGCGCGGGGCCTGCGCCGGCGGGGCCTGCGTGGGGCAGCCAAGCGTGGGGCTGGGCCAGCTGAACCCTCCTCTTTGCCTCCAGGTACCACCCCATCCTCCGGCTGCAGGAGGCCAAGCCGCAGAGGTCCGCGAGGTCCGCGATGAGACTGAGGGGTGAGTGGAGCCAGGGGTGGAGACTGGACCCCACCCACCCCAGCCCCCGGGCCTCATAAGCCTCCGCCCGCCCCCAGGCCCCATGCGGTCCCGGCTCTGTGCGGGCCGCACCCTGGACGGCCCCATCCGGACGCTGAAGCTGCCGTTGCCGCGTGTGGAGCCGCAGCCTTTCCCCCTGGACTGGCCTATGCCCCCGCGCCCGCTGCCCCCGCGGCTCCTGCAGCCGGCCCTGCAGCGCTACTTTCTGCCAGCGGACGCGGACCCTGACACCTACAGCTGACCGGACTGGTGGCCTCAGCCCGCCTGGCTCTGGGGCCTGTCATTGGTATTTGGCCAAGGCCTGCATCGGGAATAAAGTCCAGAGAATTTCTTTCTGCAGGATGCCGCCTGCTTTGGAGGGCCCCGGGGTGCGCACGGCGTGTGGGCGTGCGGCCTGAACCCACAGTGGCGGCGGAAGGCAGGAGCCGGAGGCCTGGCGGAGGTGGCCATCGTGGGCACCAGCGTTCCCGGAGGGGTGGCCGGCCTAGGGCAGAGGAGACCCATAGCGGGGTACCATCCGCTGGGCACTGAGCAAACGTTTTCTGCTCAAGTACTAGGTGTTGAGATGCGGGCTGACCTTAGAGAACGTGTCCTGGGCCAGCCCACAGCCTGGTGTGGAGGGGAGTCCGGGAGGGCCTGGGCGGTCCCAGGATGAGCCTTCCGGGTCGATGCAGGTGAGACCAGGAGTTTGCAGACCTTGCTTTCGTTACTTTTATTCTGGCAAAGAGAAGAATTGACAAAGGCACCAGGAGCTTTTTTCTGAGCGGCAACGCAGAGCATCCTCTGACCCCTTTAGCCTGAAAGTCCCTAGGGGAGGGGCTTGGTCCGGAAGGGCTCGGCCTCTGGGCCGGGCCCCTCTGCCCTGTGTGGCCTGGCAGGGCGCAAGACCTGTGCACAGAGTTCTTGGGGCAGCTCTGGGGGGAATCCCCGGCTTTTACACCTGTCTTTTGTGTTGTCTGAGCAGTGATTTCCCTCCTGTATCTGTAGCCTCTGACTTTACTAGTTTCTTCTTGATGGCTCTGGTTAGAATCGCTTCTCCACACCTTCCCTGTCACCCCAAACTGTGCGGTGGCTCTTGTTATGGGGCCACCAAATGGCTGCTCTTTCCCAGGCCGGTGCTTGACACAGTGGTGCCACCATCCCAAGAGCATGGGTGCGCAGGACCGTGCGGGACAGCCAAGTTGCTGGGCCCAGCTGAACCTGCCTCTTCACCTCCAGGCACTACCGCATCCTCCCACTGCAGAAGGCCAAGGTTCACAGGTGTGCGATGAGACTGAGGACTGAGTCTGTCACTAGAGGACTTGACACTTTTTATAAAAAAAATGAGTAAACCTAGATACCTCGATCAGTGTCTAGCGATGTCAAGGCCCCCAGTTTGGGTTCAAGCCTGCTGGGACAGTCCTGCAGCTGCTGGGTCACAGAGTGGCCAAGGCCCTCTGATTTTTGGTCAGGACACAGAAAGATAGCAGGGGGCAGGGGGGGATCTGAGGGACCCCACATGACTTACAATCAGACAAGGTAGGTCAGAGGATTTCTTTATGGCTATCTGTTTTGTTTTGTTTTGTTTTGTTTTGTTTTTTGAGATGGAGTTTCAGTCTTGTTGCCCAGGCTGGAGTGCAATGGCGTGATCTCGGCTCACTGCAACCTCTGCCTCCCGGATTCAAGCAATTCTCCTTCCTCAGCCTCCTGAGTAGCTGGGATTACAGGCATGTGCCACCACGCCCAGCTAATTTTGTATTTTTAGTAGAGATGGGGTTTCATCACGTTGACCAGGCTGGTCTCGAACTCCTGACCTCAGGTGATCCGCCTGCCTCAGCCTCTCAAAGTGCTGGGATTACAAGCATGAGCCACTGTGCCCAGCCTTCTTTATGGCTATCTCCAAGACAGCAAAGGCAGGGGAAAGTCCTGCCTTGGGGAGAAAAAGGAGGGTGGGAAAAGGTCAAAGAGAAAGATGCTGTTGTCTGAGTCTTGCCTCTGAGGCCTAAGTTCCCCAACATTATAACAAGGGATATGGGAGTTATAAGCCAGGAACTGTGGATGGAAACCAATGACAGATATCATAATATCACACCCACACATCAGGCAAGAGACTTGTTCCTTAAAAATTATCTAGTTTAGCCGAGCGTGGTGGCTCACACCTGTAATCCCAGCTACTTGGGAGGCTGAGGCAGGAGAATCACTTGAACCCAGGAGGTGGAGGTTGCAGCAAGCAGAGATCACACCACTGCACTACAGCCTCGGCAATAGAGCGAGACTCTGTGTCAAAAAAAAAAAAATTATCTAGTTTAGGCCGGGTGTGGTGGCTCACGCCTGTAATCCCAGCACTTTGGGAGGCTGAGGCAGGCAGATCACTTGAGGTCAAGAGTTTGAGACCAGCCTGGCCAACATGATAAAACCCTGTCTCTACTAAAAACACAAAAATTAGCTGGGTGTGGTGGCACATGCCTGTAGTCTCAGCTACTCGGGAGGCTGAGGCAGGAGAATTGCTTGAACCCGGGAGGCGGAGGTTGCAGTGAGCCGAGATCACACAATTGCCCTCCAGCCTAGGTGACAAGAGCAAGACCATGTCTCAAAAAAAGAAAAAAAAAAAAGGGCCGGTCTTGGTGGCTCATGCCTGTAATCCCAGCACTCTGGGAAGTGGAGGCGGGCAGATCACCTGAGGTCAGGAGTTCAAGACCAGCCAGACCAACATGGAGAAACCCCGTCTCTACTAAAAATACAAAATTAGCCAGGTGTGGTGGCGCATGCCTGTGATCCCAGCTACTCGGGAGGCTGAGACAGGAGAATCGTTTGAACCTGGAAGGCGGAGGTTGTAGTGAACCTACATCGCGCCATTGCACTCCAGCCTGGGCAACAAGAATGAAACTCTGTCTCAAACCGCCCCCTCCCGCCGCACACACACACACACACCAAAAAAAAAAAACAAAAAAACAGCCTGGCCAACATGGTGAAACCCTATCTCTACTAAAAATACAAAAATTAGCCAGGCATGGTGGTACACGCCTGTAGTCCCAGCTACTCAGGAGGCTGAGGTGGGAGAATCGCTGGAACCCGGGAGGCTGAGGTTGCAGTGAGCCAAGATCGCGCCACTGCACTCCAGCCTGGCTGACAAAGTGAGACTCTGTCTCAAAAAAAAGAAAAAAGAGAAAAACTTCCTGTGGTGTGATTACCTCTCCTTTATGGAAACTCATTTAGATATCATGGAAGTCTAACCTGACGAAAAAGAGTGCTTGAATTTAATAAGACACAGGAAGAATGCGTGTCCAAGTTTATAAGGCTACGCTACATTATAGAGGAATGTAAACAAGAAAACTAGTACCTTGAGGAGAACACGTGGCTCTTAGCCACAGCTCTGGAACACTGCTCTGCGCCAACACCTGGCCCACCCAAGTGGTCCCCAAGCAGTAGGGGCTCTGCAGGGGGAGCTGACCATTGCAGTGACCAGATGGCACCAGAGGGAATGTGACGGGGAAATATCCAGGTGGAGCTAATGCCTGCCGTGATAAGTTGGCCTCTTCCTTTTGTTCTTCAGGCCTACCGGTGGCAGCTGCTCCCTCTAATTTTTCCCTTGCTGGTTCCTATTTCTGTTATTCATCTGTCACCTGTGTAATCAAGTTCTTGAATTAAATTCTGTCTGTCAAAAGGGTGGTCACTATATTTCTGACTAGGGGATCCTGGTGAATCCTGGGAAAGCTGTTGTTCTTTTGGATGCTAGACTTGTATGTGGTTACCTAGTTGAACCTACTTATTCGTCCAAACAATATCTCGACTATCTTGTATTTCCTAAGCAGACAATCACAGCTTTGGCAAATAATGATGATTTCTCCTTTTGTAAAATATACATCTTATTTCCTTTTTGCTTTGGCAAGGACTACCAAAATAATATTAAAGACTATCAATTAAGGCCGAGGCTGGTGGATCATTTGAGGTCAGGAGTTTGAGACCAGCCTGACCAACATGGTGAAACTCCGTCTCTACTAAAAATACAAGAAAATTAGCCGGCCATGGTGGCACATGCCTGTAGTCTCAGCTACTCGGAAGGCTGAGGCAGGAGAATCGCTTGAACCCAGGAGGCGGAGGTTGCAGTGAGCCGAGATCTTGCCACTGCACTCCAGCCTGGGTGACAGAGCGATACCCCGTCTCGAAAAAAAGAAAAAAAAAGTATCAATTATAGCAGCTTTTTTTTTTTTTTTTTTTTAATGAGACAGGGTCTCACTTTGTTACTCAGGCTGGAGTGCAGTGGTATGATCATGTCTCACTGCAGCCTTGACTTACCTGGGCTCAGGTGATACTCCCACCTCAGCCTCCCAAGTAGCTGGGACTACAGGCATGCACCATCGTGCCCAGCTAATTTTTGTATTTTTTGTAGAGACAGAGTTTCATCATGCTGTCCAGACCGGTCTGGAACTCCCAGGCTCAAGTAATCCTCCCACCTCGGCCTCCCAACATGCTGGGATTACAGGCATGAGCCACTGCCTAGCAACTACTCTTGTAACGGGACACAGAGTGAGTAGGGAATCTCTTATGAATAGTTATATTTACTATAAAGACATTGTAATCAAAATACTATTGATATAAAAATGGACAAACCCAGGCCAGGCATGGTGGCTCATGCCTGTAATCCCAGCACTTTGGGAGGCCGAGGTGGGCAGATCATCTGAGGTCAGGAGTTCAAGACCAGCCTGGCCAACATGGTGAAACCCTGTCTCTACTAAAAATACAAAAACAATTAGCCAGACATGATGGCACGCAGCTGTAATCCCAGCTACTCAGGAGGCTGACGCAGGAGAATCACTTGAACCCAGGAGGCGGAGGTTGCAGTGAGCCAAGATCTTGCCATTGCACTCCAGCCTGGGCAACAAGAGTGAAACTCCATCTCAAAAAAAAAAAAAAAAAAAAAGGACAAACAGCAGTGGTAGACAATCCAGAAATACATCCATTTATATCTGGACACTTAATATACATACAATCCGGCACTGCGATTCAGGGGGAAGATATGGTTGACTTAATAAGTGGTGCTGGCATAAGAGGCCACCTGTGCGATGGGCAACGTGAATGGGTAAGTGAAGGCACCCTGAGGTTGACTCTTTGTGTTCAAATCCCAGCTCCTCTACCTTTTAGCTCTGTGAACTTCAGCAAGTTACCTAAGTTCTCTAAGCCTCAGGTCCCCCATTTCTTTTTTTTTTTTTTTCTCAGAGTCTCGCTCTGTCGCCCAGGCTGGAGTGCAGTGGCACGATCTCGGCTCACTGCAACCTCTGCCTCCCGGGTTCAAGTGATTCTCCTGCCTCAGCCCCCCAAGTAGCTGGGATTACAGACATGTGCCACCATGCCTGGCTAAGTTTTTTTTTGTCTTTTTAGTAGAGATAGGTTTTCACCATGTTGGCCAGGCTGGTCTTGAACTCCCGACTTCAGATGATCTGCCCGCCTTGGCCTCCCAAAGTGCTGGGATTACAGGCATGAGCCACCGTGCCCAGCCCCAGGTCCCCCATTTCTGAGAGGGGAATAAAAATGCAAAGATGCTTCACAAGGCTGTTGTGAGAAATAAATGAATTATTATATCTACACGATTTAAGGAAAATGCCTAGCACAGAATATACTGATTAAAAATACAAGGCTGGACTCCTACCTCATGTTATTTACAAAAGTAGTTTTCAAATGATTTGAAGATTAGAATGTAAAAAGTAAAACATAAATATATCAGAAGACAATATAGAAAATATGTTAATATATTCATAGCACCCAGAGAAAGAAAAGATACATGTATTTATGGATTTTATTTTATTTTTTATTTATTTTTTGAGACAGGGTCTCTATCTATCGCCCAAGCTAGAGTGCAGTGGTGAGATCTCGGTTCATTGCAACCTTCACCTCCCGGGTTCAAGCGACTCTCGTGCCTCAGCCTTCTGAGTAGCTGGGATTTCATGCACCTGCCACCATGCCTGGCTAATTTTTGTATTTTTAGTAGAGACAAGGTTTCACCATGTTGGTCAGGCTGGTATCCAACTCCTCACCTCGTGATCCGCCCACCTCAGCCTCCCAAAGTGCTGGAATTACAGTCATGAGCCACTGCGCTCGACCTGGATTTTTAAAAATATGGCAAAAGACGCTGTAAAATCAAAGACAAAACTCAAAATGATCATGTATTTAAATGTACAATGTAAAACTATAAGCATTTTGGAAGAAAATACAAAAAAATCTTCTGGACCATCACTCCTGTAGTCCCAGCACTTTGGGAGGCCGAGGCAGGTCGATCACCTGAGGTCAGGAGTTCGAGACTAGCCTGGCCAACATGATGAAACCTCATCTCTACGAAAACAAAAATTAGCTTGAGCCTGGGAGGTTGAGGCTGCAGTGAGCCGTGTTCTTGCCACTGCACTCCAACCTCGGTGACAAAGTTAGACTCTGTCTCTAAAAATTATAAGAAAAAAGTAAAAATCTTCTGGACCTAGAGATTGAATGAGTTCTTAGACTCAACACCAAAAGCACCATTTATAAAAGAAAAAAATCAGTAAATTGGATTTCATCAAATTTAAAAACTTTTGCTCTGTAAAAGACCTTGTTCAGAAGATGAAAAGATAAGCTACAGACTGGCAGGAAATGTTTGTGATCTATCCATCTGAAAAGGGATTGATATCCAGAATATACAAGAAACTCGAACATCTCAACAACAACAACAAAAATCTGATTTAAACATGTCATACAAATGAACCGAATGACATTTCTCAAAAGACATACAGATGGCCAACAAATATATGGAAAAAATGCTCAACATCACTAATCATCAGGGAAATATAATCAAAACCACAATGAAGTATTACCTCACCCCAGTTAGGATGGCTATTGTCAAAAAGAAAAAAATAACATACTGGTAAGGATATGGAGAAAACAATGTACTGTTGGAAGGAATGAAAACTGTTACAGCCACTGTGGATAATGGTATGGAGGTTCCTCAAAAAACTACAGATAGAATACCAGATGATCCAGCAATTTTACAACTGAGAAATTTATCCAAAGGAAAGCAAATCCGTCTGTGGAAGAGATATCTGCGCCCTGTGTTTATTGCAGCACCATTCACAGTAGCCAAGATATGCAGTCAACTCAAGTGTCCAACAACAGATTAATGCACAAAGAAAACATGGTACATATATACAATGGAATACTATTCAGCCGTGAAAAGAATAAAAAGCAACATGGATGGAACCAGGGGACATGATGTTCGTGAAATAAGCAAGGAACGGAAAGTTAAACGCGGCATGTTCTCATTCACATGTGAAAGCTAAAAAAAAGCTGATCTCATACAAGTAAAAAGTAGAACAGAGGATACTGAGGCTGGGAAGGGAGGTGGGAAGGAGATAGGGAGAGTTTTGTTGAAGGTTGCAAAATTACAGCTAGATAGAATAAGTTTTAGCATTCTATACTACTGTAGGATGACTACAGCTAACAGTTATATATTGCAAATAGCTAGAAGGAGGATATTGGATGTTCCCAACACAAATCAATGATATGATGGATGTGCTAATTACCCTGATCTGATCACTATACATTATACGTGTTGAAATATCACTATGTACCATATGAATATATATAATTATTATTTATAAATTAAAAACCATCCCATTAGAAAATGGGCAAGTATCCCAGCACTTTGGGAGGCTGAGGCAAGTGGATCACGAGGTCAATAGATCAAGACCATCCTGGCCAACATGGTGAAACCGCATCTCTACTAAAAATATAAGAAAAAATAGCTGGGTGTGGTGGCACGCACCTGTAGTCCCAGCTACTTGGGAGGCTGAGGCAGGGAAATCGCTTGAACCAAGGAGGCAGAGGTTGCAGTGAGCAGAGATCATGCCACTGCACTCCAGCCTGGCGACAGAGCAAGATTCCGTCTAAAAAAAAAAAAAAAAGACCAGAAAGAAAATGAGTGAGCAAGTCGGGGCATGGAGGTGTGTGCCTGTTGTTCCAGCTACTCAGGACACTGAGGCAGTATGATCGCTTGAGCTCAGGACTTCAAGGTTGCAGTGAGTATATAATGGAGCCACTGCACTCCAGCCTGGGTGACAGATCGAGACCCTGTCTCCAAAAAGAAAAAAAAGACAAGAGCCATCTTGAAGGGTCTTCCACTGGCCAAATCACGAACAGGTTGAGGATCAACATAATGAGAACACAATATTACATATTACATTTCTTTGAATAGAAGAGGAATCCACGAGTCCTCACTGATAAAAATAAATAGGTTAAGATAAAGCTTTTCCCTACAATCAATGATGGGATTAGAAAATCACCACTTAGGCTGGGTGCGGTAGCTCACACCTCTAATCCCAGCACTTTGGAAGGCCGAGGCAGGCGGATCACAAGGTCAGGAGTTTGAGACCAGCCTGGCCAACATGGTAAAACCCCATCTCTACTAAAAATACAAAAAATTAGCTGGGTGTGGTGGTGGGCGCCTATAATCCTAGCTGCTTGGGAGACTGAGGCAGGAGAATCGCTTGAACCCAGGAGGCAGACGTTGCAGTGAGCCATGATCGTGCCACTGCACTCCAGCCTGGGCGACAAGAGCGAAACTCAGTTTCAAAAAAAAAAAAAAGGAAATCACCACTTAGGCCAGGCACACTGGTTCGCTCCTGTAATCCCAGCACTTTGGGAGGTTGAGGCGGGTGGATCACCGGAGGTCAGGACTTCAAGACTAGCCTGGCCAACATGGCAAAATGCCGTCTCTACCAAAAATACAAAAAATCAGCCGGGGATGGTGGTGGGTACCTGTAATCCCAGCTACTTGGGAGGCTAATGCAGGAGAATCACTTGAACCTGGGAGGCAGAGGTTGCAGTGAGCTGAGATTACGCCATTGCCCTCCAGCCTGGGCGACAGAGTGAGACTCTGCCTCAAAAAAAAAAGAAAGAAAGAGGCCGGGCGCGGTGGCTCATGCCTGTAATCCCAGCACTTTGGGAGGCCAAGGTAGGAGGATCACCAGGTCAGGAGATCAAGACCATCCCGGCTAACACGGTGAAACCCCGTCTCTACCAAAATACAAAAAAAAATTTAGCCAGGTGCAATGGCGGGTGCCTGTAGTCCCAGCTACTCGGGAGGCTGCGGCAGGAGAATGGCGTGAACCCAGGAGGTGGAGCTTGCAGTGAGCCAAGATCGCGCCACTGCACTCCAGCCTGGGCGACAGAGCAAGACTCCGTCTCAAAAAAAAAAAAAAAAGGAAGAAAGAAAATCACCATTTAGCAATCATCATGGTGATAATTAATTCAGAGATATAAACAATCCAAAACTAGTGGGAGAAAGTTGGAAAAGGAATAGGTATACAAAGTCTCAAAGGATCTCCCCATGAACTATGCATTCAATACAAAGAGGAGAAGAATGATTTGGCAGTGGAGAAGCCTGGCCACCTCCACCTTAATCAAGGGATCAAGATGAGCATCACCAGTCCTGGCACAAACTGGCATCGCATGCCACCTGGTTCTTTTGTGATGCCAAAAAAAGAATCCAGCTTCACCCCTGGGTTGCTACTGCCCAAAATGTGCAACTGAACAAAACCATGGGGCAACCAGACAGCCTGCAGTGGAGGAATATTCTACCTGACAGCCCGCGGTGGAGGAATATTGTACCGGACAGCCCGCGGAGGAGGAATATTCTACCGGACAGCCCGCGGCGGGGAATATTCTACTGGACAGCCCGCACTGCAGGAATATTCTACCGGACAGCCCGCGGTGGAGGAATATTTTACCGGACGGCCCGCGGCGGGGAATATTCTACCGGACGGCCCTCGGTGGAGGAATATTCTCCCTGACGGCCCGCGGTGGAGGAATATTGTACCGGACAGCCCGCGGTGGAGGAATATTCTACCGGACAGCCCGCGGAGGGGGAATATTCTACCTGACAGCCCTCGGTGGAGGAATATTTTACCTGACAACCCTCGGTGGAGGAATATTGTACCGGACAGCCCGCGGCGGGGAATATTCTACCGGACAGCCCGCGGCGGAGGAATATTGTACCGGACAGCCCTCGGCGGGGAATATTCTACCAGCAGCTGGTCGCTGGTCGTTAAGAGTCCAGAGAAGGAAGTCAAAGGCTGAAGAACTGTTCCTTACTGAAGGAGACGGAAGAGACTCAGACACACCTTTTGCGGAAAGGTCATCGTCATGGCAACAGGTGTGATTTGGGAACTTCATTGAGGTCTGTGGGCCAAGGGTATATGGGAGTTCTTTGTACAGTTCTTGTAACTATTCTGTAACTTTTTTTTTTAATGGGGTCTCGCTCAGTTGTCCAGGCTGGAGAGCAGTGGTACAACCACAGCTACTGCCACCTCGACCTCCCGGGCTGAAGCGATCCTCCCTGCCTCAGCCTACTGAGTAGCTGAGACTACTGGCACGGGCCACTATGCCCAGCCTGTAACTTTGAAATTAGTTCCGAAAAGTTTGGATCTTTCCATTTATGTCGGGAATTGTTAAGGCTCCCCACCTGGTGGTGATTGTGGACACTCCTGACACCATCAAAGCCAGGGCTTTCTCATCGCTGCTGGACACCAGCGGGCCCTGAAGGTGCACACTTTTGTCTCAGTCAAAAGTAGCCACCAGAGGGCATGATTTACCTAATTATGCACAGTACATATTCCCTGGGTCTGTGAGTCTCAAGCCTGTGCTTTCCTTTGGAGGATGGACACTGCCTTGGACTCAGACCCTCTTCCTCAGTTTCCATGGGGTTTTCATGCAAATTTAAATTGGGATTGAGACGATGAAGTGCCCTTCCTCGGTCTTCCCCAGGGGTGAGTCCCAGCTCTTGGACTGTATGATGTGCTGCTCTGTGAGTGGCTTCCTCCCAGTCTTTCGTGTGAAATACAAATAACATCAGGCCGGGCACCGTGGCTCACGCCTGTAGTCCCAGCTAGTCGGGAGGCTGAGACAGGAGAATTGCTTGAACCCGGGAGGCAGAGGTTGCAGTGGGCCGAGATCACGCCACTGTACTCCAGCCTGGGTGACAGAGCAAGACTCTGTCTCAAAAAGTAAAAAATAACATCAAGCTGGTAAGGGGATTATAACAACAAATAACCCATAAATCAAGGAATAAATGGATAAAAATAACAAGCCTACATTAGAATAGAAGGAAGGTCTCAAATCTGTGACTTCAGCTTCTACTTCAAGAAACTAGGGGCCGGCTGCAGTGGCTCACGCCTGTAATCCCAGCACTTTGGGAAGCCGAGGCGGGCAGATCATGAGGTCAGGAGATCGAGACCATCCTGGCTAACACGGTGAAACCCTGTCTTTACTAAAAAATACAAAAAAAAAAATTAGCAGAGCATGATGGCGGGCACCTGTAGTTCCAGCTACTCGGGAGGCTGAGGCAGGAGAATGGCGTGAACCCGGGAGGCAGAGCTTGCAGTGAGCTGAGATAGCGCCACCACACTGCAGCCTAGGTGATGGAGTGAGACTCCGTCTCAAAAAAAAAAAAAGAAACTACAAAGAGAATGGCTGGCGTGGTGGCTCATGCCTGTAATCCCAGCACTTTGGGAGGCCGAGGTGGGTGGATCACCTGAGGTCGGGAGTTCGAGACCAGCCTGACCAATGTGGAGAAACCCTGTCTCTACTAAAAATACAAAATTAGCCAGGCGTGGTGGTGGGCGCCTGTAATCCCAGCTACTCGGAGGCTGAGGCAGGAGAATTGCTTGAACCCAGGAGGCAGAGGTTGCAGTGAGCCGAGATCATGAAATTGCACTCCAGCCTGGGCAACAAGAGTGAAACTCCATCTAAAAAAAGAAAGAAAGAGGCAAACTAAACCCAAAGTAAGCAGAAGAAAGGAAATAATAGTAAGGTCAAGGTGGTAATAAGTGAAATAGAAAAAGAACACAGGCCAGGCACAGTGGTTCGCTCCTGTAATCCCAGCACTTTGGGAGGTTGAGGCAGGTGGATCACCTGAGGTCAGGAATTCAAGACCAGCCTGGCCAACATGGCAAAACGCCGTCTCTACCAAAAATACAAAAAATCAGCCGGGGATGGTGGTAGGTACCTGTAATCCCAGCTACTTGGGAGGCTAATGCAGGAGAATCACTTGAACCTGGGAGGCAGAGGTTGCAGTGAGCTGAGATTATGCCATTGCCCTCCAGCCTGGGCAACAGAGTGAGACTCTGCCTCAAAAAAAAAAAAAAAAAAGAAAAGAAAAGAAAAGAAAAAGAAAAAGAACACAATGGAGAAACATAAATGGATCCAAAAGCTGGTTCTTTCAAAAGACCAACAAATTGACAAACCTCTGGTGAAACTGACAAGAAAGAAGACACAAATTACCAATATCAGTAATGAGAGGGTGCAATCACTACAAATGAGAGAGTGACATCACTACAGATTCTCTTTTTTTTTTTTTTTTTTTTTTGAGACAGAGTCTCCTCTGTTGCCCAGACTGGAGTGCAGTGGCACGATCTCAGCTCACTGCAAGCTCCGCCTCCAGGGTTCACGCCATTCTCCTGCCTCAGCCTCTCCGAGTAGCTGGGACTACAGGTGCCCGCCACCACGCCTGGCTAACTTTTTTTTTGTATTTTTAGTAGAGACGGGGTTTCACCGTGTTAGCCAGGATGGTCTCAAACTCCTGACCTCGTGATCCCCCTGCCTCGGCCTCCCAAAGTGCTGGGATTACAGGCGTGAGCCACCGCGCCCGGCCATCACTACAGATTCTATAGATACCAAAAGGATAATATGGCAATGATGTTATGAACAACTTTATGCCAATTAATTTGACAATTTAGTTGAAATGGACCAATTCCTTGAAACACAAAAACTACCAAAAGTCACCTAAGGAAAAAAAACCTGAATAGCCATATATCTATTAAAGGAATTGAATTTTTAGTAGAAAATATTCCCAGAAAGAAAATTTCAGCCCAGGTGGCTTTGCTGGAGAGTTCCACCAAATGTTTAGGGAAGAAATAATAAGAGTTCTACACAAGCTCTTCCAGAAAATTTAAGAGGAGGAAATATTTTCCCAATCCTTCTGAGGTCAACATTTCCCTGATACCAAAACCAGAAAAAGACATTACCAAAAAAAGGAAAACCACAGACAAAATATTCCTTGTGGACATAGATGCGAAAATTCTAAACAAAATCTTAGCAAATGAATACAACTATATATAAAAATTAAAAGGCGCCCAGCCTTAGAGAATTTTTTTTAATTTTTGAAATTTATGTTATCTATCTATCTATCTATCATATAACTCTCTACCTATCAACCTATCTATTTTTTGATTCAAGGTCTCTCTCTGTCACCTGGGCTGGAGTACATGGCTCTCTGCAGCCTCGACCTCCTGGGCTCAAGTGATCCTCCCACCTCAGCCTCCGGAATACCTGGAACTACAGGTGTACACCACCATGCCTGGTTAATTTTTTTTTCTTTTTCTTTTTGTTCTTCTTTTCTTTTTTTTTTTTTTTTTTTGAGACAGAGTCTCACTCTATTGTTCAGGCTGGAGTGCAGTGGTACGATCCCGGCTCACAGCAAACTCTGCCTCCCATGTTTCAGTGATTCTTATGCCTCAGTCTCCTGAGTAGCTGGAATTACAGGCACACACCACCATGCCCGGCTAATTTTTGTATTTTTAGTAGAGAGGGGGGTTCATCATGTTGGCCAGGCTGGTCTCAAACTCCTGGCCTCAAGTGATCTGTCTGCCTTGGCCTCCCAAAGTGCTGGGATTACAGGTGTGAGCCACTGCACCTGGCCCTTGGCTAATTTTTTTTAATGTTTTTGTAGAGATGGGGGTCATACTGTGTTGCCCAGGCTGCGACCCTTCTTTGAGTTTTATGAGCTGTTGTTCTAGTAACTTATCAAGCCTGAGTGGGTAATGAGGACCTCTGAATTTGTAGCCAGTTGGTTGGAGGTTAGGGTGGCCCTGGAAATCCCCAAACTTGTGGCTGGTGTCTAAAGTGAGAACAGTTTTGTGGAAGACTGTCCCCTCAACTTGTGAAGTGGGGCCTAACTCCAGGTAGTTAGTATCAGAAGTCGCTGCAGAAGGTAAATTGCCACGACCCTTTTGGAAAGTTATCTGGCATAAGCACGTAAAAGTGAATATGTGCGTAGCCCTGATCCTAGAGACACTCTTGCACATGTACACCTGGAGACGTTAAATAAGGTTCTTAGCAGCATTTTTCATAATAGCAAAAATTGGAAATAATCCTAATGTCCAGAAACACGAAAATGGATGTATACATCCTGAGATACTCACACAATGGAATACTGCACAGCAATGAAAATCATGAATCCCACAAACATAATAATGAGTGAAAGTAGGTTATTATAAGCATGTACCTTTGGCCAGGTGCAGTGGCTCACGCCTGTAATCTCAGCACTTTGGGAGGCCGAGGCAGGTGGATGACCTGAAGTCAGGAGTTTGAGACCAGCCTAACCAACATAGCGAAACCCTGTCTCTACTAAAAACACAAAAATTAGCCGGGCGTGAGGGCGGTCACCTGTAATCCCAGCTACTCCAGAGGCTGAGGCAAGAGAATTGCTTGAACCCAGAGGGCGGAGGTTGCAGTGAGCCAAGATTGCGCCACTGTACTCCAGTCTGGGCAACAGAGTGAGATGCCATTAAAACAAAAAAGAAAGAAGGAAGGAAGGAAGGAAGGAAGGAAGGAAAGAGAGGGGCCCATGGGCCAAAGCCTTTCCTGGAGTCCAGGTGTTACTTACCCAGGCAGGTTTCCATGGTGAGTCCTTTTTTTCTGAGACGGAGTCCACTCTGTCACCCAGGCTGGAGTGCAATAGCACAGTCAGCTCACTGCAACCTTTGCCTCCCAGGTTCAAGAGATTCTCCCGCCTCAGCCTCCCAAGTAGCTGGGACTACAGACGTGTGCCACCACACCTGGCTAATTTTTGTATTTTTAGTAGAGACTGGGTTTCACTATGTTGGCCAGGCTGGTCTCAAACTCCTGACCTCGTGATCTGCCCGTCCGGCCACCCAGAGTGCTGGGATTACAGGCGGGAGCCACCGCACCCGGCCTCCATGGGGAGTTCTAATTGGTGTTCTCAGAGCAAGCAGGAATGAGTTCTGTGGATTTGTGTTGTGACTGAGAGGTGGTCATTGCAGCAGCATATCTACGCAGTCTATGCAGGGTGTAGGGGTCTCTGGGGCAAGTCAACTAGGTTGTATGTAGATGTCCCTTATTCAACCAGGAGGTGGTTGAATGAGGCAGATACCTGGGTCAATCCCATTGAAGAACTGGAGGAGGTGGAGAACTGGAAACTGTGACAAGGGTGACTGAGCCTTGATTTTGGAATGAGAAAATCCAACTTATATTCAAAATAGATGCCAAGGCAAAATTGCAATTCACTACACTTCCCATTCATTTTGAGCTCTTGAAGGTTTCCTTGACTTCCTTATAAGCTCAGTTTATATTTTAAAGGATGTTTCTTGTATCTTCTCTTGCATTTCTAGATTGTAGTAAGAAGGTTTTTTTAGAATATTTGGTCTACTATATGGCTAGAGGAGAAAAGTCTCTCCTAATTATTTTTTCCATATGTTGAGTTTTTTCTTGTCTATTACAGACATATTAGATTTCTTGTAACTTCTAATTTTCCTCTCATGTTTTTCCTCTTTGTCCTTTTATTTATTTATTTAGAGATGGAGTCTCACTCTGTCACCCAGGCTGGAGTGCAGTGGCACGATCTTGGCTCATTGCAACCTCTGCCTCCCAGGTTGAAGCGATTCTCCTGCCTCAGCCTCCCAAATAGCTGGGATTACAGCATACGTCACCACGCCAGTCTAACTTTTGTATTTTTAGTAGAGATAGGGTTTCACCATGTTGGCCAGGCTGGTCTCAAACTCCTGACCTCAAGTGATCTGCCCACCCTGGCCTCCCAGAGCGCTGGGATTATAGGTGTGAGCCACTGTGCCCAGCCCTATTTTGTCTTTCGTTTTGGATATACTCTCGACTTTAACTTGTCAAACACTAATTCAATCTTCAGCCATATTCAATCTTCCACTGGTTTTGTTGTGTTGTATTGTATTATATTGTATTGTATTTGTTTATTTTGAGACAGAGTTTCACTCTGCCCCCAGGTTGCAGTGCAGTGGTACCATCTTGGTTCACTGCAACCTCCACCGCCTTCGAGGTTCAAATAATTCCCCTGCCTCAGCCTCCCAAGTAGCTGGGATTACAGGCACGCAACACTGTGCCTGGCTAATTTCTTGTATTTTTAGTAGAGACAGGGTTTCACCATGTTGGCCAGGCTGGTCTTGAACTCCTGACATCGTGATCTGCCCGCCTCAGCCTCCCAAAGTGCTGTGATTACAGGCATGAGCCACTGGGCCCAGCTCTCCCATTGGTTTTAAATTCAGCAATCATGATTTCAGTGTTCAATATATCTTTGTTCTTTGATTGCTCCTTTATCATGACATCTGTTCTTGTTTTATGGCTGCAGTATTTTCCTGAATTTTCAGAGCATAGTAACTAGAATTCTTTAAAAGTTCTGGCCAGGCATGGTGGCACACACCTGTAATCCCAGCACTTTGGGAGGCCAAGGCAGGCAGACCACTTGAGCTCAAGAGTTCGAGACCAGTCTGGGTAACATGGTGAAACCCTGTCTCAGCAAAAAATACAAAAAATTGGCCGGGCGCGGTAGCTCACGCCTGTAATCCCAGCACTTTGGGAGGCCGAGGTGAGCAGATCACGAGGTCAAGAGATCCAGATCATCCTGGCCAATGTGGTGAAACCCTGTCTCTATTAAAAAAAAATACAAAAATTAGGCCAGGCGCCATGGCTCACGCCTGTAATCCCAGCACTTTGGGAGACCAAGACAGGCAGATCACGAGGTCAGGAGATTGAGACTATCCTGGCCAACATGGTGAAAACCTGTCTCTACTAAAAAAAATACAAAAAATTAGCTGGGCGTGGTGGCAGGCGCCTGTAGTCCCAGCTACTCGGGAGGCTGAGGCAGGAGAATGGCGTGAATGTGGGAGGCGGAGCTTGCAGTGAGCCGAGACTGCGCCACTGCACTCCAGCCTGGGCAACAGAGCGAGACTCTGCCTCAAAAAAAAAGAAAAAAAATACAAAAATTAGCTGGGCATGGTGGTGGGTGCCTGTAATCCCAGCTACTCTGGAGGCTGAGGCAGGAGAATCCACTTGAACCCAGGAGGCGGAGGTTACAGTGAGCCAAGATCATGCCACTGCACTCCAGCCTGGTGAAAGAGAGAGGCTCCATCTAAAAAAAAAAAAATTAGCCAGGTATGGTGGCACACATCTGTGGTCCCAGCTACTCAGGAGGCTGAGGTGGGAGGATCACTTGAGCCTGAGAGGTGGAGGCTGCAGTGAGCCAAGATCGCACCACTGCACTCCAGCCTGGGCGATAGAGCGAGACTCCACCTCAAAAAATAAATAAATAAATAAATAAATAAAAGTTCCCGGCCAAGTGTGGTGGCTCACGCCTGTAATCCCGGGGGGGCCGAGGAGGGTGGATCACAAGGTCAGGAGATCAAGACCATCCTGGCTAACACAGTGAAACCCTGTCTCTACTAAAAATACAACAACAACAAAAAACACAAAACAAAATTAGCCGGGCGTGCTGGCAGGCGCTTGTAGTCCCAACTACTCGGGAGGCTGAGGCAGGAGAATGGTGTGAACCCAGGAGGCGGAGCTTGGGTGAGCCAAGATCGCACCACTGCACTCCAGCCTGGGCGACAGAGCCAGACTCCATCTCAAAAAAAAAAAAAAAGTTCCCTTCTGCTTCACATACTGTGTTACCTCTGTAAATAGGTATATGCCTTTGGTTTACTTAATATCTAGTGATTCTTGGTTTTTGTTCACATTCATTAGTGACATCAGTTGATCAGTTTGGGTGACATCATGGGTTTCCTCAGTATTCAGGAAGGTATTTTTCTCTCCTAAACAGAGAGTTGTCTGTGGGCTCATGGGTGACTGCCAGAAAGCCAACAGGCTGCAAATAGGGTTGCCAGATAAAATACAGGATACCCAGTTAAATTCGAATAGAGGATACGGTATTTACTATTTGTCTGAAATTCAAAATTTACTGTCCAGGATACAGTTAAATTTGAATTTCAGACAAACAACAAATACTTTTTGGTATCAACGTGTCCCAAATGTTACATGGGTGCCGTCTTTTTAACAGCTTTGATATATAGTTCAAATACAATCAACCCATTTAAAGTGTACAATTTAAATGTTTTAGTACAATTTAAATGTTTAGAATATTTACAATTTAAATATTCACAGTTGTGCAACTACCAGCATAATCTAATTTTACAACATTTTCAACATCCAAAAAAGAAAGCCCAAACCCATTGTCTCAGTCAGCTCAGGTTGCCATAACAAAATACCATAGACTAGGTGGTTTAAACAATAGAAATGTATTTTCTCACATTTTTGGAGACTAGGAAGAAGTCCAGGATCAAAGTACTGACAGATTTGGTTTTTGGTGAGTGCCCTTCCACTTCCTTAGAGGCCCCATCTCTAAACACAGTCACACTGGGGTTAGGACTTCAGCATATGCATTTTTTGGAGGGACACTGTTCGGTCCATAGCACCCACTAACAGTCACTCCTACTCCCCTTACCCTACCCTTCCCTTGACAACTGCTAATTTACTTTCTGTCTCTATGAACTGACTATTCCGGACGTGTCTTATAAATGGGATCATAAAATATGTGATCTCTTGTGATTTCTTTCTTTCATTTAGCGTAAGATTTTGGAGTTCATATGTGTTGCAGCATATGTCAGTACTTTGCTCCTTTTTATGGCTGAATAATATCCCTTTGCATGGATTTATCTGTTTATTTTTCCATTCGTCAGTTGACAGACATTTGGGTTGTTTCCACCTTTTGACCACTATGAATAATGCTGCTTGTACACGTTCACGTTTCTGTGTGGTTTTCAGTTTTCATTTCTCTTGACTAGATGCCTGGGAGTGGAATTGCTGGGTTATATGATAACTCTGTTTGCGTTTTTTTGATTTTTTTTTTTTTTTGAGATGGAGTCTGGCTCTGTCATCCAGGCTGGAGTGCAGTGGCACCGTCTTGGCTCACTGCAACCTCTGCCTCCTGGGGTCAAGTGAGTCTCCTGCCTTAGCTTCCTGAGTAGCTGGGATTACAGGCGCGTGCCATCGTGCCTGGCTAATTTTTGTATTTTTAGTAGAGATGGGGTTTCATCATGCTGGTCACTCTGGTCTCGAACTCCTAACCTTGTGATCGACCAGCCTCAGCTTCCCAAAGTGCTGGGGTTATAGGCGCGAGCCACCATGCCCAGCAAATGTCTGACTTTTTGAGGAGCTGACAAAATGTTTTCCACAGTGGCGGCTCCATTTTACAGTCTCACCAGCAGTGTATGTGGGTTCCAATTTCTCCACATCCTCATCAACAGTTGTTTAATCTGTGTTTTTGGCCGGGTGCAGTGGCTCACGCCTGTAATCCCAGCACTTTGGGAGGCCAAGGTGGGTGGATCATCTGAGGTCAGGAGTTCAAGACCAGCCTGACCAACATGGAGAAACCCCGTCTCTACTAAAACTACAAAAAAAAATTAGCCAGGCGTGGTGGTGCATGCCTATAATCCCAGCTACTCGGGAGGCTGAGGCAGGAGAATTGCTTGAACCTGGGAGTGGAGGTTCCAGTGAGCTGAGATCGTGCCATTGAACTCCAGCCTGGGCAACAAGAGCAAAACTCCATCTCAAAAAAAAAAAGAAATTCTGTGTTTTTGATCATAGCCATCCTAGTGGGTTTTGCACCAATAATGTCTGCTACACCCTACTTTGCAAAACCATTATGACTATATATATGAACACTATGCAAGGTTTGCTCTCAGGGAAGCTTTGGAAAGGACCCGTCCAAGCAAGGCACCATGAAGCTTAAATTTTATTACCTTCCTTTAAGTACTGTTTTCTTTTTTTTTTTTTTGAGACAGTCTCACTCTGTCACCCAGGATGGAGTGCAGTGGCACAATCTCCACTCACTACAACCTCCCCCTACCAGGTTCAAGCAATTCTCCTGCCTCAGCTTCCCAAGTAGCTAGGACTACAGGCACACGCCACCATGCCCGGCTAATTTTTATATTTTTAGTAGAAATGGGTTTCACCATGTTGGCCAGGCTGGTCTTGAACTCCTGGCCTCAAGTGATCCACATGCCTTGGCCTCCCAGAGTGCTGAGATTGCAGGTGTGAGCCACCGCACCCGGCCTAATTTACTGTTATTTATTTTATTTTTGAGATGGAGTCTCCCTCTGTTGCCCAGGCTGGGGTGCAGTGGCGCTATCTTGGCTCAATGCAACTTCTTCCTCCCAGGTTCAAGCAATTCTCCTGCTTCAGCCTCTCGAGTAGGCGGGACTAGAGGAGTGTGCCACCACCCCCGGTTACCTTTTGTATTTTTTTTAGTAGAGAGGGGTTTCACCATGTTGGCCAGGCTGGTCTCAAACTGCTGACCTCAGGTGATCTACCTGCCTTGGCCTCCCAAAACGCTGGGATTATAGGCATGAGCTACCACACCTGGCCTAAGTACTGCTATCTTGAAGGAGGCAGACAGAAACCAAGCAGTCATGGGTGGCGGGTGGGCTGAGTCTCTGTAAGTTGCCCAGGGAAGATAGCTCTGACAAATAATTAGAAGTTGCCAGCCTTGTGTACAGCTGAGAAAAGAGCATTCCAGGCAGAAGAGACAGCAAGTGCAAAGACCCTGAGGCCAGAATGGCCACCAAAGTTGTTTGGTTCCGTGTCCTGAGCTACCAGCTTGGCAGATGGCTGGTGCCCAAAAAATGCTGGAGTGAGGGAATGCCCTTCTTTTGCCCTCCCTTCCTCCCAGTCTGTGTGTCTCTAGAAGGTTGCTGCTCCGCCCACAGTGGAGGACACGTGAAGAACTGGAGTCCTTTTCTGGGGCAGACTCCAATACTGGGACAGAGAAACTCTTCTGCCACGACCATGGAACTGGGAGGTCCCAGTGTCTTTCTTTCCCAACTGCTCTGAGAAAATCGGCCAGTGGCAGGTGGAAATGATATGGAGCCACAGAGCAGCAGGGCAGCAGAGAGGGAGAGCAATGGTAGGGTAGACAGTACAAGGCTCCAGAGAGCTCCTGGATAAAGCAGTGCCGGAAGCTGGCTCCCTCCAAACCTCCATTTACAAATTTTCTCTTCGTGCAAGTCAGTTTGAGTTGGGTTTGTCACTTGCGACTGAAGACGTCCTGACAAATGCCCCAAAGCTACCAGCTCAGAGATGCCCAGAGGCCTCTCCAAAGCTGCCTCCTCAGGTCCCCACTGGGGCCCTGTGTTGTCCTGTCCCTGGACGGCCTGAGCTTCTCGGTGGCCGTGCCAGCCTGGACAAGAGCAGGCCTTCCTTCCGAGAGGCCCGTGGCCACTCCCCCATTCAGCCCTTCTCTGACCCGACAGCCTAGTCGAGGAGCCGGGGCGCGGGCCTCAGACCCTCAGGGCCCACGAGAAGCCAGGGCCGGCTGACCAGGTTCGGCGTGGCCAGCGCCCAGTGGGAAGCACTGGCCGACCTAGCCGAGACTACATGGACGCTTCCAGCGAGTGTGGACGCGGCAGGCGGCCAAATCGCGCCGGGCCTCGGTCCCCATGGCTCGGGACATCACAGCGCTCAGTCTCCAACCTCCGCAGCTTCCGGCCAGACGCCGAGACCCATAACTCCCCGCGCGCGGCCTGGCCCCTCCCCTCCGCACGCCGGTCCCGCCCCTTGAGCCCAGTGCGCAGCCTCGGATTGGCCAGGGCGGCTTTCGCTCCTCTGGTGGGCGGGGTTGCGGGCCACACAGCGGACCCCTAAGCGGACCGCTGGCACCGGTCGGGTGGCAGCAGAGTGTCGCTCGACATGGGGGAGGCCGGGGCTGGCGCTGGCGCCTCGGGAGGGCCGGAGGCAAGCCCGGAGGCAGAGGTGGTGAAGCTGCTGCCCTTCCTGGCGCCGGGCGCGCGGGCGGACCTGCAGGCGGCGGCGGTGCGGCACGTGCTGGCGCTGACTGGCTGCGGACCCGGCCGCGCGCTGTTGGCGGGGCAGGCGGCGCTGCTGCAGGCGCTGATGGAGCTGGCGCCGGCCTCTGCCCCGGCCCGGGACGCCGCCCGCGCGCTCGTGAACTTGGCCGCCGACCCCGGCCTGCACGAGACATTGCTGGCGGCCGACCCCGGGCTGCCAGCGCGCCTGATGGGCCGCGCGTTGGACCCGCAGTGGCCCTGGGCCGAGGAGGCGGCCGCCGCGCTAGCCAACCTCAGTCGCGAGCCGGCGCCGTGTGCAGCGCTCATGGCGGCGCTGGCGGCCGCGGAGCCGGCAGACTCGGGCCTGGAGCGGCTGGTGCGCGCGCTGTGCACGCCCGGCTACAACGCCCGCGCGCCCCTGCACTACCTAGCGCCGCTGCTCTCCAACCTCAGCCAACGCCCTGCGGCGCGGGCCTTCCTACTGGACCCCGACAGGTGAAGCCCAGGGCGCCCGCGCGGGCGGGGAGGGGACGGAAGTTAGGGGGGACGGCCCTAAGTGACACCTCCCAACAGGTGCGTGGTCCAGCGGCTGCTGCCCCTTACCCAGTACCCCGACTCCTCTGTACGCAGGGGCGGGGTGGTGGGGACGCTGCGGAATTGCTGCTTCGAGCACCGTGAGTGGTGGGTGTGGCGGGGGTGCGTTGCCAGGTGTGGGGACTGGACTCCGGGGCTGCTCTGGACCAGTTTCCATTCCCGTCTCCCCACCCTCACCATCCCTCAGGACATCACGAGTGGTTGCTTGGACCTGAGGTGGACATTCTCCCCTTTTTGCTCCTGCCCTTGGCTGGGCCTGAGGATTTCTCCGAGGAAGAGATGGAACGTGAGTGGCTAGTGTGGAGCCTCAGAGTTGGCCGGAGAGGAGGGAGGCCAGTGGAGGGAGAGAGAGGTGTCCAGGCCACAGGCTCCTGAAACTTTGCAGCAGTGAGTTGCTGAGCACAGGTGGGACTTACACAGGCAGAGCCTGGCTCAGCTGCCCAGCCCAGGGACACAGTGGCTCCCACACACTCACCCCTAGGGCTGCCTGTCGACTTGCAGTACCTGCCACCAGACAAGCAGCGAGAACCTGATGCAGACATCCGCAAGATGCTTGTTGAAGCCATCATGCTGGTGAGCAGGAGCCCTGCTGCAATAAGCACCACCCCAACACACACACATGAGCATGCTGACATCTGGGTAACCTCTTCCACCTCCTCAGCTGACAGCCACAGCACCAGGTCGGCAGCAGGTGCGGGACCAGGGAGCCTACCTGATCCTTCGAGAGCTGCACAGCTGGGAGCCGGAGCCCGACGTGCGGACGGCTTGTGAGAAGCTCATCCAGGTTGGTGCAGGGTTGGAGAGGCTGGGGAAGGGGTGTCTGTAGCTGGCCAGCTGCTCACCTGCTTCCCGTCTGGCAGGTGCTTATTGGGGACGAGCCTGAACGTGGCATGGAAAACCTGCTGGAGGTGCAGGTGCCTGAGGATGTGGAGCAGCAGCTGCAGCAGCTGGATTGCAGGGAGCAGGAGCAGTTGGAGCGGGAGCTGGCCCCAGAGCCATGGGTGGAGAGGGCCACACCCACCTGAGGCCCCTGCAGCCGGACACCAGCTCCAGGGTCCCCTTTGCCAGGCTTTCTCAGACCAGGCCTTCCTGCAGCTGTCTGCAGGCCCCCTGGGTCCCCTTGTTCAGAGACTGTGCTCTTCTGAGAAGCAGAGCTACGCTTAGGCTCCAGTAAGGATTGGAGGCACTTTCCAGCCCTGTGCAGTGTTGCTACCAGCAAGAATGAAGGTTGTGCAGAGCAGTACTGTGAGGTAGGCACCGTGACTCGGCTGCCTGTGCAGAAGGTGGAGGTGGCAGGCGGATGGCCAGGGAGCCATGAGAAGACTCTTCCTGGGCACGGCGTGGGGACTGGACAGAAAACCACTGCAAGCCCCAAGGAGCCAGCTGAAGCCTCCCAATCCCCAGGGCACTGCAGAGTCTGGGCAGAGGTGGGCGCATAGGTACAAGTGCTGCTTTGTCAGCCTCACTCCCTGCAGCTCTCAGCTCCCTGTTCCCTGAGACCTGGCCTCAAAGGGCTGACCCAGCCATACGTAGATCCTGGGGTCTTTCTAGGACTGTGCCTCCCTGCTTGACCTATGCTCCAGGACCCTGCCCTCAACCCTTGTCAGCTCCCTAAGTCTTCCTGTTTCCCAGTCTCAGATTGAGTGGGTGCTCTCATTGGCCTCTCTAGCTAGGCCGTCTCCCTGGTCAGCTTCCTTGAGCCTGGGCCACTCCTCCCTGGCCTTCTTACCTCTGCCAAGAGCCTCCAGATGTGCCTGCAGCCTAGTCCCTGCCCAAGCTTCTCCCCCAGCCACCCTCTGCCCCTGTGGTAGAGCCCACTATAGGCCCAGGCGCCTTACGTGCTTCTCCCCTGGACCTATGTGCATCCCTCACCTGCCAGTTATGTGGCTGCCAAGCCCCACAGGCTGTCATGGTGGCTCTTGCCACACTTCCCTTCCTGAGCTGACCTGACCTCACTGCCACCTCTTGCATTGGGATCCTGAGGGCTGGCCCCTGCTCACTGATGGGCCCTCCCAGGCCCGTCAAGCCCTGGTGAAGGAGCTTAGCTTGTCTTCTTGGCAATTCACAATGCCTCACTCCACACCCTAAAACTGGAGCGTCCCCTATGGTCTCCTGCTGTGGCTTGGGTGCCGGGCGTCTCCCGCCTCCAGGATCTCCTCTCACCTGCCCCCATTAAAGCTCTGCCACTCATGCAGGCATGTGTGGACCATGTTTTCCCCTGGCCAGAGCCCCCACCTGCCACTGGAGGCCAGTTGCCCTCTTAGCACTCAGACATCAGCACTGTCTTCACAGAATAAATGCTTTATCTGGCCTTGCCCCACCCACCCACCCTCAGTTTACTGGAGCGCCTCCTGGAGGCGCTCACTCCCAGGCTGGCTGCTACGAGCTCTAGAGGACCAGCTGGGCAGAACCCACCCCTCTTCTGGGGTGCGCTTCTGGAGGCCTGAGCTCAGGGCCCGTATTCTCCTTGGGGATGCCCTGCTGCTGGGGCAGTGCAGCTGCAGGACTGGCTGTTGGCGCTCTAAGTCTGTGCCAGGCTCCAGGTCATCCACGGATGCTCGGAGTTGGGACTGCACCTGCTTCTCTGCAAGGGGCCACAGTGGGGTCAGGTGGAGTGCAGAGGGACCACGTGCTGCTCAGTTGCTCACCCACAGGGCCACACTACACCTGGCACAGCACTGAGGAAGAGCGTGTTCGCTGCAGGCAGCATCCAGCAGTGTGCAGCCACCTGCTGCAGGCCCAGGCATGCGTTTGGGTGCAGCTGCAGCAGCCCCCGAATCAAGTCCTGGCACTGTGGGCAAGGGCTCACGGCTGCAGCCTCTCATCACCTCCAGCACCCACCCTCACCCCATGCACATCACTGCCAACAGTGCCAGCAGCTTA
The DNA here is from genome assembly GCF_000001405.40 of Homo sapiens. Taxonomy (NCBI): domain Eukaryota; kingdom Metazoa; phylum Chordata; class Mammalia; order Primates; family Hominidae; genus Homo; species Homo sapiens. The sequence continues at coordinate 144,141,411 of NC_000008.11, forward strand.
GAGGGGTCAGTTCTGTTACCAGTGGGGAGACTGAGGCATAGAGGGGCAAGGCAGTGTGCCCTGGGCTAGTGCAGAGCTTAGGTTCGCAGCCACTGCCTTTCCTGAATTGCATTCTGAGTCAGGTCCTCCAGCAGCCCAGCTTCCCCAGCACTTGTCACCGCCTTGCGTGGACCAAACGCTTCCCAGCCTAAGCGGGGAGGATGCCAGGTTCAGTCTCTTCCACCACGCGGGACTACCCTCCTGGGAGTCCAGGTCTCCCTCACTGTTGCTCTCTAGGCCTGAGCTAGGTGTGGGAGTGTCATGGGGTGGTGCTCACCTGGGAACAGACCTGGCCAGAAGGTGGGACCGCGGTGCATGAGGTGCAGCATGCAGTGGGGCTGGCGCTCCTTGAAGGGCAGCTTCCCACTCACCATGGCATAGAAGATGAGACCTCTGGGGGCAGGAGTTCCTAAGGGTGTGGCCCCTCCCCAGCCCTCCCGTGGGCCCTGGCCACAGGGTCGGGGTGCCCTGGGGGCACTCAGACTCCACAGGTCGGCCCATTGCCTGGGGTCAGGGCTCTCAGACTCCACAGGTCGGCCCACTCCCCGCTATACTTGCTGCTCATGAGGATCTCTGTGTAGGCTGGGGAGCCGCCGAAAGTGCTGAGCGGTGAGTTCCTGGGCCCCATGCAGCCTGTGAAGCCAAAGTCTGTACGAGGTGTGTGGGGAGGGTGGCACTATGCGTGAGGGGCAGGGGTGCAGGGAGAGGGACTTGAGGACGCCACTCTGCAGGGATGGCTGTGGAGGTTTGCGGGGTTGCATGCAGTGTGTGGCCGACAGCAAGAGTGTGGGTGTGGATGAGGTGGGCCTGGTCTGGGGGCACACGGGGTTAGGCCAGTGACCTCAGGGCCGAGGGTAAGGGTGGCCTGCAGGCCTTCTGGGAGGGCTGAAAGCAGGGGCCTGGCTGGGACAAGTGTGGGGTGTGGGCCCCTGCAGGTGGAGGCATTCAACCCCAGGGTGGGGCTGTGGGCTCACCGGTCAGCTTGAGAAGGCCATGGAGAAGAACATCCAGCAGGATGTTCTCGCACTTCAGGTCCCTGCATGGGAGAGGGGAGGCGGGAGGTGGGGCTGACCTGGGCTCAAGTGGGCCTCTGTGCATGTGGGCAGACGATCGGCCCAGGTGCCGCCCTCACTGGTGCACGATGCCCACGCTGTGGCAGTGTGCCATGGCACTAACTAGCTGCCAGAAGAGTCCAGGGGCTTCCTTCTCCAGCCCTGGGCGGCAGAGGTGATCCACTGCAGCCTGGATGTGCTCCAGCAGGTCGCCCCAGGGCACCAGCTCCAGCACGAGCCGGCTGCTCTGATAGGTCTCATACAGCTGCACCTGCAGCCCACACACCTGCCATCACCCGGAGGCAGGGCCAAGGGTATGCTGGAACTGTCAAGGGTACCAGATCCAGGTTCCAGGATGGGGTTGGGCTCCAGCCCTGGGGCGAAAGGGAGGTCCAAGGTGGGAGGGGGCGATAGGCCTGGGGCAGGCAGCTGGCTGGGGAGGCGGAGGGTGGGGACAGGCTGTGTCCAGGCTTCTGCCCACATGGTCAGGTGCTTGTAGGTAGCGTTGAGTGACAGATCTCATGGGGTAGGAGCTTGCGGGAGAACTCCACCGGGGCCTCGGTTGTAGAGACGATCTTGATAGCTATCTGTAGGGTGAAGGGCGCTTGCTGTGTGAGATTTGGCCCTTGAGGGGCTGGCTGTGGTAGGGCAGGCCCCTGTCCTTTATACACTTTGCTGGAATCCTCAGGGGGGATGCTGGGTGAGCAGTGCCCTTGGAGGGCAGTGATGACCTCCCTGCTCCCTCCTGTGCCAAGTACTTTGTGTTCAAGGGGTTTGGGAACAGGGGATGGTCAGCCTGCAGGAGCCCCGGGGAGGCCTCTGGGGAGGAAATGGGACTGGGGAGAGTATCAGGCGGAGGAAGCTGGAGCAGCTGGATGGTGCCTGAGTGGGTTTGGGACACGGAGGGGCCTGCTGGGGGGCACTGGAGCCCTTTGGGGAGGGAGGAAAGCCTGTCTTACCATGGTGTGGCGCTTGCCCTGCAGGTGGGAGGACAGCTTGGGGTTGTGGTGCATGCACTCGTGGGTGGCATCGGCCAAGTACACCTTGGAGAAGGCCCCAGAACTGATCTTCTTGGAGGAGAGCAGGTAGCCATTGTCCTTGCACTCACGCACCTGCTCCGTGAAGGTTCTCTGATCCAGCTTCTGCCTGCTGCTGCCCTTCATGGAGGGCAGTGCATGGAAGGGGGTGTGGTGGTCCAGTTTCACCAGTCTTGGGGGGCACAGCTGAGACCTGACTTGTGTCAGAGGGCAGGGGCCAGGGTGGTAGGGGGTGCTGGGTGGGAACTGCGTCCCTCTTGAGGCAGCAGCCACACTTCTGAAGACTTGCTGGGACTGCGGCAGAGGCAGGGAGTGATGGGGCTGCAAGCTCAGGGCGGGGGCTGGCACAGCTCTGGACTGGGCAGGGGGAGGGCCAGCTCTGGGAGACGAGGTGCAGGTTCTAGAGTGGAGAATTGAGCTGTACCTGCATTGTGCCCTCAAAGGGTGCGTCTTCTTGTTTTGAGGACCTGCCCACTCTGAGGACATCTTGTGGGACCAGTCCTGCCCACATGGGGCCCACTCTCTGTGAGGTGAAAACCCATTTCAAGGGCTGCAGCCAGGGTGAGGCCTCTGTGGACCCCTATGGACGTGGCTGGCCACAGAAAGCTGTTAAAGAAATGAGGGTGGGGATTTCTGGGGCATAAGGACAGGAAAAGGGACACATACGTGTCAACCACCATTTCAACTGCACCCCCTCCTTCGAGAGGATGCCATGGCCACACTCAGCTGGGCCCTAAGGTGGGCTGAGCCAGAGGAAGGCAGGCAGGAGCTCTGTCTCCCGGCCTTCTCCACTGGAGCCTGAAGCACCTCCTGCCCAGGCCAGCAAGGTGCAGGAAGCGTCCCACCTAGAGACCTCTGCAGACTTGACCACACACCCCAGGGCAAGCAAGGGCCCCACTCCTGAGCCTACCTCTGATCCTACAGTTCCAAGAGACAGAAGCCAACCTTGCCCCTCCCTTCTGGACCCCAGAGTGCCCTGTGGGCACTATTACTGCTAACGTTTGAGTGCCAGCTCTGTGCCGGGTGCCATTCTGGGCAGTCGCACCAGCTACCACTACCACCTGTAGCAGTCCTGCCCCCGTTCACAGAAGACATTCAGGAGCCCAGCCTGTGGGGGCAGTTCACATCTGGGATCTCAAGTCCTAACACAACCAAGCAATCCTCGCTTTACAGATGATGAAATTGAGCCGCCATGGTGGGGAAGCCCAACCCAAATGTGTCATCTCTGCTGTGAGCTAGACAGCACAGTGGCTGTGGGCCTGGAGGGCAGGGCTGCCTGATGGGCAGCCATCCTGGGAATGTCTGCAAGGGTCTGGTGCTTGGTACAGACCAGTGAGTCTGGGGAATTGGGGTCTCCACCAAGATCTGTGGGTGCACTTGGCATGTTTGCTGCAGAAAAGGCCCCAGAATGGGCTGGCTTGAACTGGAAAAACACACTTTCTCATCCCTTTTGGACCACGAGCTTCTTGAGAGCAAAGCATGTGTTTGATATTCCTTTGCTCACCCTCAGGCCTTGTTTGGCAAATTGCCTGGGATACAGAAAATAAGGACAAGGTCTGGGTGTAGTGGCTTATGCCTGTAATCCCAGCACTTTGGGTGACCAAGGCAGGAGGATCTCTTGAGGCCAGGAGTTGCAGACCAGCCTGGGTAACATAGTGAGACCTTGTCTCTGCAACAAAATTTAAAAATTAGCCAGACTTGGTGGTTCCCACTTGCAATCCCAGCTATTTGGGAGGCTGAGGCGAGAGGATCACTTGAGCGCAGGAATTTAAGGCTGCTGTGAGCTATGATTGTGCCACTGCACTCCAGCCTGGGTAACAGTGAGAGGCCTCATTTCAACAATAAAACCCAGCTTGGGCCGGGCGCGGTGGCTCATGCCTTTAATCCCAGCACTTTGGGAGGCCAAGACGGGCAGATCACGAGGTCAGGAGATAGAGACCATCCTGGTTAACACGGTGAAACCCTGTCTCTACAAAAAATACAAAAAAAAAAAATTAGCCGGGCATGGTGGCAGGCACCTGTAGTCCCAGCCAGTCGGGAGGCTGAGGCGGAAGAATGGCGTGAACCCGGGAGGCAGAGGTTGCAGTGAGCCGAGATCGCGCCACTGCACTCCAGCCTAGGGGACAGTTAGACCTCAGAAGAAACAAACTGGTTTGTGGTTGACCTGGGGGTTAGGTGTAGGGAAAAGAAAGACAGATCAGACTGTCCCTGTGTCTATGTAGAAAGGGAAGACATAAGAGACTCCATTTTGAAAAAGACCTGTACTTTAAACAATTGCGTTGCTGAGATGTTGTTAATTTGTAGCTTTGCCCCAGCCACTTTGATCCAACCTGGAGCTCACAAAAACGTGTGTTGTATGAAATCAAGGTTTAAGGGATCTAGGGCTGTGCAGGACGTGCTTTATTAACAAAATGTTTACAAGCAGTATACTTGGTAAAAGTCATCACCATTCTCTAGTCTCGATAAACCAGGGGCACAATGCACTGTGGAAAGCCACAGGGACCTCTGCCCTTGAAAGCAGGGTATTGTCCAAGGTTTCTCCCCATGTGATAGTCTGAAATATGGCCTCGTGGGATGAGAAAGACCTGACTGTCCCCCAAACTGACACCCGTAAAGGGTCTGTGCTGAGGTGGATTAGTAAAAGAGGAAAGCCTCTTGCAGTTGAGTTAGAGGAAGGCCACTGTCTCCTGCCTGCCCCTGGAAACTGAATGTCTTGGTATAAAACCCGATTGTACATTCAGTTCTGAGCTAGGAGAAAAACCGCCCTATGGTGGGAGGTGAGACATGTTTGCAGTAATGCTGCTTTGTTATTCTTTACTCCACTGAGATGTTTGGGTGGAGAGAAACATAAATCTGGCTTAAGTGCACGTCCAGTCATAGTACCTTCCCTTGAACTTAATTATGACATAGATGCTTTTGCTCACGTTTTTTGCTGACCTTCTCATCACCCTGCTCTCCTACAACATTCCTTTTTGCTGAAATAATGAAAATAATAATAAAAACTGAGGGAACTCAGAGGCCGGTGCTGGTGCAGGTCCTTGGTGTGCTGAGTGCTGGTCCCCTGGGCCCACTGTTGTTTCTCTATACTTTGTCTCTGTGTCTTATTTCTTTTCTCAGTCTCTCGTCCCACCCGACTAGAAATACCCACAGGTGTGGAGGGGCAGGCCACCCCTTCATTAGGAAAAAAATAGAAACTGCGCCAGGCAATTTAAGCAGGTGGGATTGGTTGCTTAAGTGTCAGAAGGGCTTGAGAGGCACGGGGGCAGGGTGGAGTTCGTCGAAGGTGGGGGCTGCAAGAAGCGGCCACTCTAGAACCGGAGCCAGGTGGTCCCGACCCAGGGTGGCTGAGCCTCTGGGCTCTGCTGCGGAGCCTGGGAGCCTGCGGCCCCTGCGGCACACCTCCGCTCCCACCAGTGGCAGGACACAGCTGGAAGCCCGCGAGTGTCAAGCCAAGTGATGACTGCAGGATCAGAACGGCCATTGGCTCTGTCCACCCTCCCTTTGCAGTCTCGATTATCCGCGTCGTTGCCTGCACCTGAGTCCATTCCCGGGGCTTCATTGGGCAGCCGTCCCGTGCGGGGCTTTGTAAGCAGCCCTCGGGAGCAAAATACAGACTCAGGCCTGCCCCTGGCGGAGGGGCTGGCGTTCGTTTGTGATCGGAGTGAAAGTGGGGCTGTGCTGCGCGCGGCAGCTGGTGTGCGTGAGGCGGGGGCGGCACCGAGACCGGGAGGGGACAAGGCCACAGGCGCGTGGGAAGCCGCCGCAGGGGCCGCGCCCGCATCCGCAAAGGGTACTGCGCTCTCCCGGGCGCCGTCCCCACAGCGGGAGCCCAGTCCCTCCGGCCAGGAGTGGACATCCTGCCCGCGCTGCTCCCGCCGCCTCCGCCTCTGCCGACGCCCAGCCTGGACGCGCGGCGGGCGCTTTCCTTCCTCACATCGCTCTTATCGCGTCCCGAGTTCCCGGGACCCCGCTGGTCGCCTCTTTCCCAACGAGCGCAGGGCCCTGCGAGTCCTGCCCCCCTCCGGGTGCCGCGGCCTCCAGCTGGCGCTTCCGGGGCAGACAGAGGGCGGGCGGGCCGCGCGAGTCCAGGGCGGGCGTGTGCTTGCGAGCGGCCGCAACGCCGCGCCGAGCCCGCGTCCCCGGCGTCTGGGAGCGGAGGTCGTCAGGGCTGTATGCGTCCGACGGGGACACGGGGACTGCAGCACCCCGGGGCTGGCGTAGCTGTCGCGAGCCTGAAGGCCGCGCCTGCGCCGTGGCGGCCGAACTGTCGCTCAACAGACGGGCGGGGCCGAGCGTGAGGCGGAGTCTGCGCACTGCTGCTTTGCAAATGAAGGTGGGCGGGGTGGAGCGAGCGTGAGAGACGTGCCCCCGACCAATAAGTGCAGAGATCGCTCGGGGGCGGGGACCTGCTGCCGCGCTCCAGGCTGCGGGTGGCCAGAAGGCAGCGGGGGCGGGCTCGGCGCGCGCGGCTCCGCCCACTCCGGGCCCCTGCTGGGCGGGAAGGCGGCGCCCCGGCCGAGGTGGCGGCGGCTCCTCAGGTAAACGGCGGGTGGGGATGAGCCTTCGGCGGCGCTGGGGAAGAGCCCCTCGGGGAAGTCTGGGCTGAAGAGCCTGGGGCGGCTCCCTTGGCGGGGCCGCGGAGGAAGCCGAGTCAGGAGGCGCCTCCCCAAGGTCACAGGGCGAACGCTGGGAGGGTCCTGGGTGTCGCGGGGACCTCGGCTCAGGTGTGCGCCGCGCCACAGCCCGGAAGAGAGGCCGGAGCTGTGCGGCTGTGCTCCTCCTCTGCGCCGCTAAGTCGTCTCGGCCGCGCGACCACCCCTCTTCGGGGAGCTTGGTGGTCCCCGGTGCCCGCCCCTCCGCGGGAGCCCGGTGGTCCCCGGTGCCCGCCCCTCCTGTGAGCCCGGTGGTCCCCAGTGCCCGGCCCTCCCCGGGAGCGCGGTGGTCCCCGGCCCTTCTCCCCCCAGGCGGGGCCACCGGGGGTCCTCTCTCCGGGAAGCCAAGCATACGCCCGGAGCCTGCAAAGCCGGCGTGCCCCGGGCCTCCGTATGCCTTCCGTATTCTCTGACGATCGCGAGCAGGAAGGTGATTTGTCCCTAGTCACGAGGATGACTGGTCATAGCGTGCCGGGCATAGCGCTGGCAGGGCCGCCGGGAGCCAGCCCTCACTCAGCCAAGGTGAGACTTAGGGGGTCGGATTTTCGGGCAGCGTCAGTGCAGCTGCAGTGTGAGGGTCAGAGGAAACCACTCTGCGGGCGCTGGTGGCTCGGTCCTACACACTCTGGGGAGGGGCTCCTTTGCCTGCTCAGTTGGGGAAGGGACAGACTCATAAACTCAAGTGCAGTGAGGTAAGCAGAAAAGGGGTACGGGGGTGTGGCCGAACTTAGGGATGTGAGCAGAGTTGGGTCGGGGACAGCCCTGTAGGCAGGGACCACTTTGGAAGGGGATGGTGGTGAACGCACACGATGCGGTAAGAGGCAGGCAGGGTAGGGCCGGTGATAAGTCAGGTGAGGGTGGTGAGTTGAGTTTAGAGCTGTTGGGTCTCAGTGCGATGACCATGGATGGAGATGTCCCGAAGACCTCGGGTCCCGGCGAGGCGAGGGCTGGAGATGCGTGTGGGAATCGTTGTTTGCGGCATGTTTCATAGGTGGTACGTGTTTGTGACGTGGCTGCATGGACAGTCTGGGCACCCTAGGGTGCTGCCGTCAGCAGGATCTTCAGTGCTCAGTCTCAGGCTCTCAGGGTCCCCGTGAACAGGTGTCTCTGGTCTCTCTTTGATGTCAGAGTGGAATGACCTGAGGCTAAGGTGTTTTTGTTAACTTGAAACTGACGTGCAGGCCGCTGTGGCTTGTGGAGACCTGCACCTCGTCATTTCCCACTGGCTGGGGTTGATTGCTGACTGCTGAGGGACACCAGGGGGTCAGAGGTGGAGGCTGTGGGGCATGTGCTTGCCTGAGTTCGTGGCTGTCTCCTGTGTCAGGAAACAGGTGCTGGTGCTTAGTTTTCTTTCCCAGGGTCCACAGAGGCCCAGGAGAGAAGCCTGGTTGCTGCCCTCTGTCTCGTAGCCCCCCTTTCACAGAGCTGGGTTATTTGGGGTAGAGATCCTCTGTCTGTGCCGGTCCACCCAGCTTGGTTTCTTTGGGGTAGGAGCACCAGGAAAGGCTCCCGTGGCTCTTGGGAGCTCCTAGCCAGTGTGCAGAGAACATGGACTGCTGCCCATCATGAGAAATGTGCTTTCTTCACTGAGCTTGAGGGGCCACCTGGTTTTGGGGGTTTGCATGAGCACCAGTGACACAGCTTGGTGTGGCCTGTATTGAGGAACCATGTTCTCGGTGGACTGTGAGCAGTGGGCTGTGGGATTGCATTTCCCAGGGTCATCAGCCTTATTGGTGACTTTGGAAGTTGATTCTGTGGCTGCTGTGCTGGGAGAGAAGGTTCCTTGGACCTGACGCGTGGGTGGGGCATTCTGTGACCTCCCAGTCTCCCTGCACACACCCAGCCCTGCAGGCTGGCTCACCACTGCTTCTGGGCTATTGATTCCTGTGGCCTGCACAGCCTCGCACACCCCCTCCTAACCCTTTTGGACCCAGTGCAGCACCTCTGTTGTGGGCACAGGTGTGGCAGCCATATACTTTTTGTGGCCGGAGGGCTTTCAAGACAGGAACTCTGGGCCTGGGATGGTGACTGGCGGGTGTTTACTAAATGTGGTTGAATTAAATGAAAAGGAAGCAGCTCTTTCATTCACACAGAAATGTGTGCTATGTAGGGAGAGAAGACCCTATCAACCCTGCCTGCCACCTTCTCCCATTCGTTTGCTTTTTGTTAATTTAACCAGAGCCCTGATTGGCATTTGTGTTTTTTTCTGACATCCCCATTATATACATGTGTGTGTACTAGTACGAGGGCATCTGTAGATAGATGTGGAAAAGTGGATGTTTAGCCACTGAGGCTTGTTGGGGCCGTTCTTCAGGTTCTGCTACTGGCACCAGCACCGAGTAGCCCCTGTCCTCAGCACGTCAGATGCTCTTGGTGTTCAACTGTGTGCTGGCCTCACTGCAAGCCTTTGACTGGTGACACTTTTTGCCATGTAGCCTACAAATAGAGGAGCTAGTCATCACTGATCGTCACCATTTGTAGGTGGTGGGACAGGGCACAGGGATTTTCCATGCCTGCTCATGGCTTACTGGCTCTGCCACTGAGCCCTTATCCAGCCACTGATGCAGGAGGGCTGGGAAGAGAAGAGTGTGGTCCCTTATGGAATAGGGGAAGGGAAGTGCTGGGTAGAGTAGAGCATGGTCCCTGGCTAGGGCTCCACCACCATGGACCTAGATGAGGACAGGCACTCCTGCCTTCCTGCCCAAATGTTACATTTCCCAAGACCACCCTGGCCTGCCATACATAGCTCCTGTGCCTATATAAACCTGAGACCCAGGCCAGGCGTGATGGCTCACGCCTGTAATCCCAGCACTTTGGGAGGCCCAGGCAGGCGGATCACTTGAGGTCAGGAGTTCGAGACCAGCCTGGCCAACATGGTGAAACCCCGTCTCCACTAAAAATACAAAAATTCGTCGAGTGTGGCGGTGGGCGCCTGTAATCCCACCTACTCAGGAGGCCAAGGCAGGAGAATCGCTTGAACCTGGGAGGCGGAGGTTACAGTGAGCCGAGATTGCGCCATTGCATTCCAGCCTGGGTGACAGAGCAATATTCTGTCTCAAAAAAAAAAAAAAAAAAAAAAAAAAACCTCCAAGATGCTAGCAAGGCAGGGACACAGGCAGCTGGACATAGAGAGGAGCAGATTGGCGGAAGAAGACACAAGCAACTGGACCTCGAGGGGAACACGCCAGTGGAAGAACACACCAACAGATGCCAGCACTCTGGCAGGCCATCGACTGGCTGGACAAGGTGGAGTTTGGCCAGGGCAGTCGGAGGAGAGCTGGGGCCACCAAGCAGCCCAACTCCAGAGGAAGACCATCTCCTTTCTGGCTCCCCCATTGGCTGAGAGCTGCTTCCACTCAATAGAACTTTACACTCATTCTCCAAGCCCAGGTGTGATCCGACTCTGCCGGTACACCAAAGGGCAAGAACCCGGGATACAAAAAGCCCTCTGTCCTTGCGACAAGTAGAGGGTCTAATTGAGCTGTTTAGCACAAGCTGCCTATAGACGGCAAACTAAAAGAGCACCCTGGAACACACGCCCACTGGGGCTTCAGGTGTAAACATTCATCCCTAGATACAGCCTCCCGTCTCTGTGCTCCCCCTAGAGGTTTGGGCAGCGGGGCACTGAAGAAGCAATTCGCACCAACGTCACACGCCCTGCGACGGGGACAAGGGGACCTTTCCGCAGCACCGTGCTGCACTGCCGTCGGCTCTGGAAGGGTGGCTGAGTGTCTCTGTTCAACCTAGGGGCAGTCAGCACAGTCCCCATATGTCTGCCGGCGATCTCTCTCTCTTCTGAGAATTCTTGCACGTCCTTTGCTCTCTTTCCTGTTTATCTCAGGGATGTGCACAAGCTCCTTTGCATACAGTAGTCCTTCCCTGTCCACAGGGATATGTCTCATACCTATATACCTATGATAAAGTTTAACTATAAATGAAGCACAATAAGAGGTTGACAGCAATGAATAATAAAATAGAACAGTTTATGACAATACTCAAGACAGCCTGCAATTTAAAACATGAGTTCATTTCTGGAATTTTTCTATTTAATATTTTTGGACTATGTTTGATTGTGGGTAACTGAAACCAAGGAAAGTAAAACAGGATAAGAGGGGACTACTATGTTAATATCAGGCAAGTCATTTTCTCATATATATTATGATTGGTTTATCATAACTGCCTTGTTTTTTTATTTAAAAAAAATTTTTTTTTTTTTTGAGACGGAGTCTTGCTCTGTCGCCAGGCTGGAGTGCAGTGGCACGATTTTGGCTCATTGCAACCTCTGCCTACTGGGTTCAAGCCATTCTCCTGCCTCAGCCTCCTGAGTAGCTGGGACTACAGGCGTGTGAAAAATTATTATTATTATTTTTTTTTTTGAGACAGTCTCGCTCTGTCGCCCAGGCTGGAGTGCAGTGGTGCAATCTCGGCTCACTGGAAGCTCCGCCTCCTGGGTTCATGCCATTCTCCTGCCTCAGCCTCCCGAGTAGCTGGGACTACAGGCGCCCGCCACCACACCCGGCTAATTTTTTGTATTTTTTAGTAGAGACGGGGTTTTACTGTGTTGGCCAGGATGGTCTCCATCTCCTGACCTTGTGATCTGCCCACCTCGGCCTCCCAAAGTTCTGGGATTACAGGCATGAGCCACTGCGCCTGGCCATGACCTCATATACTTTCTTCTCGTGCTGAGAACACTTAAAATCTACTCTCAGCAATTTTCAAGTATATATCACGTTGCTGTTAACTCTAGTCATCTATGTTGTGCAATTGATCTCTTGAATTTATTCTTCCTGTCTAACTGAAGCATTGACCCTGTGACCAACATCTCCCTAGTCCTCCACCTCTGCCAGCCCCGGTAACCACCGTTCTACTCTGCTTCTAGGAGTTCAACTCTTCATAGAAGTTGGGATTCCACGTGTGAGATCACGTGGTCGTCTTTCTGTTCCTGGCTTATTTTACTTTACGTAATGTCCTTCAGTACATCCCATTTCTCGCAAATGACAGGAATTCCTTCTTTTTTTTTTTTGAGATGGAGTTTCACTCTTGTTGCCCAGGCTGAAGTGTAATGGCTCGATCTCGGCTCACTGCAACCTCCGCCTCCTGGGTTCAAGCAATTCACTTGCCTCAGCCTCCTGAGTAGTTGGGATTACAGGCACCCACCACCACGCCCAGCTAATTTTTGTATTTTTAGTAGAGATGGCGTTTCACCATGTTGGCCAGTCTGGTCTCGAACTCCTGACCTCAGGTGATCCACCTGCTTCGGCCTCCCAAAGTGCTGGGATTACAGGTGTGAGCCACTGCGCCCAGCCTCCTTTTTTAAGACTGAATAATACTCCATTGTGATATACCACATTTTCTTTGTTTTATTTTTATTTTGTTCTTTCTTTAAATATATGCCACATTTTCTTTATTCATTCATCCATTGGTGCACACTTACACTGATTCCATATCTTGGCTTTTGTGAATGGTGCTGCAGTACCCATGGCAGTGCAGATGTCTTTTTTGAGATCCTAATTTCATTTCCTCTGGATGCGTACTCAGGATCATTGGATGATATGGCAGTTCTGTTTTTATTTTATTTTTTATTTTTTGAGACAGAGTTTTGCTCCATCGCCCAGGCTGGAGTGCAGTGGCACGATCTTGGCTCACTGCAACCTCTTCCTCCTGGGTTCAAGCGGTTCTTCTCCCTCAGCTTCCCGAGTAGCCAGGACTACAGGCGCCCACCACCACACCTGGCTAATATTTTGTATTTTTAGTAGAGATGGGGTTTCACCGTGTTAGCCAGGATGGTCTCGATCTCTTGACCTCGTGATCCGCCCACCTTGGCCTCCCCAAGTGCTGGGACTACGGGCGTGAGCCAAAGCGTCCACCCTATTTTTATTTTTATTTTTTTTTGAGATGGAGCCTGGCTCTGTTGCCCAGGCTGGAGTGCAGTGGCAAGATCTCGGCTCACTGTAATCTCCACCTCCTGGGTTCAAGCCATTCTCCTGCCTCAGCCTTCCGAGTAGCTGGGATTACAGGCACGTGCCACCACGCCGGCTAATTTTTAAAAATTTTTTAAGTAGAGACAAGGTTTTACCATGTTGGTCAGGCTGGTCTCAAACTCTTGACCTCAAGTGATCCGCAGCTATAGACCTCAGTCTATGGTACAAACTAGGCAGCTCAACTTGTTCTTATAAAGTCATGGCTTTCTTCTGCTTCTGGGGAGCACTTCCAGCACCACTACTGGCACTTTGTATGGGTCCCATGGTGTCATTCAAGGCACTGACTAAACCTGATGAAGAATGTGGGAGAACCACGGGCGACTGGTTTTACTGCAAACTGCTCATGTGGGGGTGATGGCGTCCCACGGTGTGTTAAGCAGATACACTCACTGCCTGAGCTCACTGCAGTAGCAATGAGACGTGCTTTGGAATTATCACAGTAGTTCAGTATGTGCTACACTTAATTCTGTGTAGCTGTGATTCAATACTGCATCTTTTTTTTTTTTTTTTTTTGAGACAGAGTTTCACTCTTGTCACCCAGGCTGGTGTACAATGGCATGATCTCAGCTTACTGCAACCTCCGCCTCCTGGGTTCAAGCAATTCTGCCTCAGCCTCCCAAGTAGCTGGGATTACAGGCATGCGCTACCACGCCCAGCTACTTTTTTTTAAGATGGCTTGCTCTGTGGCCCAGGCTGGAGCGCAGTGGTGCAATCTCAGCTCACTGCAACCTCTGCCTCCTGGGTTCAAGCAATTCTCTGCCTCAGCCTCCCGAGTAGCTGGGATTGCAGGCACCCGCCACCATGCCTGGCTAATTTTTGTATTTTTAGCAGAGATGGGGTTTCACCATGCTAGCCAGGCTGGTCTTGAACTCCTGACCTCGTGATCCACCCACCTCGGCGTCCTAAAGTGCTGGGATTACAGGCATGAGCCACCACGCCCGGCCTAATTTTGTATTTTTAGTAGACACAGGGTTCCTCCATGTTGGTCAGGCTGGTCTCGAACTCCTGACCTCAGTTAATGCGCCTGCTTCAGCCTCCCAAAGTGCTGGGATTACAGGTGTGAGCCACCGCACCCGGCCTCTCAATACTGCGTCTTTATGTTTGTTTAGATTTTTCTTGACTGCAGATGGCAGCATGTAGGGTCTGTAAGTGTGCATATATATTTTGATAAATTTTAACTTCTTACAACAGATTTGTGTATATTTCATGGTAGTAAATGATAAAATAGACTAGTGTCTACATATATTTTATGCATTCATGACATATTTCACATTTTCTTAAATTTTTTTGATATCTCTAGACTACGTTTGTCCATAAGTTTTTCCAACGTGTCACAAATCTCCAAAAAGTTTTCCAATATATTTATTGACACAAAACTGTGTATAAGTGAACCCATGCAGTTGAAACTTGTGTTGTTCAAGGACCAACTGTATGATGTTAATTACAGGTTTTTCTTAGGTGTTTTTCTTTTTTTTTTTTTTTTTTTGAGATGGAGTCTTGCTTTGTCACCCAGGCCAGAATGCACGATCTCAGCTCACTGCAACCCCTGCTTCCTGGGTTCAAGTGATTCTCCTGCCTCAGCCTCCTGAGTAGCTGGGACTACAGGCGCCCACCACCACTCAGGCTAATTTTTGTATTTTTAGTAGAGACAGGGTTTCAACATGTTGGCCACACTGGTCTCGAACTCGTGACCTCAAGTGATCCATCTGCCTCAGCCTCCCGGAGTGCTGGGATTACAGGCCTGAGCCACTGCACCCGGCCAGTTTTTCTTAAGTAACAAGTTGAGGCCGGGCGCGGTGGCTCACGCCTGTAATCCCAACATGTTGGGAGGCCGAGGCGGGTGGATCACCTGAGGTTGGGAGTTCGCAACCAGCCTGACCAACATGGAGAAACTCCGCCTGTACTAAAAATACAAAATTAGCTGGGCGTGGGGCGCATGTCTGTAATCCCAGCTACTCTGGAGGCTGAGGCAGGAGAATCACTTGAACCCGGGAGGTGGAGGTTGTGGTGAGCCGAGACTGCGCCATTGCACTCCAGCCTGGGCAACAAGAGTGAAACTCCGTCTCAAAGAAAAAAAAAAAAAAAAAAAAAAAGTTGAGCAGGTTTCCTTCTCTTCCTAGTTAAGGTAGTTCCCTTCTCTTCTTGAGAATTTTTATCATAAGTGGACGTTGGATTGTGACAAATGCTTTTTCTGCATTTATTGAGATGATCGTGATGTGAATTATATCAGCTGAATTTAAAAATATTAAAACCAGCTGGGCACGGTGGCTCACACCTATAATCCCAGCACTTTGGGAGGCCGAGGCCGGCGGATTGCCTGAGCTCAGGGGTTTGAGACCAGCCTGGCCAACATGGTGAAACACCATCTCTCCTAAAAAAATACAAAAATTAGCCAGGCGTGATGGTGTGTGCCTGTAGTCCCATCTACTCAGGAGGCTGAGGCAGAAGAATCGCTTGAATGTGGGAGGCAGAGGTTGCAGTGAGCCGAGATTGCACCATTGCACTCCAGCCTGGGTGACAGAGCAAGACTCTGTCTCAAAAAAAAAAAAAAAAAAAAAAGAATTTGCACATCTGTGTCCATAAGGAATATTGCTTTGTAGTTTAATTTCTTTTTTTTTTTTTTTTTTCTTGAGACAGAGTCTCATTCTGTCCCCAGGCTTGAGTGCAATGGTGCTATCTCGGCTCATTGCAAACTCTGCTTCCTGGGTTCAAGCAATTCTCTTGCCTCAGCCTCCTGAGTAGCTGGGATTACAGGCGCACACCACCACGCCTGGCTAATTTTTGTATTAGTATTATTATTTTTAGACAGAGTCTCACTGTGTTGCCCAGGCTGGAGCGCAGTGGCGTGATCTCGGCTCACTGCAACCTCCGCCTCCCGCATTCAAGGGATTCTACTGCCTCAGCCTCCTGAGTAGCCGGGATTACAGGCGTGCGCCACCACGTCCAGCTAATTTTTTTGTATTTTTAGTAGAGAAGGGGTTTCACCATGTTGGTCAGGCTGGTCTCGAACTCCTGACCTTATGATCCGCCTGCCTCAGCCTCCCAAAGTGCTGGCTTGAGCCACCATGTACAGCTAATTTTTGTATTTTTAGTATAGACAGGGCTTCACCATGTTGGCCAGGCTGGTCTCAAACTCCTGACCTCAAGTTATCCACCCGCCTTGGCCTCCCAAAGTGCTGGGATTACAGGCGTGAGTCTGTATAGCTTTCTTACAAGGTCTTTGGTTTTGTTATGAGAGTAATGCTCAGAAAATTAGTTGGGAAGTAGTCTTTTCTTTTTAATTTTTTCAGGAAGAATTTGTGTATAGTTGGTATTATTTCTTCCTTCCATGTTTGGTAGAATTCCCCAGGGAAACCATCTAGGTTTTATGGGAAGGTTTTTTACTATGAGTTCGATTTCTTTTTAGATATGGGACTATTTAGGTTATCTCTTTGTGAGTGAGGTTTGATAGCTTGTAGCTTGTGTCTTTTAAGGGATTTGCCTATTTCTTTTTCTTTCTTTCTTTCTTTTTTTTTTTTTTTTTTTTGAGAAGGGGTTGCTTTGTCA
Source organism: Homo sapiens (assembly GCF_000001405.40). NCBI lineage: Eukaryota > Metazoa > Chordata > Mammalia > Primates > Hominidae > Homo > Homo sapiens. The sequence goes on from NC_000008.11 coordinate 144,157,718, forward strand.
CCCAGGCTGGAGTGCAGTGGTGCAGTCTTGGCTCACTGCTACCTCTGTTTCCCAGGCTCACGTGGTCCTTCCACCTCAGCCTCCTGAGTAGCTGGGACTACAGGTGGGTGCCACCATGCCCAGCTGATTTTTGTACTTTTGGTAGAGATGGGGTTTTGCCATGTTGCCCAGGTGGTCTTGAACTCCTGAGCTTGAGTGATCCACCTGCCTTGGCCTCCCAAAGTGCTGGGATTACAGGCATGAGCCACTGCGCCTGGCCATCTATTTCTTTCTTTTTTTTTTTTTTTTTTTTTGAGATGGAGTCTGGCTCTGTCGCCCAGGTTGGAGTGCAGTGGTGCTATCTTGGCTCACTGCAAACTCCGCCCCCTGGGTTCAAGCAATTCTCCTGTCTCAGCCTCCCAAGTAGCTGGGACTACAGGTGCATACCACCATGCCCAGCTAATTTTTGTATTTTTAGTAGGGTTCGGGTTTCACCATACTGGCCGGGCTGGTCTCGAACTCCTGAACTCAGGTGATCCACGTACTTCAGCCTCCCAAAGTGCTGGGATTACAGATGTGAGCCACCACGCCTGGCCAATTTTTCTATTTTTAGTAGAGATGGGGTTTCACTGTGTTGGTCAGGCTGGTCTCGAACTGACCTCAAGTGATCCACCCACCTTGGCCTCCCAAAGTGCTAGGATTACAGGCATGAGCCACCTCACCTGGCCTCTAGTTTCTTAAGGTAGAAGTTGAACTCATTATTTTTTTCCTGCACATTCTCTGTATACTTTAATCATTCTTCTTTTCTAAAAAGACATTTAGTGCTATAAGTTTCCACAAATTTTGATATGTCTTTTCATTTTCATTCACTTCAGTGTGTTTTGTAATTTCACTTTTGATTCCTTTTTAGACCCATGCGTTATTTCAAAGCATATTAAATAGTTTTGAAACTCCTGGGGATTTCTCAGATATCTTTCTCTTATTGATATATTTAATTCCACTGTGGTCAGAGAACATACTTTGTATGCATTGACTTCTTTTACACTTTTTTTTTTTTAATTTTTAGCGACAGGGTCTCACTCCTGTCGCTGAGGCTGGAGCACAGTGGTGTGATCTCTGCTCACTGCAGCATTGACCTCCTGGGCTCAAGTGATCCTCCTGCCTCCCGAGTAGCTGGGACTACAGGCGCACGCCACCACGCCCAGCTAGTTTTTGTATTTTTTGTAGAGACAGGGCTTCGCTGTGTTACCCAGGCTGGTTTTGAACTCCTGAGCTCAAGCATTCAAACTGCCTCGTAGCCTCCCAAAGTGCCAAGATTACAGGTATGAGCCACTCTGCCTGGCCGAATTTTCTGTTCACTTGTTCTAACAGAGACAGAGGGCCGGGCACAGTGGCTCACGCCTGTAATCCCAGCACTTTGGGAGGCTGAGGTGGGTGGATCACCTGAGGTCAGGAGTTCGAGACCAGCCTGGCCAATGTGGTGAAACCCCATCTCTACTAAAAATACAAAAATTAGCCAGGTATGGTGGCCCGTTTCTGTAGTCCCAGCTCCTGGGGAGGCTGAGGCAGGAGAATCACTTAAACCCGGAAGGCGGAGGTTGTAGTGAGCCGAGATCCTGCCATTGTACTCCAGCCTGGGCGACAAAAGCGAAACTCCGTGTCAAAAAGAAAGGAGAGAGAGAGAAATGTTGAAATCTATACTGCAATTTAGATTGGTCTATTGTTCCTTGCATTTTTATTAGTTTTGGCTTTGTGTATTTTGAAGCTCTGTTACCAGGTAAAAATGTTTAGGATACTTAATATTTCTGAAATCTAGTTTGTCTAATGTGACTCCAGCTTTCTTGTAACTAATGCCAGCCATGTTTTTCTTTGCCCATCCTTTTGCTTTTAACCTCGTAGTGTTAACATATTTAATCTTTCCTGTAGTTTCTCAAACATATGAAATAGTTTTAATAACTAATGTCTGTGTCTCTGAACTCTTTCCTTTGTGTTATTTCTGGGTCAGTTTGTATTGGTTGGTTCATCCTCACAATGGGTTGGATTTTCTTGCTTCTTTGTACGCCTGGTAATTTTTTTTTTTTTTTTTTTTGAGACGGAGTCTCGCTTTGTCGCCCAGGCTGGAGTGCAGTGGTGCGATCTTGGCTCACTGCAAGCTCCGCCTCCCGGGTTCACGCCATTCTCCTGCCTCAGCCTCCTGAGTAGCTGGGACTACAGGGGCCCGCCACCACACCCCGTCTAATTTATTGTATTTTTTAGTAGAGACAGGGTTTCACCGTGTTAGCCAGGATGGTCTTGATCTCCTGAGCTCATGATCCACCCGCCTCGGCCTCCCAAAGTGCTGGGATTACAGGCGTGAGCCACCGCGCCCGGCCCACGCCTGGTAATTTTTGATTGGATGCCAGGCGTTGCTTTTGCTTGGTGTTGCTGGATATTTTTGTGTTTCTGTTAGTATTCATGAGCTTTGTGCTGGGAGCTGGCTAAGTTACTAGGGAACAGTTTGATCTTGTCAGACCTTTCTTTTAGCTTTGTTAGGTGAGACCAGAATGACATTTAGTCTAGGACTGATTTGGTTGTTTACTGAGGTGGAATCCTGAGCTCTGCCTGGTGCCCCATGAGTCATGACGCTTTCCACACTTTCCACTCCGGCTGCTGGGAGCAGGCCCCATTCCTGGACCTGTGGAAGCCCTGGATGTTGCTTCTCCTAATCCCTTTGTGTGGCTCTTTCTGCAGCTTTGGACAGTTTGTTCTCCTACAAGGCATTTGTCTTAGTTTTCTAATGCTGATGCAATGCATTATCACAAACTTAGTGCCTTAAGCAACACAAATTTATTACCATAAAGTTTTTGGAGTCAGAAGTCTACCAAGGGTCCCACCGGCTAGAACCCAGGCACCAGACAAATTTATTACCATAAAGTTCTTGGAGTCAGAAGTCTACCAAGGGTCCCACCGGCTAGAACCCAGGCACCAGACAAATTTATTACCATAAAGTTCTTGGAGTCAGAAGTCTACCAAGGGTCCCACTGGCTAGAACCCAGGCACCAGACAAATTTATTACCATAAAGTTCTTGGAGTCAGAAGTCTACAAGGGTCCCACCGGCTAGAACCCAGGCACCAGACAAATTTATTACCATAAAGTTTTTGGAGTCAGAAGTCTACCAAGTCTCACCAGCCAGAACCCAGGCGCCGGGGGCTGCTTCCCTTCCTGGTGCCCCTGGGAAGGATTGCTTCTGCTGTCTCAGGTTCCTGGCAGAATTTGGTTCTTTGCATCTGTAGGACGGAAGCTCCTGTTTTCTTGTCAGCCGCCAGCTGAGGGCCATTCGCAGCTTCTCCAGGCCACCTGCATTCCTTGTCTCAGAGCCTCCCTCCTGCATCCTCCAAGCCAGCAGTTGTGGGGTGAGTCCTTCTCACGCTTCAAATTTCTCCTCCCCGCTCTTCTGTCTCTTCTCTTTGACGCACCTGGGAAAGCTTCTGTGCTTTTAAGGACTCATGTGATTAGTTTGGTCTCACCCAGGTAATCCAGGATAATCTCCCTGTCTCAGGGCCTGTACCCTTAATCTCATCTACTGAATCCCCTTTGCTGTGTAAGGGTTCATACACACAGGTTCTGGGGATTAGGGTGTGGGAAGCTTTGGGGCTATTATTCTGCTGACCAGTAACTTGCTGAGTGCCCAGGGAACCCGCTGCAGGTCTCTAAAGTTCTCTCTGGGCAGCGCTTTCTCTGGTATGAGAGACTGCAGACTCCGGCCGCCTTGGTATCGGCCGGCACTCCCCGTTCTGTCTCATCAGCTTAGGTGTTTTGCTGGGCCCTAGGACTGGGTCCTCTCTCCAGGCAGTGAGCTGGGCTCTTAGGGCTCCGCCTCATTTCCTACCTCTCAGGCCGCACAGTCCTTCATTTTCTGATGTCCATTGTCCTGAGAAACAGTGGTTTCTTGTGTCTCGTCCAGTTTTTTAGTTGTCCTGTGATTCTCGCCTGGGCCGGGAGCAGGCAAGTCCAAGTCCATGTGCCCATTTGTTTTGTTAGCTCCTGTTTGAGTTGGGTGAGCGTGGCTGCTGCACTGGAAGGGGTGCTGCACGGTCGTGGACTGGCGTTGGTTCCGCCCGTTTCTTCCTGGACGACGGAGCTGGGCAGTGCTGGCTACCCGCAGGGCACAGCCTCTGGTCCCAGAGCCCGGCCACTCAGCCCAGCTTCTCCGCCTCCCAGCTCAGCTCAGGCCTGGGAACTCTGGCTTGTGATGCTCCACGTCAGGCGTGCCCTTGTCTCTGGGAAGTATGTGCTGTGGGCGCTTTCACAGGTTTTCTGCCCTGCCTGGGAGCCACTGCCCTCTTCAGCTCTTAACTCTTCCACAGCTTGGGATCTTTATGGAATATGTTTTTTTGTTTTTCTTTTCTTTTTTTTTTTTTTTTTTAAGACAGAGTCTCACTCTGTCGCCCAGGCTGGAGTGCAGTGGCACGATCTCAGCTCACTGCGACCTCCACCTCCCGGGTGCAAGTGATTCTTCTGCCTCAGCCTCCTGAGTAGCTGGGATTACAGGCACGCGCCACCACACCCAGCTAATTTCTGTATTTTTTTAGTACAGACTGGATTTTACCATGTTAGCCAGGCTGGTCTTGAAATCCTGACCTCAGATGATCCGCCCGCCTCAGCATCCCAAAGTGCTGGGATTACAGATATGAGCCACTGCGCCCGGCCCTGTTTTTCTTTTCTTTTTTTTTGAGACAGGGCTCGCTCTGTTGCCCAGGCTGGAGTGTAGTGCAGTGGTGCAATCTCGGTTCACTGTAACCTCCGCCTACCAGGTTCAAGCAATTCTCCCACCTCAGCCTCCTGAGTAGCTGGGATTACAGGCATGAGCCACCAGACTGGCTAATTTTTTTGTATTTTTAGTAGAGATGGTGTGTCACCATGTTGGCCAGGCTGGTCTCAAACTCCTGGCCTCAAGTGGTCCACCTGCCTCAGCCTCCCAAAGTGCTGGAATTACAGGCATGAGCCACTGCACCCGGCCCATGATGTCTTTTTTCTTTCTTTCTTTTGTTTTTTTTTTTCTCTGAGACAGAGTCTCACTCTGTCGCTCAGGCTGCAGTGCAGTGGTGTGTCCTTGGCTCACTACAACCTCCGCTTCCCAGGTTCAAGTGATTCTCATGCCTCAGCTCCCTGAGTAGCTAGGACTAAAGGTGCCTGCCACCACGACCGGCTAATTTTTGTGTTTTTAGTAGAGACAGAGTTTCATCATATTGGCCAGGCTGGTCTCGAACTCCTGACCTCAAACAATCCACCCACCTTGGCCTCCCAAAGTGCTGGATTACAGGCATGAGCCATCGCTCTTGGCCAAGATTTCTATGATTTCTTACTTCGCCTCCAACCCATGTGTGCACAGCGCAGGGAGGTGTCCTGGCTGGTCAGGGATGGGTCATGGTGTCTCTCCTTCATTTTTCTCTGGAGTATGTTAGCAAGGAATGGTGGATGGGAGGTGATCAAGGGAATTAAGGGGCTGGTGGGAGACTCAGAGAACAGAGAATGTGAGTGTTAGGATGCTGGCTGCCATGCTTATGGTGGGCCTGCAGCCCCTCTGATGACGTAGGTCCTCAGAAAGCGTGACACAAGACTTGAATGTGTGTCCGTGGTGAAGAGGCAGAGGGAACTTGGACGCTTCCTGGACTCGATTCTTAGGGACCATTGTTGCATGCAGTGGCGCATGGCATGTGATGTGTGAAAGCTGTGGTGCCCGTGCTCAGTTCCTCACAGTGTGGAGGAGGATGCTGTAGGTGGAGGTGCATCCACTCCTGCTGGGGCTGATGGTGACGAGGTGACACTGTGGGCCAGCTGTGGACAAGCCTGTGCAGGCCAGTGAGGTGCTGGTAGGGACTGATGGGTGCTCAGGGATGGAGGAGAGCTGGAAACTGTTGAGGATCATGATGCCTTTTGCCCTCCCTGAGTGGCTCAAAGAAAATGTGACGGAGATATTTCCCCCAGAATAAATTCATTTAAATTGTGTATTTTACATGGAAATGGTAATTGCCTGTGAACTCAGATATCGTAGAGGCTTATGAATTAAATCTTGTGATTTTGGTTATTCCAGATGGGAGAAGAAGTTGTCCATGTTCACACTGGGTGAAGGAAGCTGAAACCACAGACATGACTGAGTCCTCCATGAAGAGTGAGTGCATGGGGATTGGGAGTGGCCGGGTGTGAGGCCTCTCTTGCCTCTGGGTGGTCAGGGCAGGCCAAGGCTCTTACCAGCTCCAATGGTGCCTAGAGTTTCCACCCTATACTCGGGAGCCTGAGTGGGTTCTGGGCAGGTTGGGTGATGTGGCAGGTGTAGACTTCTCCCACACGAGCCTTCAGTTTGGGACTCCAGAAAAGCACATGGCATCCAGGATGTGATTTGAAGGTTTGTTTTACTTTTTTTTTTTTTTTTTTAAGACAGGGTCGGCTGGGCACAGTGGCTCACGCCTGTAATCCCAGCACTTTGGGAGGCCAAGGCAGGCGGATCACTTGAGGTCAGGAGTTTGAGACCAGCCTGACCAACATGGTGAAACCCCGTCTCTCCTAAAAATACAAAAATTAGCCAGGTGTGGTGGCAGTTGCCTGTAGTCCCAGCTACTCGGGAGGCTGAGACAGGAGAATCGCTTGAACTCGGGAGGCGGAGGTTGCAGTGAGCCGAGATCGTGCCACTGCACTCCAGTCTGGGCGATGGAGTGAGACTCGGTCCCCCCAAAAAAAAAAAAAAAAAGACAGGGTCTCCCACTATCACCCAGGGTGGAGTGCAGTGGTGCAATCATGGCTCACTGCAGCCTCAAACTCCTGAGCTCAGGTGATCCTCCTACCTCAGCCTCCCAAGTAGCTGGGCCTACAGGTGCATGCCACTATGCCCAGAAGTATTTTTCATAGAGATGAGATTTTGTCATGTTGGCCAGGCTGCTCTTGAACTCCTGGGCTCAAGTGATCCACCCTCCTCAGCCTCCCAAAGTGCTGGGATTATAGGCATGAGCCACTGCGCCCGGCCTGGACTGACTGTTGAATGAACATGCTCTCTCCAGGTTTTCATCAGAAAAAAAAAATTAGCAGTTTTCAAAGGCTGTTCAGGCTGCTGTAACAAAATATCTTAGATTGGGTAATTAATGAATAATAGAAATGTATTTCTCACAGTACTGGCAGTTGGGAAGTCCCAGATAAAGGCACCGGCACATTCAATGTCTGTGAGGGCTGTTTTCTGACTCATAGATGGAGTCTCTTGCTGTGTCATCTCATAACTGGAGGGGCTGAAGGGACTAGGATGTCCTTCAAGCCTTTGTTTGTTTGTTTGTTTTTTAAGGCAGGGTCTCACTCTGTTGTCCAGGCTAGAGTGCAGTGACCTCCTGGGCTCAAGCCATCCTCCCACCTCAGCCTCCCAAGTAGCTGAGATTACAGGCATGTGCCATCACACCCAGCTAATTTTTTTTTTTTTTGAGATGGAGTCTCACTCTGTCGCAGAGGCTGGAGTGCAGTGGATCTCAGCTCACTGCAACCTCCACCTCCTGGATTCAAGTGATTCTCCCTGCCTCAGCCTCCAGAGCAGCTGGGATTACAGGTGCCCGCCACCATGTCCGACTAATTTTTGTATTTTTAGTAGAGATGGGGTTTCACCAGGTTTGCCAGGCTGGTCTCAAACTCCTGACCTCAGGTGATCCATCTACCTCGGCCTCCTAAAGTGCTGAGATTACAGGCGTGAGCCACCGCGCACAGCCCACACCCAGCCTATTTTTTAAAATTAGTTTTTGTAGAGATGAGGTCTCGCTATGTTGCTCAGGGTGGTCTTGAACGCTTGCCTTCAAATGATCCTCCTACCTCGGCTTCACAAAGCACTGGGACTATAGCGTGAGCCACTATGCAGGGCCTCAATCTTTTTTGTGTGTGTTTTTGAGACTGGGTCTTGTTGTGTCGCTTATGCTGGAGTGTGGTGGTGCTCTCTCAGCTCATTGCAACCTCTGCCTCCTGTCCTCAAGGGATCCTCCCACCTCAGCCTCCTGAGTAGCTGGGACTACAGGTGCATGCCACTACGCCGTAATTTTTGTATTTTTTTTTTTTTTTTTGTAGAGACGGGGTTTCACCATGTTGGCCAGGCTGGTCTCAAACTCCTGGACTTAAGTGATCGGCCTCCCAAAGTGCTGGGATTATCAGCAGGAGCCACTGTGCCCGGCCATCAGGCATTTATTTTTTCCCCATCGAGATGGAGTCTCTGTCTGTTACCCAGGCTGGAGTGCAGTGGCGTGATCTTGCCTCATGCAATCTCTGCCTCTGAGGTTCAAGCAATTCTCCTGCCTCAGCCTCCTGAGTAGCTGGGACTATAGGTACCTGCCATCACACCTGGCTAATTTTTATATTTTTAGTAGAGATATGGTTTCACCATGTTGGCCAGACTGGTCTTGAACTCCTGACCTCAGGGGATCCACCCACCTTGGTCTCCCAAAGTGCTAGGATTACAGGCGTGAGCCACTGCGCCCGACCCCATCAAGCATTTTTATAAGGCTCTGATCCCATCCATGAAGGTGCAGCCCAAAGGCCCCACTCTTAATGCCATCACATTGGGGGTTAAGTTCCAACATATGGATTTTGGAGGGACGTGGCGTGGAAGTTGTAGCAGCATTGCCGGTGTAGTAGAGAGCACAGATTTGCCCAGAGGCTCAGTTCAGCCTGCTCGGAGCGGGAGGCTCCCTGGGTGGCCGAGCCTCTGCACCTGAGCACGCAGGCCCCGGTTCAGCTCTGGGGTCCGCTCGGGCTGCCCCCGCGTCCCCAGCTGAGGCTGTGGCTCCCTTAAGGCTGACTGTGTGCGGGGCCAGGATGGGTGAAGCTCTGCCCACTTGTCCCTGCTCCCTAGAGCTCTGTCCAAGGGATGAGCCACACCTCAGGGCTCTATAAGTGCCACTGTTGGGTGCCATGTCTTGAGCTTGAGGGACACCGAGAGGCCCGGAATGGCACTGGGGTGTTGATGGGTGGAGGTGGGGTGGTGAGAAGCGTCTGTGAGTACAAGTGGGGCTGGGGCGCCGCCCAGCCAGGGCACTGCAAAGCAGTGAGGAGGTGGGGTCGAGGGAGGGGGGACTAGCCTCACTGCCCTCAGAGGGCAGGCTCCCAGAGCACGTGAGACCTGGTGCTTCCACACGTGAACGGCCACAGCCGGAAAAGCAGATGCAGACCCAGTTCAGTACGGGCCGGGTTTGCTTTACTGGCTGAATGTGGCCTTAGGTACAGTCAGATCTCATTGATTTGGATCAGCCTGTTTGTCTAACTACTGGACTTTGGAAATGGAGGGCTGTTAAAAGTCCAGCTTCCTGCTCAGGAAGGAATATCTTCCCAGAGGGAGACTGAGTCACGCACTGATGCCTGTGTGTTCCTCTGCCCCAGCAGGTGCCTCCTGGGATGTCCTCGTTGGCAGCCTGGGTGTGGTGCTGCTGGAGCAAAAGAGAGGGGACATCCACAAACCAGCCTGGAGGGTCTTGTTGGGGTGGAGTGGCCGGTTGTTGGGGTGGAGTGGCCAGATGTGGGGTGGAGTGGCCGGTTGTGGGGTGGAGTGGCCGGTTGTTGGGGTGGAGTGGCCGGTTGTTGGGTGGAGTGGCCGGTTGGGGTGGAGTGGCCGGTTGTTGGGTAGAGTGGCCGGTTGTTGGGGTGGAGTGGCCGGTTGTGGGGTGGAGTGGCCAGATGTGGGGTGGAGTGGCCGGTTGTGGGGTGGAGTGGCCGGTTGTTGGGGTGGAGTGGCCGGTTGTTGGGTGGAGTGGCCGGTTGTTGTGGTGGAGTGGCCAGTTGGGGTGGAGTGGCCGGTTGTTGGGTAGAGTGGCCGGTTGTTGGGGTGGAGTGGCCGGTTGTGGGGTGGAGTGGCCAGTTGTTGGGTGGAGTGACTGGTTGTTGGGGTGGAGTGGCTGGTTGTCGGGGTGGAGCGGCCAGTTGGCACAAGTCCCTGGGATGCTTGGCCTGCCCTTTCCCATGTACAGGGAACCACCTGGCCTTGCCTGTAGAGCACTACATTTATTCAATGATTTTCTTGATTCAGCTGTGGTCCATGGGGACTGAGAGCCATAGGATGAGGCTATGTCTTTATTCCTTCATGTATTTCTCACTGCTGGGGTCTTGGACCCTCTGCCCAGCACCTGCCTGTCAAGGGCTATGTGTGGGCAATGGGGCCATGGGGAACCCCAGGCTGCCTGGGCATAGACCCTCGGGGAGCCTTCCTGAAGGGTCTGGCTGGTGAGTGAGCCAATGTCTTCAAGGAAGCTCAGGCCATGTGATCAGGACCAGAACAGCCTCATGCCTGCCTGTGTGGGAGGCAGGCTATGTCCTCTGTGTCGCTCAACCCTGATGGGCTAAATAGTGTGTCCTGGCCAGGCAGCTCCTCAGGGGCAGCTGGAATGTGAGCCCTACAGCTCCACAGCCTGTCACCGCAGTGCACCTGACCCCTGCAGCAGCTCAGGTGGAGGGAGGTTATACAAGAGAGAAAGCAGCTGTGCCCTCTCCTGCTCTGTGTCTGTGATCCTCAGAGGCTGCAGGTGTGTCCACTGCAGGAGTGGCAGCCGAGGTGTGATAGGAGAGGGCGCTTGGGCCTGAGCATGCTAACCAGGCTTTGTCGCTGCAGAGCTGGCCTCCACCCTGCTGGACGCCATCACCGATAAGGACCCCCTGGTGCAGGAGCAGGTCTGCAGTGCCCTGTGCTCCCTCGGGGAGGCGCGGCCGGTGGAGACGCTCCGTGCCTGCGAGGAGTATCTGCGGCAGCATGACAAGGTATGTGTGCTCCTTGGTGGGGATGATGTTGTCAGGGCCATGGTCGGTTGGGGCTTACTTGGTTTGGGAAGAGACAGTCCAGCCAGGAGCAGTGGGTCGGGTGTTACGCAGGGGTGGCCACATGTCTAACCCCCTCCACACGTGCCTATGTCAGGGTGGGTAACCTGCCTTGTCTCATCATGAGTGGGGTATGGCCACATCCCCCCACCACGGCACTGTTCAACCCTCCTGGTCGAGGCTCTTTGCTGCCCCTTTTACTCACTAAGTGGAGGCCTAATGGCCGGGCTGTGTGCCTAGTGCCTGAGGGACAGACCATGGTCCCTGCCTGAGGGACAGAAGGTTGTTTCTGAGAGAATCTCATCAACCCAAGGGGCCAGAAACACTGATAAGTGCTCAGAGAGTCCCCAAGGGCCCGGCGCTGCTGGTCTTCCTGCACCCTCAGGGAGGGGCTGCCCAGGAGGGGCCAGGGCCTTGCCTTGCTGTGCTGGAATGTCCTGTCCTCCCACTCAGGAGAGCTACAAGAGCCTCTTGGGAACTCTCTCTTCAGCCTCACAGGGATGCCAAATCAGTGATCCGAACCCTAGGACAGACGTGGCCCGGCTGGCTCTCACCTCCCAGGATTTCGGCCTCGCCTGATCTTGGTTCAGTGGTTCTCTGTCACCGCTGACAGCGTTAGCACTGCATTGTTTGAAACTGTTATGCACGCTTTCTAGTTTTTCTCTGTGTGTGTGGTTTGGGCTGTTCTGGGAAGGGGAAGAGGCTTTTGCAGTATCAAAAGGCCATTATTCTTTTTGTTTTATTTAACATTTTGGTATGTAAAAAGGGACCTCTATACAGTGTATTTCTTATCAGCTACCATCTCCTGGGGAAGATGACCCAGTTCCATGAAAATACCTGCCCACTGCCGTGGCCTGGCGGCACTTCCTGGGGCAGGGTCTCTCCTTTCTTCCTCTGTCAGCTGTCTTAGCTGTTTATTTATATTTTTATTTTTAATAAATTTATTTATTCATTATTGTTATTTTTTTTTTTTGAGATGGAGTCTCACTCTGTTGCCCGGGCTGGAGTGCAGTGGACCATCTCGGCTCACTGCAACGTCCACCTCCCGGGTTCAAGCGATTCTCCTGTCTCAGCCTCCTGAGTAGCTGGGACTACAGGTGTGCACCACCACACACGGCTAATTTTGTATTTTTATTTTTATTATTTATTTATATATGTTTTTTGAGATGGAATTTGGCTCTGTCACCCAGGCTGGAGTGCAGTGGCGTGATCTCGGCTCACTGCAACCTCCACCTCCCGGGTTCAAGCGATTCTCCTGTCTCAGCCTCCTGAGTAGCTGGGACTACAGGTGTGCACCACCACACACGGCTAATTTTGTATTTTTATTTTTATTATTTATTTATATATGTTTTTTGAGATGGAATTTGGCTCTGTCGCCCAGGCTGGAGTGCAGTGGCACGATCTCGGCTCACTGCAACCTCCACCTCCTGAGTTCAAGCAATTCTCCTGCCTCAGCCTCCCAAGTAGCTGGGATTACAGGTGCCTGCCACCATGCCCGGCTAATTTTTGTGTTTTAGTAGAGATGGGGTTTCACCATGTTGCCCATGTTGGTCTCGAACTCCTGACCTCAAGTGATCTGCCAGCCTCGGCCTCCCAGAGTGCTGGGATTACAGGCGTGAGCCACTACCTGGCCAATATTTACAGGTTTTATGGCTGCCTTGGGGGAGAATGAGGAGGAGAGAGAGGAGGGCAGAGCAGATCTGAGAAGGACTTTGCTCCTGAGCCTCCGTTCTGGGGTGTCCTCCTCTGAGCCCCAGCCACTCCATGCTTGTCCTACTTTGTTTCTGATTTTACCCCTTTTCTAACCTTTACATTTTTTTAACTGAATTTTTAAAAAGTCTGCCTTCACAGTTGCATATTTACATATTATACACATGCTGAGCTGGAAGCACTGACCCTGTGGGCTGTGACCCTTCCCAGGGACTTTCCCTGCCCTAGTCCTCTTCTGTCGTCTCCTCCTGCAGACCGCCTCCAGGAGGTTTGGGTCACAGCCTCCAGTTTCTGCCATTTGTTTGTGGATCTCACCGCATTTGCACTTCGCTTGATTGCGTCTTGCCTAGATAGCAGGCATGGTTCAAAGCCCACTGAGTCTCTCCAGAAAGATGTGGAACAATAGGGAAAAGCAATGCCACATCCCCCTCCAGGCCTCAGATGTCAGCACAGTGTCCTGGGGTACTCCTGGAGCTTTACAGGTTTCAGCTCCTGTCTGGCGTCTGTATCTGTGGTTCTGTTTTTATGAACCCAGAGGCCCATGACTTTGTAGCATGCCACCTGTGCCACCAAGGGGTGCTGGGCCTCACGGTTTTAGACACATCCAGTCTTGTACACGTCAGCCAGGGTTCTGCACAGGACAGACAGACTCCTCAGGGGCCGTCAGGCCATGGGGAGGGACGGGATTTGGGGAAGAGAAGCAAGAATAGTAAAACTGGATTTTCAAATTCTGTGAGTGGAAAAACTCAAACTCACATTGTTTTCTCTGCTCTTACACCACGCAACAATCAACACAGAAGATTTCTGTGACCAAATGGGGGGGATTTCTCTCCACCAGTAAACAGCAGTCAGTTGTGCAGTGGACACCAGCTGGGTGTCCTCAATTCAATCCCAACACCATCCACCTGGAGGTCGCGTCAGATCTGGCAGGTGGAGGGCTCAGTCCCACACAACAGCCCTGCTTCTGATGCCAGTCGCAAGCCCCAGGTGTGGCCTGTGCTTCTGACCGACCTGCCATGAATCAGGGTTTTCACGACCCCCTCCTCAGGCTTGATGAATTGCAGCAGTGGCTCACAGAATGCAGGGACAGAGTGGCCTGCGTTTACCCATTTATGACACAGGCTGTGACGAAGGGTGCGGGTGCCCAGCAGGTGGAGGAGACGCTTGGGCAGGAATGGGGAGGGGCGCGGAGCTCCCGGGCCCTCCTGGGAACCACCTCCAGGCACCTGCGTGGGTTCCGCTACCGGAAGCTCCTTTTGAGGGTTTGTGCTCAGTTGCGCTCATGCTCACTTGAGGCATTCTTCCCTTACCAGCCAAGTGTTTCTAGAGGAGGGCCATATACCGGTTAAACACCACCATTTCACCTCAGTGTGCTTGCTGGAGCCCATTCACCCAACTCCTGAGATCCTCTAAGGAAGCTGCTGTCACCAGCCTTAGGTGTTTTCTTTCTTTTCCTTATTCCGCCATGCAGAAGCTTTAGGTGTTTTCCATCTGTTGTGAGACTGTCTTTCCCTGGTGCTGGCAGTGACCAATTATTATTTTAGAGAGACACCTAAACAACTGCCTGACCATCACCTGATGACCGCCTGACATTCCTAGTTGGGGGCCTCTCCTGCCCTGTTCATGTCTGCCTAGTGGCCTACTCTAACACCCTCTTGTCCAAGGAGACCCGGGAGCGACGTGGAAAACTACCTTCCAGGCTACGACAGACAGAAAGGAGATTGGACATACCTCGTTATACCTGCTCCCTTTTGGAGTTTGGACAACCAGCGAACATTAGGTTAAAACAGAGATCGTAAGTCTGACAAAACAGACTCCTTGTAGCAATAAAATTCCAGACTGGACTCTGGCATAGCATCACGTGATAGATAGTGGGCCCTGAAGGAAATAAAAGTATTTTACCCCAAAATCTATTCTTGACATATTTTGAAATGGCCCTGCAAAACCATATTTTGTGGAGGAAAATTGCATCTGTGGAGAATCTCCTTCCGTTTCCAGGTCTTTTTCTGATCCAGAAGAGATTTAACTAAGAGTCTGACACCTTTAAGGTCTGAAAAGAGACATTTACTATCTATTATCTCTGAAGGCTGCTATCTGGAGGCTTCATCTACGTAACAAGAACCTTGGCTTTCACAAGCCCCTTTAATTCAGGCGTTTCTGTCTGCTGACTTCAAGTCCTTAGGCAACATTTAACT